>NC_000018.10:13610599-13910649 GCF_000001405.40 Homo sapiens | reverse complement strand
TCTCTCCTCCAGGCAGGCTGCAGGAAGCTGTACAAGCTCCCCCTCAGGCACTTTGTAGTATATGTTTTAAATACCAAAATCAGAAAACTTGCAAAACAGCAAGAAACACACTTTTTTAATCTTCTCCACTTGATCAACAGAGTCAACACAATCCCTGTCAAAAGTCCAGAAAGCTATTTTGAAGATGTCAATAAACTTATTCCAGAATTTCTGTGGAAAAGCAGATGAGCTTGAAGAGCCAACAAAACAGTGAAAAAGAACAACAAAGTCAGAGGACTGTCACTCCTTACTTCACAGTAAGTCTGAGTAACTCTCAGACTTACTCTAAAGCCAGTAATCAAGACAGTGTGTTCTTAGCAAAAGAACAGACAAATAGATCAATGAAACAGTAAGGACCACACAAATACAGGCCCACACAAATATAGCCAGGTGATTTCAACAAAGGCACAAAAGCAATTCAATGGGAAAAGGGTAGACTTTTCAACAAACAGTGCTGGAACAATTGGACGTTCATATGAGGAAAAAATTATTTTAAACATAGATCTTATTCCTTACAGAAAAAACTTAACGCCAAATGATCATAGACCTAAATGAAAATTACAAAACTTACAACTTCTAAAAGAAAACATAGAAGAAAATCTCCATGACACTGGATTTGGTGTTTTTAGATATAACATGAAAAGCATCATCCATGAAAGAAAAAATAAATAATAGACTTTATTAAAATTTAAATGGCACCCCAGTAGCAACAAGTACATTGAGCACTCTGATCTTGGTTTCTAATACCATTCTGCACTGGAAGAAATCAGGGATCCCTGGGGGAAGTGGCTTATTCTATGACTATGTCAGGAAATAACAAGTTGAGCCTGGAACATCTTGCAGTGCCAGAGAGTAAATAAGTGTTCCAGAAAGCCACAGCGATGCAGGTCTGGCACAGGACACAGGTGCCAACTGAGAGAGCTCCCAGTGGCCAAAGTTGGAACAATTTAAGCAATAAAACAAATCAAATAGCATTGGATTATAATCTAAAGTATAAAATAGTTGTCCATGCATTCATACTGATAGAAACATAGGATTGAATAAATAAATAAATAGGGAAGGATAGGCTAATCTCCCATGCAGAAGAACTCCAAATGGATTATGTAGACACTCCACCCTCAAGGAGGTGGGGCAGAACTCTCTGCTCTGTATGTGAGGGCTATGCATTCTGACTTCCTTCCAAAGAATCCATTATGGAAACAGTGTGCAGGAAACACTAACTGCAGTGGGGAAACCCGGCAAGCATGAACTCAGCCAGGTGACCATGGTTAGCACCAGTCATGAGTCACCTTGATAGCGTGTCCCTTGATGTGATGTAATGAGAATGATAGTTTACATCTTGTGGTCTTCCTCCCGCAAGGTCCATAACCCCAGTCTAATCATGAGAAAAATGTCACACAATTGTGGCAATTCTACAAAATGTTTGAGCAGTACTCCTTAAAAATTTCAAGGTCATCAAAAGCAAGGGAAGTCTGAGAAAATGTCACAACCAAGAGAAGCCTAAGGAGACATGATGGCTAAAGGTAATAATACCATGTCCTGGATGAGACCCAGAGACACAAAAGGACATTAGGTTAAAATTAAGGACATTTGAATAAAGCATGGACTTTAGTTAATAACAGTGTGTCAATATTGGTCCACTAGTTGCGATAAATGCACCATACTCAGGTAAGATGTTAACATGATGTAAGATGCTAAACTGGGTGTGAGGTTTGTGGGGACTCTACTATCTTTGCAACTTTTCCATAAATTTAAAACTGTTCTAAAATAAAACGTTTATTTAAAAAATAGCTCATAGCTCTACCACCCAGTGATAACCACCATTAAAATTTGATGTCATGGATTTTTCTATGCCTTTGCTTGAAATACACACACACACACACACACACACACACACACACACAAGAAGCTCCTGCACCGTTGAACTGCAATTTTATAAACTGGTATATGTATGTAGTTTTAATAGCTGTATGTAGTTTCAGGGTACATGTGATAATTTGATACATTCATATAATTTGTAAAGACCAAAACAGTGTACTTAGGATATCTATCACCCTAAAGTCTCTTCTTTATGCTAGAACCATTGAAATTCTTCTCTTCTAGCCATTTTGGAATGTACAATAGATTATTGTAAACTATAGTCACCCTACTGATTTATTAAACACTAGCTCTTATTTCTTCTATCAAACCATGTATTTGTACCCATTAGTCAATTTCTCTTCATCTCCCTCTCCCCTCTACCCTTCCTGGGCTCTTGTAACCACCACTATCTGTCTTCATGAGATTTACTTTTTTAGCTCCCACATGTGAGTGAGAACAAGGGACATTTGTCTTTCTGTGCTTGCTTTATTTCACTTAACATAATGGCCTCCAGTTCCACTCATGTTTCTGCAAATGACAAGATTTCATTCTTTATGGTTGAATAATATTTCATTATGTTTATATACCACATTTTATTCATTCATTCACTGATGGACACTTAGGTCGAGTCCATATTTTGGCTTTCGTGAATAATGCTGCAATAAACATGGTAGTACAGATATCTCTTTGATGTGCTGATCTCTTTTCTTTTCAATATATACCCAGTAGTGGGATTGCTGGATCATATGGCAGCTCTATTTTTAGTGTTTTGAGTCACCTCCAAACTGTTCTCCACAGTGGCTATAGTAGTTGACCTTCCCACCAACAGTGTACGGGGGTTCCTCTTTCTCCACATCCTCACCAGCATCCGATATCGCCCGTTTTTGGATATAAGCCATTTTAACTGGGGTGAGATTATATCTCATTGTAGCTTTGATTTTCATTTCTCTGATGATTAGTGATGCTTTGAAATTTTTCATATACCTGTTTGGCCATTTGTATGTCTTATTTTGAGCAAAGTCTGTGCAGATATTTTGCCCATTTTTAAATTGGATTATTTGTTGGTTTTCTTTTGCTGCTAAGTTGTTTGAGCTCCTTATGTAATCTGGTTATTAATCTCTTGCTGGATGGAGAGTTTGCAAATATTTTCTCCCATTCTGTGAGTTGTCTCTTCACTTTGTTGATTGTTTTCCTTGCTGTGCAGAAGCTTTCTATCTTGGTATGGTTCCACCTGCCTGATTTTGCTTTTGTTGCTTATGCTTTTGAGATCTTACTCCAAAAATCTTTGCAGAGACCAGTGTCTTGAAGCATTTCCACAATGTTTTCTTCAAGTAGTTTCATAGTTTCGGGTCTTAGATTTAAGTCTTTAATCCATCTTGATTTGATTTTTGTGTCTGGTGAGAGATAGAGGCCTAGTTTCATTCCTCTGCATATGGATATCCAGTTTTCCCAGCACCATTTACTGAAAAAACTGTCCTTTCCCCATTGTATGTTCTTGGCACCTTTGTCGAAGGTGAGTCGACTGCAAATGCATGGATTTATAGCTGGGTTATTTATTCTCTTCCATTTATCTGTGTAACTGTTTTTATGCTGATGCCGTGCTGATGTTGTTACTACGTGTTTGTAGTAAATTTGGAAGTCAGGTACTGTGATTCCTCCAACTTTGCTCTTTTTGCTCCAGACTGCTTTAGCTATTCAGGGTCTTTTGCAATTCCACATAAATTTTAGATTTTTTTCTATCTTTACAAAGAATGTCATTGGTATTTTGATTGGAATTGCATTGAATCTGTAAATTGCTTTGGGTAGTATGGAAATTTTAACAATATTAATTATTCCAACCCATGAGCATAGAATATTGTTCTGTTTTATGGTGTCCTCTTCAACTTCTTTCATCAGTGTTTTATAGTTTTCATAGAGATCTTTCACTTCTTTGGTTGATTTCAAAGTATTTAATTTTATTTGAGGCTATTGTAAATGGGATTACTTTTTCATTTCTTTTTTAGATTGTTCACTGTTGTTGTATATAAGTGTTACTAATTTTTGTATGTTGATTTTGTATTCTGCAACTTTACTGAATTTGTTTGTCAGCTCTCACAGTTTTCTGGTGGAGTCTAAGTTTTTCTAAGTATAACATCATGTCATCTGCAAACAAGGCTAATTTGACTTCTTCTTTTCTTTTTTTTTCTTTATTTCTTCTAAGAAACAAAAATGGGATACATGTGCAGAACGTGCAGGTTTGTTACATAGGTATACATGTACCATGGTGGCTTGCTGCACCTATTGACCCGTCCTCTAAGTTCCCTCCCCTCACCTCCCACCCCCCAACAGGCCCTGGTGTGTGTTGTTCACCTCTCTGTGCCCATGTGTTCTCATTGTTCAACTCCCACTTATGAGTGAGAACATGCAGTGTTTGGTTTTCTGTTCCTGTGTTAATTTGCTGAGGATGATGGCTTCCAGCTTTATCCATGTCCCTGCAAAGGACACGATCTGATTCCTTTTTATGGCTGCATAGTATTCCATGATGTATGTGTACCATATTTTCTTTATCCAGTCTATCATTGATGGACATTTGGGTTGGTACCATGTCTTTGCTATTGTAAATAGTGCTGCAATAAACATACGTGTGCATGTGTCTTTATAGTAGAATGATTTATATATTTTTTTCTTTTTTCTTTTTTGAGATGGGGTCTTACTCTGTCACCAGGGTGGAGTGCAATGGCACAATCTCAGCTCACTGCAACCTCCGCCTCTAAGATCTGGAACAAGACAAGGATTCAAGCAATTCTCCTGCCTCAGCTCTCTGAGTAGCTGGGACTACAGGTGTGCGTCATCATGCCCAGCTAATTTTTGTATTTTTAGTAGAGACGGGGTTTCACCATGTTGGCCAGGATGGTCTCGATCTCTTGGCATCGTGATCCACCCACCTCGGCCTTCCAAAGTGCTGGGATTACAGGCGTGAACCATCGCACCTGGCCAGAATAATTTATATTTCTTTGGGTATATACCCAGTAATGGGATTGCTGGGTCAAATGGTATTTCCAGTTCTAGATCCTTGAGGAATCACCATACTGTCTTTCACAATGGTTGAACTAATTTACACTCCCACCAACAGTGTAAAAGTGTTCCTATTTCTCCACAGCCTTGCCAGCATCTATTGTTTCCTGACTTTTTAATAATCGCCATTCTGACTGGCATGAGATGGTATCTCGTTGTGGTTTTGATTTGCATTTCTCTGATGATCAGTGATCTTGAGCTTTTTTTTTTTTTAGAGGGAGTCTCGCTCTGTTGCCAAGCTGGAGTGTAGTGGCACGATCACGGCTCAGTGCAACCTCTGCCTCCCGGATTCAAGCGATTCTTCTGCCTCAGCCACCTGAGTAGCTGGAACTACAGGCACACGCCACGAAGCCCAGCTAATTTTTGTATTTTTAGTAGAGACGGGGTTTCACCATGTTGGCCAGGATGGTAGCTTTTTTTCATTTGTTTGTTGGCCGCATAAATGTCTTCTTTTGAGAAGTGTCTGTTCATATACTTTGCCCACTTTTGGTGGGGTTGTTTTTTTCTTGTAAATGTGTTTAAGTTCCTTGTAAATTCTGGATATTAGATCTTTGTCAGATAGATAGATTGCAAAAAATTTATCCTATTCTGTAGGTTGCCTGTTCACACTGATGATAGTTTCTTTTGCTGTGCAGAAGCTCTTTAGTGTAATTAGATCCCATTTGTCAACTGTGGCTTTTGTTGCAATTGCTTTTGGCATTTTTGTCATGAAGTCATTGCCCATGCCTGTGTCCTGAATGGTATTGCCTAGGTTTTCTTCTAGTGTTTTTAAGGTTTTGGGTTTTACATTTAAGTATTTAATTCGTCTTGTATAAGGTATAAGGAAGGGGCCCGGTTTCAGTTTTTTTGCATATGGCTAGCCACTTTTCTCCCAGCACCATTTAATGGATAGGAGATCCTTTCCCCTTGCTTGTTTTTGTCGGGTTTGTCAAAGATCAGATGGTTGTAGATGTGTGGTGTTATTTCTGAGGTCTCTGTTCTGCTCCATTGGTCTATAAGTCTGTTTTGGTACCAGTACCATGGTACCGTTTTGGTTACTGTTTTGGTTACTGTACCTGTTTTGGTTACTGTAGCCTTGTAGTATAGTTTGAAATCAGGTAGCATGATACTTCCAGCTTTTTTCCTTTTTTTTCTCCTGTCTAATTGCTCTTGCCAGGACTTCCAGGATTATATTGAACGAAAGTGGTAAAAGTGGGCATCGTTGTCTTGTTCTAGATCTTAGAGGAAAGGCTTTCCATTTCTCCCCATTCAGTATGATGCTAGCTGTGAATTTGCCACATATGGCCTTTATTATGACTTTTTTTTTTTTTTTTTTTGAGACGGGGTCTTGCTCTGTCACCCAGGCTGGAGTGCAGTGGTGCTATCTCAGCTCACTGCAAACTCTGCCTCCCGGGTTCACGCCATTCTCCTGCCTCAGCCTCCGGAGTAGCTGGGACTAGAGGTGCCCACCACCTCGCCTGCCTAAGTTTTTTTTTTTTGTATTTTTAGTAGAGAAGGGATTTCACCATGTTAGCCAGGATGGTCTTGATCTCCTGACCTTGTGATCTGCCCATCTCTTCCTCCCAGACTGCTGGGATTACAGGCATGAGCCACCGTGCCTGGCCTATTATGATTTTTAAAACATTTTGAGTGGGTTTATTTCGTTGGAAGAAGAAACAGGGTGACTCAAAATACAAGCAGACATCTGTGGAAATGAAAAAAAAAATCTACAATTCTTAAAAACCTAAACTCTCTTTTAAGGATGTTATCATATAGAGATCTAAGAAACAGCACAGCTTTAAACATACCTCTAATAGAGATATTAAAACTGCATTTTCATCCTCCTGTTTTTTGTTGTTTTTTAAATTTTTCCTTTAAGGCTGCATTTTTTTATTTTAAAAAATGTACAATTAAGTTATTATTCACTATAGTCACCCTGTTGTACTATCAAATAGTAGATATTATTAATTATTTCTAACTATTTGTGTACCATTAACCATCCCCACCTCCCTCCAGAACCACCCCACACATACACTAACTTTCCAGCCTCTGGCAACCATCTTTCTACTCTCTATGCCCATGAGTTCAATTGTTTTGATTTTTAGATCCCATAAATAAGTGAGAACATGTGATGTTTGTCTTTCTGTTCCTGGCTTATTTCGCTTCCATCCATGTTGTTGCAAATGACAGGATCTCATTATTTTTATGGCTGTAAAGTACTCCATTTTGTATATGTACCATATTTTCTTTATCCATTCATCTGTTGATGAACACTTAGGTTGCTTCCAAATCTTAGCTATTGTAAACAGTGCTGCAACAACATAGGAGTGGAGATACCTCTTCAATATGCTGATTTCCTTCCCTTTGGGTATATATCCAACAGTAGGATTTCTGGATCATATGGTAACTCTATTTTTAATTTTTCAAGGAATCTCCAAACTGTTCTCCATAATGGTCATACTGATTTTCATTCTCACCAACAGTGTATGAGGGTTCCCTTTTCTCCACATCCTTACCAGCATTTGTTATTGCCTGTCTTTTGGATATAAACCATTTTAACTGGGGTAAGATGATATCTCATTGTAGTTTTGCATTGCATTACTCTAATGATCAATGATGTTGAGCACCTTTTCATATGCCTGTTTGCCATGTGTATGTCCTCTTTAGAGATACATCTATTCAAATCTTCTGCCCATTTTAAAAATCAGATTATTAGACTTTATCCTGTAGAGTTGTTTGAGCTCCTTATATATTCTGGTTATTAATCCCTTGTCAGATAGGTAGTTTGCAAATATTTTCTCTCATTCTATGGGCTGTCTCTTCACTTTGTGGGTTGTTTCCTTTGCTGTGCAGAAGATTTTTAACTTGATGTGGTCCCATTTGTCCATTTTTGTTTGGGTACCTGTGCTTGTCGGGTATTACTCAAGAAATTTTTGCCCAGACCAATGTCCTGGAGATTTCCCCCAATGTTTTATTGTATTAGTTTCATAGTTTGAGGTCTTATATTTAAGTCTTTAATCCATTTTTATTTGATTTTTGTGTATGGCATGAGATGGGGTCTAGTTTTGTTCTTCTGCATATGAATATCCAGTTTTACGAGCACCGTTTATTAAAGAGATTGTCTATCCCCCATTGCATGTTCTTGGCACCTTTGTCAAAAATGAGTTCACCATAGGTGTCCGGATCTGTTTCTGGGTTCTGTATTCTGTTTCATTGGTCTATGTGTCTGTTTTTATACCAGTACCATGCCTGTTTTGGTTACTACAGCTCTCTAGTATAATGTGAAGTCAGGTAATGTGATTCCTGCAGTTCTGTTATTTTTGCTTAGGGTAGCTTTGACTATTCTGAGTCTCTTGTGGTTCCATATAAATTTTAGGATTTTCTTTCTATTTTTGTGAAGATCATCCTTAATATTTTGATAGGGATTGCATGGCTGTGGGTATGTTGTGTATAGCTTTTATTATGTTGAGGTATGTTCCTTCTCTACCCAGTTTTTTTGATGGTTTTATTATAAAGAGATGTTGGATTTTACCAAACGCTTTTTCAGCATCATTGAAATTATCATATGGTTTTTGTCCTTCATTCCTTGATATGATATATCACATTGTATTTTGCATTGGTTGCATATGTTAAGCCATCCTTGCATCCTAGGGAAAAAATCCCACTTGGTCATGATGAATGATCTTTCCAATATATTGTTGAATTTGGTTTGCCAGTATTTGGCAGTGGGGCAGTCGGTGGGGGGGATGGATTTCTTCGTCAGAGATATTGGCCTATAGTTTTCTTTTTTTGATGTGTCTTTGTCTGTTTTTGGTGTCAGGGTAATACTGGTATTGTAGAATGAGTTTGGAAGTGTTCCTTCCTCCTCTATTTTTCAAAACAGTTTGAGTAGGATTGGTACTAGTTCTTCTTTAAATGTTCAGTAGAATTCAGCAGTGAAGCCATTAGGTCACAGGCTTTTCTTTACTGGGAGACTTTTTATTATGGCTTCAATCTTGCTATTTGTTATTGGTCTGTTCAGGTTTTGGATTTCTTCCTGGTTCAATCTTGTTAGGTTATATGTATCTGGGAATTTGTCAATTTCTTCTAGATGTTCCAATTTACAGGCATATAGTTACTCATAGTAGCCACTAATGATTTTTTGTGCATCAGTTGTAACGTCTCTTTTTTCATTTCCTATTTTATTTATTTATATCTTCTCTCTTTTTTTCTTAGTCTGGCTAAAGATTTGTCAGTTTTGTTTAACTTTTCAAAAAATCAACTATTTCTTTCTTTGATCCTTTGTATTGTTTTCTTCATTTCAATTTCATTTATTTCTGCTCTAATCTTTATTATTTCTTTTCTCTTACTACTTTTTGGTTTGGTTTGCTCTTGCTTTTCTAGTTTTTTTGAGATGCATCATTAAATTGTTTATTTGGAACATTCCCTCTTTTTTGATGTAGGCACTTATAGCTATAAATTTCCCTCTTAGTAGTGCTTTTGCTGTACCCCATAGGTTTGGGTATGTTGTATTTGCATTATCATTTGTTTCAATAAAATTTTTCAATTTATTTAATTTCTTCATTCACTGGTCATTCAGGAGCATATTGTTTAATTTCAATGTATTTGTATAGTTTCCATAATTCCTCCTGTTATTAACTTCTAGTTTTATTCCATTGTGGTCAGAGAAGATACTTGACATTATTTCAATTTTTTTGAATGTTTTAAGACTTGTTTTGTGACCTAACATATGGTCTGTCCTTGAGAATGATCCATGTGCTGAGAAAACGAATGTATATTCTGTAGCTATTGGATGAAATGTTTTGTAAATATCTATTAGGTTCATTTGGTATATACTGCAGGTTAAATCTGATGTTTCTTTGTTGATTTTCTGCCTTGAAGATCTGTCCAGTGCTGAAAGTGGTGTGTTGAAGTCTCCAGCTATTATTGTATTGGGGCCTGTCTCTCTCTTTAGTGCTAATAAATTTGCTTTATATAGCTAGGTGCTACAGTCTCAGGTGCATATATTTAAAATTGTTATATCCTCTTGCTAAATTGACACCTTTGTCATTATGTAGTGACCTTCTTTGTCTCTTACAGTTTTGTCTTGAAATTTATTTTGTCTGATGTAAGTATAGTTATTCCCGCTCTTTTTTGGTTTCCATTGGCATGGAATATCTTTTTCCCTCCCTTTATTTTCAGTCCATGTGTGTCTTTATAGGTGAAGTGTGTTTCTTGTAGGCAGCAGATCAATGGGTCATGTTTTTCATCCATTCAGCCATTCTGTGTCTTCTAATTGGAGAGTTTAGTCCATTTACATTCAATATTATTATTGATAAGTAAGGACTTACTCCTGCCATTTTGTTATTTGCTTTCTGGTGTTCTCTTCCTTCTTTTTTTCCTTCTTGTCTTCTTTTAGTAAAAGTGATGATTTTCTGCTGATATGATTTAGTTCCCTGCTTTTGGTTTTTTGTGTATCCATTGTATGTTTTTTGGTTTGAGGTTACCAAGAGGCTTGCAAATACTATCTTATAACCCATTATTTTAATCTGATAACAACTTAACATTGTTTGCATAAACAAACAAGCAAAACAAAAACTAACAAAAACTCGACACCTTAACTTCATCCCCCACTTTTTAACTTTCTGTTGTTTCTATACATATTTTTGTACTGTCCATATCTTGAAAATTTGTTGTAGTTATTATATTTTATTGATTGCTTAGTCTCTGTACTTAGGATAAGAGTAGTTCATACAGCACAGTTACAGTGTTATGATATTCTGTGCTTTTCTGTGTACTTAATGTTATTAGTGAGTTTTGTACCTTCAGGTGATTACTTATTGCTCATTAACATCCTTTTCTTTCTGATTGAAGTACTCCCTTTAGCATTTCTTGTAGAACAGTTCTAGTGTTGATGAACTCTCTTAGCTTTTGTTTGTCTGGGAAGGTTGTTATTTCTTCTTCATGTTTGAAGGGTATATTCACTGGATATACTATTCTCAGGTAAAAGTTTTTCCCTTCAGCACTTTAAATATACCATGCCACTCTCTCCTGGCCTGTAAAATTTCTGCTGAAAAGTTTGAGCCAGGTGTATTGAAACTCCACTGTTGTTTCTTTTCTCTTGCTGCTTTTAGGATCCTCTCTTTATCCTTGATCTATGAGAGTATGATTATTAAATGCCTTGAGGTAGTCTTATTTGGGTTAAATATGCTTGATGTTCTATAACCTTTTACTTCCATATTGGTATCTTTCTCTAGGTTTGGGGAGTTCTCTGTTATTATCCCTTCAAATAAATTTTCTACCCTTATCTCTTTCTCTATCTCCTCTTTAAGACCAATAACTCTTAGATTTGCTCTTTTGAGGCTATTTTCTACATCCTATAGGCATGCTTCATTTTTTTTATTCTTTTTTCTTTTGTCTCTTCTGACTGTGTATTTTCAAATAGGCTGTATTCATGCTCATTAATTCTTTCTTCTGCTTCATCAATTCTGCTATTAAAAGACTCTGACGCCTTCATCAGTATGCCACTTGCATTTTTTCAGCTCCAGAATTTCTGCGTGATTCTTTTTATTTCAATCTCTTTATTAAATTTATCTGATAGGATTCTGAATTCCTTCTCTGTTGTCTTGAATTTCTTTGAGTTTCTTCAATACAGGTGTTTTGAATTCTCTGTCTGAAAGGTCATATATCTCTTTTTCTCCAGAATTGGTGCCTTATTTAGTTATTTGGCAAGGTCATATTTTCCTGGATGATGGCAATGCTAGTTGATGTTCATCAGTGTCTAGTACTGAAGAGTCAGGTATTTACTGTAGTCTTCACTGGCTGGGCTTGTTTGTACCAGTCCTTGGGAAGGCTTTCCAGATATTTAAAAGAACTTGGGAGTTGTGATCTAAGCCTTACCTGCTTTAGGGGGCACTCCAAGCCCAGTAACACTGTGGTTCTTGCAGACTCATAGAGGTACCACCTTGATGGCCTTGGACAAGATCCAGGAGAATTATCTGGATTACCAAGTAGAGACTCTTGTTCTCGTCCCTTACTTTCTCCCAAACATACAGAGTCTCTCTCTCTCTTCTGAGCCACCTAAATCTGGGGGTGGAGTGACGCAAGCACCTCGTCACTACCACTGTGACTGGGCTGGGTCAGACCCAAAGCCAGCACAGCACTCAGTCTCACCCCAGGCCTGCTGTAACCACTCCCTGGCTACCGCCTGTGTTCACTCAAGGCCCTGGGGCTCTACAATCCGCAGGTGGAAAAGCCAGCCAGGCCTGTGTCTTTCCTTTCAGGGCAGGAAGTTCCCCCAGGTCCTGGTTAGGTTCAGAGGTGCTATCCAGGTGTCAGGGACTAGAGTGACAAACCTTAGAAGTCTACCTAGTGTTCTATTGTCTGTGGCTGAGCTGACACTCAAACCACAAGACACAGTCTTTCCCACTCACCCGTCTCTTTCCGAAAGGCAGAGGAGCCTTACCCTGTAACCAACATCACCAAAGGCCACAGGGAACACTGCCAGCCTACCACCGATGTTTCCTTGTTTGCAAGCGCTCTTCAGTCAGGTTGTGGTGAATGCTGCCTGCTCTGGGAATCACCCTTCAGGGCAGTGGGCTCACCTCTGGCCCAGGGCTGGTCCAGAAATGCTGTCCATTTGTCAATCCCTAGAATCGGGGACCCCAAGAGCCTGCTTGGTACTCTATTCCACAGTGGCTATGCTGGTACCTAAGGTGCAAGACAAAGTCCCCTGTACTTTTCCCTCAGCTTTTCTCAAGCAGAAGGAATCTCACCCCATAGCTACCACAGCTGGGAATGTGCTGGGTCTCACCTGAAGCCAGCAAGTCTCAGGCTCACCCAAGGCCTTCAGCGTAGTACCTGGGTATTGCTGGTTGTTGCTCAGGGCCTAAAGGCTCTTCAGGTAGCAGGTGATGAATGCTGCCAGAACTGGTTCCTTCCCTTCAAGGCAGCAAGTTCCCTTCTGGCCCAGGGTGTGTCTAGAAATGTTGTCCAGGATTTAGGGCCTGGAATGGAAGCCTCACAACTCTGACCAGTGCCCTATCTTGCTGTGGTTGAGCTGATATCCAAGATGCAAGACAAAGTCCTCCCTACTCTTCCTTCTCTTCTCCTCTCCTCAAGCAGAAGGAAGGGGTGTCTTTTGGAGCCATGAGCTGTGCAGCTTAGAGTTAGAGGAGAGGTGATGCCAGCACTCCCTTAGCCACCCCAGCTGGTATCTCAGTAGGTTGTGCGCCCCCCAAGTCCGCTGTCTCTGGGCCTAGTTCAGCGTTAGGACTCGCCTAAGAGTTACAGTCCTTGTGGTCTAGACTGCCTTTTCAAGTTTACTTAGAGACTGACAGCACTGTAGCTTTCTGTGGCAAGGTTTGCGGGAACTCAAGTTCCGACCATTGGGGTCAGCGATTCCCCCTGGCTAGGGCTGGTCTAAAGACTTGCTCCGTGGCTGGGTGTCAGCCGAGTGTAGTCTGGTTATCTTTTCTATTCTAATAAGACACCACTGAGTTCAATGTTTCACAATTGCTGTGCTCTCCCTCCCCCAGCATCCAGAGATGCTCTCCACACCACGCTACCACTGGGGGGTTTGGGGGGGTGGTGTCTGCAATTTGAGACTGTTTTCTCTACCACTTCAGTGCTTCTTTCAGCAATATGAAGTTAAAACCAGGTACCATGAGGGCTCGCCTGATTTTTGGCTCTTATGAAGGTGTTTTTCCTATGTAGATAGTTGTTGAATTGGTGTCCTTGCAGGGGGACAATCAGTGGAGCCTTCTATTCTGGCATTCTGTTCTGTCTCTGCCTTTATTATTTCAAGGTATGTTGAGCTGTGATTTTAATTGTCATGTAGCATTCTATTGTATGGACTTGCGGAGTATATTTAACTAATCTTTAATCACCAGTTTATTATGTTGTTTTTAGTTTTTCACTACTTGATATAACAGGTCAGTGAATATCATTGTATATGCATCTTTGTAAACATCATTGATTATTTGTTCAAGGCCACTGAGTCATAAATCAGTCATGTTTTTAGGTCTTAAAGGCAGAGAGTGTGTTCCTTGCTCCAGATATTTAGTGATAACACATTTCATAGCTACAAGGTCTAAAGTAATATTAGATACCTATATTTAATAAAAATTGCTACCTGGATTTTGAATAATTTATATTTATTTAAATGTAAATAAATCATAGATGCTTATTTTATTTCTAACTGTTTTTTATCTTCTTTTCTTCAATTTTCCTTTCTCTGAACTGTCATTGTTCACATTAGGTTCCAATCTTAAAAGAAAACTATTTGCTTAATCATTGTACTTCTATATTCTTTCTCCAACTTTTACCCAAAGCACAGAATAGTTACCTCTCACACTTTTCAGCCAATTCTCTTATATTTTTCCTGGTTGAGAAAGCTTTGTGCCAGGGTCAGGGAGGGAATGGCTGCTTCTAGGTGTCACATCACCTTTCTTAACTCCCTGTGCTACTTTTTTGATTTGCACCAAATGGAACCCCAGAAATCTGACATTAGTAAAAATTTTCATCCCTTTACATTGAGAATCTTGGCCTTATACTTTTTAATCATGATATATACTAACTCTTATTTATTAGAACAACATCGTGCTTTTTATCCTGTGTGCCTCATAGATTTCACATTTTGACATAGACCTTATGTAACCAATATGAGTTGCTCCACAAAGTAGTGGTAAAATAGTCATATCTCTTAATATTCGAATTAAATATTCAAATACCAATCTAATATGTGAGAAAAAAAGAGCCAGTATCTTCCTCTGGGCTGCCTCTGTCCCCCTGAATCTTCTAAAACCTAGAGACTTATGGAGTCCAAATCTGAGCAAGACCAGTCTGGTATCTGATCTACTACTGTCCTTGCTTCTCGCTGCCTCATGGTGTTGCTGTTGCGGATGGCTCCTCCACCTTCTCACAGAATTTGCTAGTGCCAGTGGTATTTCAGCTCCTAGTCCCCTGCACTTTCAGTCCCACATGCAGCCTTCCCAGGGTGCTAACCACCCCTGGAGCTCCGGGCCAAAACCAGGTCTGACGTCACCTCCCCACCCTTCCTGGAGGTAGACTGTATCCACTCCCCTTCCTGAGAGTAAATATTCTCAAAAGTTGAGCTTTTTTTTCTTTTTCGACATTCAGAAACTAAGAGGTCTGATTTCAGCTGCTTTCTACAGGCAGAGGGTCCTTGCCTGCCCCTTCCTGCTGAATAAAAACCTCTCCTGACTCTCTTGCACGAAGGTCCCATCATTTCCTGCCCTCACCACCTGGAGACTTCTGACCCTGCAAGTACTGCTCTTGTAAATAAAGCTGTTTTCAGGGACTCTGCAGAACTTGACACTTCCCCCTGTCTAGGAGGAGAGTGAAGGCTGTCCATTTTTCTGGTACTACTTTGAAAGAAGAGGAAGGCAACATTTTGATCTCTAGAAGAAACACTTATTTTCCCATAAAATTTTAACTCAAGTATTATCCACTGAAATGTAAGCTCTGATATATGATGAAATTAAACCACTAACTCTGTTTCTTGTATGCTTTATATCTCCCCCAAACATATTTGTTTAGAAGCACAGGCTGTGAATCATTCAGATTACCCTGGGTTGTTCAAGTTGCTGATTGTCACATCCCAAGGCATCCATAAATTATTACCGTGCACCTCAGTTACCCGGGAAGATACAAAGAAGAGGGTGTCAAATTTGCCAACCTTTCAGGGCACTGCCCGGCTGCTCAGGAGACAAGACATCTACACTTAAAGCAGACTTTTCCCAAGAGCAGAGAGTGTCGCCTGCCACACGCAAGCCAAGAACAAAACACGCTGTGGTGTTGTGATGGCACAGACAGGTCGCGTGGGTTGATATGGAGCCAGAGACCTTCAAAACATTTGATCTTGTTTGGGCTTAAACAAATATATGATTTAGACAGAGGAAAGATTCGAAAAGTTCAGAGGGAGAGCAGTACTAAAAAATGTGACAGGCAAAAATGAGCAAGGCATCTTAGAGACAATAAGAGGCCTGGGCCAGCTGGAATGCGTGTTCTACACAGGAGAATGCTAGAAAATACAGTGAGAAAACAGCATGGAAACAGATTGTACAGAGCTGTAAGTGCCAAGTTTTATTTTAATAGAATTTTATACTTTAGGCAATGAAAACTAATTGAAGAATAATTTCCTTTATTGAACCCACACTGTGTTCCAGGATCTGGGCTGGTAATTTACATACGTTATCGCATAGAATCCAGACCACAGCCTGTAAAATCTATGCACTGAGTGTTGTTATCTTCATTTATTTACATGTACGTGAAGACAACCATAGTTAGGGAGGTCTACCTCTTTGATGCTGCTTCTGGATTTCAATGATTACTTCTCTTAGACCAAAGCAAAAATTAACTTCCACGAAAAGCTCTCATATGTTTGGGATAAATTGGATATGAGACTCTCTAGTAATACCCAAAAGATCGCCTGTCTCACAGCTATGTTGTGGGAAGAAATAGAAAAGAAAATTAAAGAACAAAAGGTCACCTGTCACTAATCAAACTTTAGTTTGATATTGATACATCCTCTCTCTCTCTCACACACACATGCACGCACACACACACACACACACACACAAACACACATGCTTCTATTTCTCATTTCTCTTCCAAAACTATTGAAAAATTTCCAGGAAATATCAGAATCTTTTTAAGGAGAAAGATGAGTGAGCAGAGGTGAGACACAGAGATTTATTATCACTCAAATATAAACTTCCAGAAGCCAGTGCCTCCTCATGAAGAGGTGTTGGGATCCAATGTAATATTGCTTAGGCCATCCCTCTGGTGAACAACCTCAAATCTATTCTTAGAACAGATTCAGCTCCTTTCCATAACAGAGTATCACTCCTGTGCAATACAGTTAAATGCAATCACAGAGCTGAATATCTGCAGACTCAGCCTCTCCACGTCAGTGATTCATCTTCACCCTCTGCATTGTACTATATAATTTGAGAAAAATCCATATCCATTGAGTGCTGTCTACAACTTCAAAATCTTCTCTTTTGTTATTGATTTCAGTCGAGCTTCCCTCTAGCCAGCAAGCAACACAAACCCCAAAGTAACTAACAGTGACTGGGCAGGCACAGGCGACAGCTGGGCCGGCTGAGATCTCCATTACCTCAAGAGGGAAGTGAAAGCTTGGTGATTAATATAAAGACTTTTTTTCATGTGGAGGGTAAGACAAGCAAAAAATAAATCCCTTAGTGAAAGAATTCTTAGCAGCACAACCTGATGAGCTTGGGCACCTTCAAGACCCTTCTACTTCACAGCTTGTATGAATACTCATAAGCACTCAAAGCAAGCACATCAACCAGCTTCAAAGCAGAAGATCTGCACTTCAGATGAGTCTAAAAAACCAAAAGGCACAGTGGTAAAAAATTACTCTCTGACTTTCACTATCAATACTCATACTCTTCCATATTAGCCATCTCGCCACCCCACGCCACAGTGGATAACAAGACAAATGCTTGATTCAGGACTACTTGTGAATCATGCAGACATATAAACTTCCGGATGTCGTTCAGAATTCAACCAAATAAGAAATTGGGTGGAAGCCATCACAAAGAATTTCACAGCAATCAATCGTATGCATGTCTAAAAAGAGGATATTCAGTGGGGGCTCCTGAAGGAGAAAATAGTTCACTGCACATGAACTGAAGATTGAGATCTGTTATGAAAAGGCACCAAAACAAGCACAAGAATCTTTGCAAATTGTTCATTTGGGGCAAGGCATAGTGACTCACGCCTGTAATCCCAGCACACTGGGAAGCTGAGGCGAGACAATCACTTGAGCCCGGGAGGTTGAGGCTGCAGTGAGCCATGACCACACCACTGTATTCCAGCCTGGGCAACAGATGTGTGTGTGTGGTGTGTGTGTGTGTGTGTGTGTGTGTGTGTGTGTGTGTGTGTAACAGATTATGTCTATCTCCATCTCTATTTCTGTATCTCTCTTTCAAAATAAGGTTAATAGCTCTCTTTTTTTCTTTATTGTCATGGTTAATTTTATCTCAACTTGACTGAACCATGGGGTGTCAAGACATTTGGCCAAATATTATTCTGACCCTGTCTGAAGAAAAAAAAAAGTTCATTTATTGTCACTTTTATTACAAGTCCTTCAAATTGTTCTACGCTGTTCAAGCCAAGCATCTAGGAGTGAAGGGGTGCCCTGGCAGAAAAGGAAGGCACATGAGCCAAGGTGAGCTGGGCTCATCCGCCACCCATGCTCCAACCACCACCAGACCCTGCCCAGAGGCCTGTGCTGAACAGGGATGGGTGCCGGTGGGGAGGGACGGGTAGGCCCTCAAGGGAAAGGGGCAGCCAGTCCTACAGGCTTATTGAGGGCTCACATCTTCCCACCCGCCCCCCACCATACTTCATCCTCTGTTTTCTAAGTTTGAGTCAAAGCCAGTAATCTCTAGCAAAAGTCACAATAACTCTTCCCCTTTCAGAGGGTGGCTTTCAACATTCAGACCACCTTCATTCTGACTTGCCACCAGAGGAATATGCAACATCCTTAAAAGCTGCCACAGGGGCTCTGAACCATCAGCGAGAGGGAGTCATCCATTCCCTAGCCCCCAGCACGACCCTGCATGATGGTGAAGGGCCCCTGAATTGACCCCAGACTCTGGTCCTCTCAGGACACAGGCCACCACTGGCCCTTTTAAATTATGCAAAACCCTGCCTGGCCCTGTGTGTTTGTTTGTACTTGACTACTGCATCCTGTTTCCCATTTTTTATCTCTTCTTTATTAGATCATCTTTAGCTTATTTTGCTGCTTAGTTTTTCCAGTCTTTTTCTTCTCTGTTTGAATTCAGGACCAAGAAATAGAAGCACTAATCAGTAATAAAGACAGGTCATGCACAAAGAGAAAATGCCACTCCCTCCCTCTGTCAAATGTTGAGGTGGGATGGGTCAGATGTGTTCCTGGGCACTGAAACAAGTAAGAGGCCAAGACCCGAAGGGCCAAAATGCTGTGAGCCTGCAGGAATGGCAGTGTGATTGCCCCAACTGGAATGTCAAAGCCACCAAAAGGAGGGCTCACAGACTCCACAGCAAGAATATAGACCAAAGTAAGATGCTGAAACAGTCCCCAGATGTGTATTGGCAATAATCCAAAAGCCTGACAGCACTTTGCACTGAAGAGGCTAGGGAAGGGGCAGGCACTCAGGCATTGCTGGTGAGGATGTCAACCAGGATAGCCCCTATGGAAGGCAGCCTGACAACATCTATCACAACCACCCATGCATACACATTTGCCCTCAACAATTCCATTTTTGTAAAATTATCCTCCTCATGTAGGTTCACACAAAACTATATACGTAGATGATTATGCATTATAGCATTATTTACACAGCAAAATATTGGAAACCAAATAACTATCAATACAGAATAGATTAAATAACTTGGGATACATCCATACAATGGAATACCATGCAGTGGAAGAAGGAAAGAAAGAAGAGGGAGGAGGAAGTGATCCATCTACTTTTTGGAAAGCCTCCAAGATAAGAGCAAGGTACAGACATGATATACAATATACTCTCTTTGAATACACAGGAAGCGGAGGCATGCTGGCCGTGGACGTGAGCCACTCAGCTTTCCTGCCATTAGAAAAGAGTTGACAGCCCAGTTTTCCAAATCCCTCCCCCACCAATATTCATGGGCAGCTTTGGCTTGAAGCCTCCCCATGGCCAGATGAAATGTTCTCAGAACTGTGCTGCAGTCTGAGACCCGCCCTACTCAATCCTCTTCCTCCTTGTGTGCCCAGGAGTCATGCCTGCCTCCAGTCTGCAGGCTCCTCTTCATCCTTGACAGGCATTGCTAATCCCATCATCTCAGCAATTGCTTCCCAGAAACCCTAACGACTGAGAGAAGACATGGATATTCATGTTTGCTGGTGTATGCATAAAGAAATTCCAGAAGGAGACCGGACTTCTGAAGGTGGCGATGGGACCGTTGGATAAAGCATGGGGAGGGAGCCTTTGTACTATTCATACATATCCACACATACAGACACACAGACATAAGTGTATTGGGCCGTACAACTTATGCAACGAGTGACATAAAAATCTTAAATGCATCTAGTGAAAACAAAGAAAAAAGGCAGCACAGAAGCTGGGACGCGGAGAGGAGCTCCTGATTCACTCAGAGCTGGTCCCAGAACCTCACCCCGACACGTGCAGATCAGCCCCAGCCGCGTGACAGCTCCCACCACCAGAACCCAGAGCTCAGGAGCACAGTCCTACACTGGCTCTCTCTAAAGCCTGGATTACAGGACTGCCCTCTAGAAAAGCCTGAAAGCCCCTGGTAAACAGTACTCAGCCACTCAGTCCTCCTTCCCCAGCTCTTCTCCAGAAGAGCAATCCGAGAAAACACCCAGCAGCGCAGAGGAAAGCGGCACAGTGTTGCTAACTTATCTTCAGCAAGATCCACGGAACCCCAAAAACACAGCCCATGGGCCCCAGGACGCCTGCAGCCCTGCTGCTCAAAGGCTTTCTGTAGCATTAACTCCCTTCCTAAACCACAAGTGGTGTCTACAGGTCTTGCTGTTCTCTAAATTTCAGAGAGATTTTTCTCTAAATGAAATTTAGAGAACAGAAAGATTTAAAACCATCCTGATTTGGTCAGATACAGAGGTTTAAGATTGTTAAGTTATTTTGTGTTCATTTTTTTACTAAAGCCATTAAAACTTCCTTATCAAATGAATATTCATGGAAGCGCTAAGATTAATCATTTTTGGAGCCAAACAGATCTTGATTTAAATCCCAGCTGTGCAACACAAAGCCTGTGGGACTTTAGACCGGTCTCTTGGTCTCTGGGCCTCAACTCCTCAGGGGTGAGTCAGATCAGGGGTGAGTCAGAGAGAATAGGACTCCCTTGTATTGTCAACAAGAGGATTAAAATGAGACCCACCATGCACAGCACAGGACACAAGACCAGCTGGCACATAACAAGAATTTAACACATAATAGAGCCTTCTCCTTACCCTTGGAGCCTTTAAAAAATATAAAAACTATATATATTTTTTTTGGTCAAAGATGATGATCAATATAAAAATCTCACTTTAGGCCCATGCTCCCTGGACTTTCCAAAGAGCATCTAACAGAGTGAGCCACATTTGGGGCCACATTTGAGTTATCCGGGGCCATGTTCTTGTGCCCTGTGATGCTGTTAACTCGATGATTTGTGCGCCCCTCCCAGCCAAAAAACAAAAGTCGGTTTTGCTTTTCCTTGCAGTCCCTTGAACAGTTATAACTACCCCAATTGTCTGCTCTGCCTGCCAAGACCTACGCCTTCAGGCAAACGAATCAACCAAGTTTCTTTCTGGGTACAGATTATAAAGCTATGAAAAACTTGTCTCTTTTCTCCTTTCTCATCCACCACCCCATCTCTGCCTCCTGGGGAGCACTGCAGAGTTAGAGCCTTCTAAGACCTTGTTTACTGCAAGCTCAAGGTGATGGAGCTTGGTCTTCGGGCCAGGAGTTAACTCCAGAGGTTCCAATAACATAAGAAAGAATGAGATTTAAAGATCACTCTGCCAGGTGGGATGGTTCATATCTGTAATCCCCAGTGCCTTGGGAAGCTAAAGTGGGAGGATGCCTTGAGCCCAGGAGCTTGAGACAGGTTTCAATAGGGTATGGACAGAGGAAAGCAGCATGGAATTGAAGGGTGGACATTTATTGCCCAGCAAACCACAAACCCTGGAAGGAGGTGGAAGGGCTCTAGACCTGTGTTGTTTGCAGTGAAGAAATCAAGACACAAAAAAGCAAATGGGAGAGGACAGCAGACGGCTTTGAATGGATGAGAGCCAGACATATGGCAGGTGCAGACCCCTATCCAAGTTCTTTAAGCCAAAGACATTGTTGAAATATTTGGATCATTGACGCCACCTCACAGCAGGTCCTTGTGAAGTTTAAATGGAGTGAGTTTTGCTTCTTCTAATTGTCATTTAGTGTGTTCTACAGGCAATCTCTAAGCAGGAACAACAGGAGCATAGCAATGCAGCAGAATTTACAAATCCTACTTGGCACTGAGAAAGGCCAAGTCGAGAGGAAAGTGACTGCTGTCAATTTTATTGCAGTTTGTGTTGGAGTAGGGGGTGCTGTGTCTGGTCTCTTGCATCTGTTGTTATTACCCTTGCCACTTGTGAAAGGAGTGTGACATGGTGGTCACAAGGCGGGCTCTGCTGTATCCTCTCCAGACTGTGGCTTTGGGCGTTTGCCCAACCTTTCTGGGGTAGCTTCCTCTGGGGGTTGAGTGAGTGAATGCATCTGGAGAATTAGGTGGTGCCCATGGCATGCTGAGCACTCATAAAGGCCACCAATTCGTGTCACTGGCCCTTCAACCAAGAATGGGGCCACACACCACCTGCAGCCCCCACCACCAGCTTGGCAGCATCCACAAACGTGCAGTAGCAATGCTTGATTGGTGGCCTTTTGAAGGGACCCCATGGGCACACTGTGTATCTGTCCAAATTCAGGGCTCCCCATGGATTTATAGGATTGGCAGCTGCAGGTCAGCAATGCACAGCAACTGAAGCTGGGCTCCCAAACCACCTGTTTCTAAAAAAATATTACAACCACTTTCAACATGTCTTTTTTTTTTTATGAATTTTACCATCAAATGCATCTGAAATTGGAAATATATACTAATTCTGATTACATTTAATGGACTCATGAGATGGGAGTATCTGTCCCAGCAGAGTCTCCATACATGGCCCATGCTGGCCACAGGTGTTGGCCCCTGTATTAACCAGGATTCTGAAGAGGAAAATAAACAGCAGGAGATGGGTAGAGACATAAAAGATTTACTATAAGGAATTGGCACACACAGTTATGGGGCTGCGCAGTCCCAAGCTCTACACTCAGCAAGCTGGAGACCCAGGAGAGTAGATGATGTGTTCTGGTCTGAAAGCCAGCAGACGTGAGACCTAAGAGGAGCTCACACTTCTGTGCTAGTCCGAAGGCAGGAAGAGACCAGTGTCTCCATCAGGCAGTCAGGCAGGAGGAGCCCCCCAGGTCGTCGAGGAGCTGGTCTGTTATCCTCAGGCTTTCTGCTGATTGGACAAGGCCCTCCCCCATCCCAGAGGGCCTCTGTTTTACTCAGTAACCTGTTCAAATGTGCATCTCACCCAGAAACACCCTCAGACACACCTAGAACACTGTCTCACCACATACCTGGCACCCTGAAACTCAGTCAGGCTGAAACATGAACACCAACCACCACAGGCCCCCTCCCATCACCGATGCTTCCCCAGCAGGTGGGGCACAGCACACAGGACCCCTCCCATCCCTGAGGCTTCCCCAGCAGGTGGGACACAGCACACAGGCTTCCCCTGCCATCCCCGAGGCTTCCCCAGCAGGTGGGACACAGCACACAGGCTTCCCCTGCCATCCCTGAGGCTTTCCCAGCAGGTGGGACACAGCACACAGGCCCCCTCCCATCCCTGAGGCTTCCCCAGCAGGTGGGACACAGCACACAGGCTTCCCCTCCCATCCCCGAGGCTTCCCCAGCAGGTGGGACACAGCACACAGGCTTCCCCTCCCATCCCCGAGGCTTCCCCAGCAGGTGGGACACAGCACACAGGCTTCCCCGGGCCTGGGCAGGAGGCACGAAGGTGACTCATCCCTGTCTGCCCAGGACTGAGGTGGTTCCTGAGATGCAGAACTTCTGGCTTTTAAACCCTGTCCATGTTTCAGGCAAACAAGGTAAATTGGCCATTCCAGGCAGAACCCTCACAGCAGCTACGCCCTGTCAACCCCTTCCTTCCGCATCCACCGGACCCACAAACCTCCTTCTGAACACTTGACCTCTGACCCAATCCTTTCCAAGGTAATTAGTTCCTTTCCAGACAAGTCCCTAGAGTGAGGCCGTGATGGGCTCCCCGTGGACTTCAGATCATAGGCTGTGCTCCCAAATTTGTCCTCCCTAGGAAGTGTCTTCCTCGCCACGTGGTGCTGGCTTTCCCCACTGGTGCACTGCCGCAGTCCGCCTTCACCCCAGAGACACAGAAAATAAGAAGTCTCCAGAAATGCCAGTCCCAGGAGCTCCACCTTTGAAACAGAAGTGCTGACGCTCATTGTATAGTCATCTTTGGGAATGATACATCAGCACCTTTACCGTTATCCCACAGGCTGTGGGGTCAGGCAGTGACCCAGGGAGACGAGCAGTGAGAAGGAATGGACTAAACATCTCCCGAGTCCACCGAGCCCAGCCACCGCCTCCCAGTCAGAGAAGGCAGCTGTGGGCTCTCCTGCTCCCACATGGACCTTTCCTTGCTTTACCTCTTTTTTCATCAAGGGCACCGCTGCTGTTCATCTGTTCATCCCACACTCACGTGTGTTCACGAGAAGGATGGGAGGGAAAGTGGGGCGGCAAAGAATAATCTTTGCTATCATCTCTCGGCTCAAAATTCCACTAAAGCTTTTTCTCACAAAGTGCTTAAGATGAGGGCCCAGTATATTATTTTACCTAAATTACAACACTTTATATATATTTTTATAAATGTAAGGGGTACAAAAGTGCCATTTTGTTACATGGATATACCGTGTAGTGGTGAAGCCTGGGCTTTTAGTGTATCTGTCATCAGAATAACATACGTGTTACCCATAGGGTAATTTCTCATCACCCGCCCCCTCCCACCCTTCCGAGTCTCCAATGTCCATTCCACACTCTATATCCACGTGTATGCATTATTTAGCTCCCACATATAAGTGAGAACATGTAGTATTTGACTTCCTCTTTCTGAGTTATTTCACTTTGATAATGGCCTCCACTTCCATCCATGTTGCTGCAAAAGACATGACCTTATTCTTTTTGATAGCTGGGGAGTACTCCATTGTGTATATGTACCACATTTTCTTTATCCATTCACCCATTGATGAACACTTTAGTTGATTCCATATCTTTGCTATTGTCACTAGTGCTGCAATAAACATACATGTGCAGGCTCCTTCTAATATACTGATTTCTTTATATTTTATGGAGGGAATAGAGTTTCTTTAAGCGAGTGTGGCTGGTTTTTATTTTCTAGTGTACTTTGCAACTAATATTTCTGTATACTCCCTTTTAGGTGATTGGGAGATTTTAACTTAGATCTCCAGCAAGTGCTACAAGGAAGAAAAGATCCTGAAGAATCAATCAAGTTTTCCGTGAAGTCAAGTCCAAGTAACATCCCCGCCTTAACCACAAGCAGGAGAAATGAAGCACATTATCAACTCGTATGAAAACATCAACAACACAGCAAGAAATAATTCCGACTGTCCTCGTGTGGTTTTGCCGGAGGAGATATTTTTCACAATTTCCATTGTTGGAGTTTTGGAGAATCTGATCGTCCTGCTGGCTGTGTTCAAGAATAAGAATCTCCAGGCACCCATGTACTTTTTCATCTGTAGCTTGGCCATATCTGATATGCTGGGCAGCCTATATAAGATCTTGGAAAATATCCTGATCATATTGAGAAACATGGGCTATCTCAAGCCACGTGGCAGTTTTGAAACCACAGCCGATGACATCATCGACTCCCTGTTTGTCCTCTCCCTGCTTGGCTCCATCTTCAGCCTGTCTGTGATTGCTGCGGACCGCTACATCACCATCTTCCACGCACTGCGGTACCACAGCATCGTGACCATGCGCCGCACTGTGGTGGTGCTTACGGTCATCTGGACGTTCTGCACGGGGACTGGCATCACCATGGTGATCTTCTCCCATCATGTGCCCACAGTGATCACCTTCACGTCGCTGTTCCCGCTGATGCTGGTCTTCATCCTGTGCCTCTATGTGCACATGTTCCTGCTGGCTCGATCCCACACCAGGAAGATCTCCACCCTCCCCAGAGCCAACATGAAAGGGGCCATCACACTGACCATCCTGCTCGGGGTCTTCATCTTCTGCTGGGCCCCCTTTGTGCTTCATGTCCTCTTGATGACATTCTGCCCAAGTAACCCCTACTGCGCCTGCTACATGTCTCTCTTCCAGGTGAACGGCATGTTGATCATGTGCAATGCCGTCATTGACCCCTTCATATATGCCTTCCGGAGCCCAGAGCTCAGGGACGCATTCAAAAAGATGATCTTCTGCAGCAGGTACTGGTAGAATGGCTGATCCCTGGTTTTAGAATCCATGGGAATAACGTTGCCAAGTGCCAGAATAGTGTAACATTCCAACAAATGCCAGTGCTCCTCACTGGCCTTCCTTCCCTAATGGATGCAAGGATGATCCCACCAGCTAGTGTTTCTAATAGCTAGGTTCTATGTGAACAGTCTTATTGTAGGGGCAACCTCTTAACTTTGTGACTGGACAGATAAAACGATGTAGTAAAAGAAGGATAGAATACAAAGTATTAGGTAGGTACAAAAGTAATTAAGGTTTTTGCCATTACTTTCAATGACCAAAAATTGCAATTACTTTTGCACCAATCTAGTAAAACAGCAATAAAAATTCAAGGGCTTTGGGCTAAGGCAAAGACTTGCTTTCCTGTGGACATCTAACAAGCCAGTTCTGAGGTGGCCTTTCCAGGTGGAGGCCATTGCAGCCAATTTCCAGAAGTTAAGTACCTGGACATGCGACTCCAGGCAGAAGATGTAGGGTCTCTGTAAGCCAATAATAAATTGGAAGGAATGCATTGCTGCAGCTGAATTTGTCTGTCTCCCACAGCCATGTGGAATCTCCACCCTCCTCTTTCTCCCTGTTAGTCTGATGTATTGATGCCACCTCAGTTTCAGAAAGTAGGCTGAGTATAAACTATAAATGTCAAATAACGAGCTTCGAGTTTCCAATGATAAATGGACCTTCTCTGTTAGTCTTCTTTGCTCACTCAGTATCCCACTGGCCTTAAAACCCTTTCCTGTTACATTTCCTCATGCTTTATGAGCATACATTTCAAAGGAAGAAATGAAAATTTAATCCATTTAGTTCCCATGTGGGAATACATAAAGGCCAGATGAAAATTGTCACTATTTGAAGAAGCTGTAACCAAACTATGTGTGTTACAATGTAGAAGTACAAGAAAAGAGCCCCAACATGTATTTTAAGAAATAAAGAGAGAGAGACAGAGACAGACAGAGAGAGAGAGAGAGAGAGAGAGAGAGAGTGTGTGTGTGTGTGTGTGTGTGTGTGTGTGTGTGTGTGTGTGTGTGTGTGTATTTTCCCCATGCTTTTGGACTATGGGGAAAACCAAAACCAAAGCAAGACATCAAGCAATGGTGCTGTTATTATAGCCCCAAGTCAAAGACCTGAGGGAGGCAAACACCACCTCATTCTGCAGATGAATGTGAAAGCAGACCCAGTCACTGGGAAATGTCATCCTCCCATCAGCCAAGATGCCAGCAATGGAAGAGTGGCAACCCCAGTAGGAATAAAAGAAACATAATTTGCAAGTTCATTCATTTTTAATAGCTAAAAATCAGCTTAAAGGAGAAGCACATCCTGATTGTAAGTCCCCACTAAGTTGGAGGGTGACTTGAATGGGGTGAAAGGTGAAAGGGACAGAGGAGAGCAGTGGGGCTTCAGAGGCCACCAGGCTCAGGATCTGCAGGATGGATGGTATCTTCCAGAACAGGCAATGCTTTGCCCTCAGGAGAATTTCCCAGAGCTGCTGAGGGGAGAAGACAGCCACACACAGGACAGACCATTTGGTGATGGGTTTGATATTAGAAGTGGCAGGGACAGGAACTTCAGAAGCAAAGGAGGCAAGGCAGCTGGAGTCAAGTGAGGACAGTGGCAGGCGTGCTTTCACATGGCCTGTCCCACAGATGGAGGTGAAAGGTGCACCTTCTTGTCCTCTGTTCTGTAGAAATCCTTCCCTGTTTGATCCTTCCCCTGCCAAATGAACTATGTTACTCTAATACTAACCTGTATTAATTAATATATGAGATATATATAAGTTAATTTTTCATGAAATCTAAAGCACAACCCTAGAACTAATTTTTAAAAGTGTTATTTCTACCATTGAAAAAGTAATGTATAACATATTTTATGTGATTAAAGTGCGTATTCTCAATAAGAGGTAACCTTTTTTTGATGCTGCAATGCTCTGTGATACCACAGAGGTAAGCAATGCCACTTAACCTGTATCATAAATAGTCCCAAACTGCTCTTCCTATAAAATTCTGCCTTTGTCAACAGCTTTGCTGTCTCCTAATCACTCTCAAGCTCTCTGCTGTGCATGTGACTGTTGTCAGAAGGAAAATCACCAAGAAACTTCACCTCTCACTGCCTTTGATTTGTTGCAGTTAATCTAAGAAACAAAATGAAGATGGCTAGTCTAATGGTGGATGAAACAAAAATGAAGTCTGAGTGCTAATTCAGAGAACTTGCAATTCCAGACATTTTCAATTCTAGGTCTTCTGCTATATTCCAATCAGAACAGAAGCTTCAGGGCTCATAGTTACTGAGAAAACTCACGTTTTTCTACCTCTAACTTCATATAGAATTCCAAATGAAAGCACCACCAAACTGCACATATTTGTGTGAGGAAGATCAACAAGCTTCAGACTTTTCCCATGAGGACTTAATTCTTTTATCAAATTACCCAATTTTTAAACTGCTGTGTGGATACTGTGAGTGTTCAGCTTTATCGATGACCTAGCCTTGGACCAGATAGCTGAAAATGTTCAGGATGTGTACTCAAGCTGATAGTAATTCTGAGCCCTGTCTAATAAAAAAGGAAGGATGTTTCCTCTTCCTCTCCTCATTTTCCCACCAGGTCATGGACAGACAAGAGAAGTTCAGCAAACACCGCAGCTGCCCCTGCAGCCACACATGTGTTGAGCTATGGTGAGAAGAGCATGGGTTAGGAGTCCCTGAGAAGCACGAGCAAACCAGTCAGTGAATTCTGAAACGTGGTCAGAGTTGCTGATGTTTATGTGGCTGTAGCAAGATATCTAGTAATAATAATACAAATAATAACAGCAATAATAATAGTACCTATCTATTACGGAGCAGTTGCTACAAGCCAGGTATTGTTCAAAGAGCTCTACATGCATTAATCCTCACGACTACCCTAAGGGCAGGTGTATTATTGGCCTCATGTTTTTAGGTGAAAAAGCTGAAGTTCAGAGATAGTAACTTCTGCGGCAGGCAGACTCTAAGGTGGTGTTCAGAACCCCTCCCCCTGAAGTATGGATAGGACCGTGACTTGCTTCTAACCCATGGAATGTGGCAAATGTGATGTGAGGTTGCTCTCATGATTACAGTCCATTATCTAAAACCCTGTCTTGGCCAGGCATGGGAGCTCACATTTGTAATCTCAGTGCTTTGGGAGGCCAAGGTGGGAGGATTGCTTGAGCCTAGGAGTTCAAGACCAGACTGGGCAACATAGGGAGACCTCATCTCTACAAAAAATAAAAAATAAGTTAGCTGGTTATGGTGGCATGTGCTCTAGACTACTCAGAGACCCTGTTACTAAAAGAAAAAAAAACATAATCTTGCTAGCAGACATGTTAGAGAGCCTCTGCTTTCTGACTTGATGAAATAAGTGAATATGCTGGGTAACCCCACATGGCAAAGAACTGCTGGGGCCTGTAGGAACTGCTGGGGGTCTCTGGGAACTGCTGGGACCTCTATGAACTGCTGGGGGCCTCTAGGAACTGCTGGGGGCCTCTAGGAACTGCTGGGGCCTCTAGGGACTGCAGGAGACCTCTAGGTACTACAGAAGTGATGCAGGATTTTTCTCAACCACTTTGTCGAATTTGCAATGGGGGTTCCACATTTACTCGGCCCACAGCGCTCAACCCCCTGTGGAAGGGAGCACGTGATTAAGTGAGTGCAGGATCCAGCCAGCTGCTTTGGGTGCCAGCAGGAGCAAGCTCTATGCAGACCCTGCGGTAGTGCCCAGGTGGGGGTGCCTGTGATCCCCAAAGTCCCTGAGGGCATGTTATAATGCTCTCTTAGCTCCACTCTCCGTGGACAGCAGTGTGTTATCAGTTCAGTGGGCCCCTTGCCTCACTGTGTGGGGTGGCTGCCCTCTGCCAGTGAGGGCAAAGGACCAGTGTGACAGCCTTTCTTTGGGTACCCACACTTGGGGGGTCCCGATCTCTTGGCTGGCATCCAAGAAGAATGGGGTTGCCCAGACACTTGAAGGATGGTGAAGACAGAGAGTTTTATTAAGCGATGGAAATGGCTCTCAGTGGACAGGGAAGCTGGAGAAGGGATGGGACAGGCAGGTTATCTTCCCCTGAAGTCCAGCAGTCCCTCTGAAGTCAAGTCACCTCTCTCCAGTCAAGCTTCTCTCTCTCTACCTACTGAGTCTGCAGTGGCAAAGGGTGAGGGGCAAGGCAGGTAGTTTTGGAAAAGGCAACATTCAATTGGTAAAAAGACATTATTCAGAAAGAACCAATTGGGAAAGAGCAGCCAAATGGGGATACAAGTTCTCACTTTGGGTCCTGGGTTTCAGGCTTTTTGGCTCAAAGGTGGGATTTTGCCAGAGACCCACCCCTGTCTGCCTAGAATTTCTCTGCCTCCTGCCTCTATCAGAAGTGCCTCTAGGAACTGCAGGGGGACCTCTTGGAACTGCAGGGCAGTCGGGGGGCCTCTAGGGACTGCAGAGGGGCCTCTAGGAACTGCTGGGTCCTCCAGGAACTGCAGAGGGGCCCCTAGGGACTGCAGAGACCTCTAGGAACTGCAGAGGGGCCTCTAGGGACTGTAGGAGGCCTCTGGGGACTGCAGAGGGGTTCTAGGAATTGCAGAGGGGCCTCTAGGGACTGTAGGGGTCTCTATGAACTGCAGGGGCCTCTAGGACATGTGCAGGGCCCCTAAAAGCTGAGGGGGACCTCTGGGAGCTGCAAGGGGATCTCTATTTCCTGTGCAAGAATGCGAAGTTCTCAATCCTGCAGATCCTGGGCCTCAAATGAGAATGGAGTCCAGTCCACACCTCGATTTTAATCCTGAGATCCAGCAGAGGATCCAGCGAAGCCATGTCCAGTTTTATGACCCACTAAACTGAGATAATAAATGTGTGTTGTTTTAAGCAGCTAAGCTTTGGAACTGTGTTATGCAACAAGGAGACTAATAAACTTACCCAACTCAGGTTAGTGAGCGCCCGAGTCCGTAGTCCGCTCCAAGTCACTGTCTGGCCCAGAGCTCATGCCCTGGGATGCTGATGCCCTGGGATGCTGGGAAGCTCCACATGCAAACAAAGGGCCATGTCTGGGGTAGCGCCCATTTGCTCAGCTTTGTTCCAGGCCTGGGCAGGCAGCCCAAGAACACCTGAAGCCATTGTCCCTTCTCCGTCACTGCTTCTCCCTCCCTGCACACTCAGCTCTAAGATTGGATGGTAATCTAGAGATAATTCACCATTGTCCCTACTCAACAACCAGAGCCCTGGCTGGGAGATTTTGCCTGGAGGGAGAAGAAACCCATTAAACAAATATCTCCTAATTTTTGTCCCAAAGAAACTGATTGCATCTTCAACAGAGTGCAGAGAAATCCAAGTACTCTCAAGAACAGCGAAGTTTCGAAGTCACTGAAAAATGTTTTAAAATAATAAATATATTAAGAAGAAGAACAATGGAAGTTGTAGCAAAAGGTAACTGGGAGAATGACAACTTCCCGCAGCCCTGTAGGCTGAGAGAGCCCAGGGTAGAGGCAGGGCCAGCCTTCCTGAAGTTTGGAATTACTCTCAGTCATTGACCTTGGGAAAAATCCTTCAAAGGAGGAGAATGTGAGTAGATTCCCCTCTGGAGCAATTTATGCCCCAGGGCATTGTTGAGAACAATAGAGAAATCAGTCAGCAATTACTGGTGCTTAAGAGCTGAGTGTACTCAGGGACCGAGACATTCAGACAGCCCTGTCAAAACCACTGTCATCCCAGAGTGACAGTGGGCAAACCCAAGTCTGTACCCCCTGAGAACATTAGAGACAGAACACTCCTGGGTGGGATGGAGGAAGAGACTGCTCTAAAATAATCCAGACACAGTGCAGTGGTTTACATCTGTAATCCCAGCACTTTAGGAGGCAGAGATGGGAGAATCCCTTGAGGCCAGCAGTTCGAGACCAATATAGGCAGCATAGTGAGACCCGCCCCCCATCTTTACAAAAAAACTAAATTAGCTGGGTGTGGTGGCACGTGCCTGTAGTCCTAGCTACTCAGGAGGCTGAGGCAGGAGGATCACTTGGGCCTATGAATTTAAGGCTACGATGAACTGTGGTCAAGCCACTACACTCCAGCCTGGGTGACAGAGTAAGACCCTGTCTCAAAAAAAAAAAAAAAAAATTTCAGACAGACACTAAACAAATAAACAAATAGCAATAACAAGCTCCCGAAAGGGAGAGGCATAGGGCCAGTACTCAGAGTTGCTACAATTTATTATCTAAAATATCTAGTTCAAAAGCATGTATTATCTAAAGCACCTAGTTCCCAGCAAAACATTATAAGACATGCTAAAAAAACAGGAATGACCCACAGCATGGGGGTCAGGGAGCTGCAACACAGACTGCCTGTGAGAGCAACCAGATGTCAGATTTAACAGACAAAGATGTTAAAACAGCTATTGTAATGTAAAGAAGTCAAGTATAAAAACAATATCCCATCAAATAGAGAGTATCAATAAAGAGATAGAAATCATAGAAAAGTACCAAGTGTAATTTCCAGAAATTAAAGTACAGTCACTGGACAATTAAAAGAGAATGCAGGAGCAGTACCACAGAAACGGTGGCATGAAAAAGACAAATAACCACATTAAAAAATGGACCGAGCATCTGAAATGTCATGCTCCAAAAAAGATACACAAATGAGCACTTGAAAAGATGCTCAGCATCATCAGACTCAGGGAAATGGAACCAAAACCACAATGAGAGTCCACTTTGCCCTGACGAGGTTGGCCAGAACCAGAACATCAGACAATAGCAAATGCTGGGGAGAAGGTGGGAAAATCAGAACCCTCATACACGGCTGGTGGAAATGGAAAATGTTGAAGTCTCTTTGGAAAACTGACTGGTGGTTCCTGAGATGGTTACAGAGCCACTGTGTGACCCAACAATGCCTCTCCAGAATTGAAACATACGTCTACATAAAAATGTGTACATAAATGTTTACAGCAACATTATTTATAATGGCCAAAAGGTGGAAACAATCCAAATGTTACCAGATAGATAGTCTTGAGGGTGAGTTGTCCAGGTTCTTGTCGTGTTGAACAAAGAATTGAACAAAATGCACAAAGCAATGAAAGAATGAAACAACAAAAGCCCAGACTATTGAAGTGAAAGTGTTCTCCACAGGGTGGGAGCGGCTGGAGCAAGTGGCACAAGAGCCCCAATTGCGATGCTCTTTAGGGTTTTTATTAAGCTAAAAGAGTTTGGTAACAGAGGTCTCCAGTTGGTTACACCCTATGTAAATGAAGGATTTGCCCGAGGCCAGTTAGAAGCTGAAGCAAAGAGGCTGAAGTGAGTTGGCATCTTATGCAAATGAAGGATTAGCCCACAGCCAATCAGAGGTACTTCCCAATTGTGGCAGTGGAGGGGAAGGGTCTGTAGGAGGAATGGCCTATGGTCCCTTGTCTCTTGGGTATGAAGAGGTGGGATTTCCTTTTGAGCCAGTTCCAGGAAGTCAGCGTGAATTGGCCTTAGGTTCCCTATCTCCAGACCCTGTTCTCCTGCCTCACAAATGCCCATCACCTCACAAATGGAAAAGCACAATGTAGTATATCCATACAATGAAATAATATTCGGCTGTGGAAAGAAGTGCTGACACACTCTGCAACGTGGGTGAACTTTTGAAAACATTTTGCTAAGTCAAAGAATCCAGGCACAAAAGACCGTGTATTATGCAATTCCATTTACTTGAAATATCCAGAATCGGCAAATCTATAGAGACAGAAAGTAGATTAGTAGTTGCATAGGGGTAGGGTTTGGGGAATGGAGAAATAGGCAATGATAGCTAAAGGACAGAGGATATCTTTTTCAGGGGGTAAAAATGTTCTAAAATTCACTGTGGTAATGGATGCACATATCTGTAAATATACTAAAAACCATTGAATGTACACCTTAAATGGGTGAATTGTATGGTGTGTGAAAAAATAAAGCTGTTTTTTAAAGACCTTACAAAGAGACTACTTATGTTCAGTTTGTGATTCTTTTCTTTAAACAGGCCAGCATACAGTATGTGTGTGTGATCCCTAGTGGTGGAAGAAAGTTAATTTGCTCCTATGTTAAGACTCTTCTCCCAAACAAAGCTCGCATAGGTTTTTCTGTGAGGCCCAATTTCCAATGGTATCGGCTCCACTAAGCATGAGTTCTCTGCAGAGCATCTTGCCTTCCAAATACTAAAACATGGAAAAATGCCACTGAATCATTCTGTCTCTGGGATACAGAAGTAGCAAGAAAACTTTAATAAATGAAGTGCACTTTTTACAATTATCATGGAAGAGTCCTGAGCAAGTTCCATTAGGGTCACAGGATGAAGATGCAATATGGGGGTTGCTGGGGGGATCTTCCAAGTAGAGAAGTGGCAGAACCTGCAACAGCTCTCAAACCCTCATTGCCCAACAGCTCAGGCCTGACAAAGATGGTCTGCCCACACGTGGCCAGCATTCTGCTGGGAGAAGGGCTGGTCCTCACCATGCTCTACATAGTTACAGGATTGCAGGCAGAAAAATCTCTGTAGCAACGGAAGTTCCCTTGCACAGAGGCATCCTTGTGATCGGGGGCGTATTCTGAGCTCAGCGCTGTTGTCTGTCGGCTCCTGGGCTAAAGCAACAAGGTTCCCCACAGGGTTACCACGAGCAGGGAAGAAATGGCTAGATCTGTCTCCCATCACAGAGGAAACTCTGGGAACAAATATTCTTTCTTCAAGGTTCAAGTTAACCATCTCTCTTAGGAGAAGACATGGATGTTGCCTGGGCCTTTCTTTTCAAATTGTTGAACAGTTACTCTCTCAGTGCAGGTTAAAAAGGCAGCTCAAGAGCACAGTGTGGACAAGTGTCCAAGTGTTGACAGTTGATTAGTGCAGGGCCCTGGCATCAGCTTCCGCAGCCCCACCCCTGGGGTCTTGCTGGACCACGTGTGGGCTGAGAAGGTCTCTCCCGTTGGGGCTGTGGGCCCCCTGGCCAGTCAGCATGGAGTCTCTTTCCTCCTGGACTCCGTCCTGGTGGCCACCTGACCTTCTAAGAAGGGGAGAGGGAGTTGGGCATGAGAAATGCAGCTCCTCTTGTTTGGAGACAGGCCCAGCACGTCTTGTACTGCACTGCTTCTTAGGAGAAGAAAGAAGTACAGAGTAGGCTGTCAGGGTTTGGCTGCCAGCCGCCTGAGACCCTTGGGCGAAGGCTCAGCACCTCGGTTTCCTCACACATGAAATGGAGATAACCATAGAACCTTCCTCTTTTGTTTACTTTGAGGATTAATCCTTTTAGAGCCCTTGGCAAACATCGCACACTCAGTAAGTGTTGACATCCTCAAATAAGGGCCCAAATTGAACACACTGTATGGGTGAAAACATTTTTCATCCTGTTGGCAAACAATCTCAAAGCTTCACCTCCATCTCCGAGACCCAAGTGTCACTACCCACTCACCATCTGCAGAACCTCCTCCACAAGGAGGAATACAGCCAGGGGTCCTGGCTATCTTGCTTTTGCCGTCGAGTTTAAGAGTGTGACTCTCAGCATTCAGACTACTTTCAAGACAAATGTCATGTGCAGTTTGTTTGTTTTAATTTTATTTTTTAATAGTAACATATCACATGATATTTTAAAAAGCACTGTGGAGTCTTTCTCACTGCTGTTCCCATCACCAACTTGCCAACCTTCCCACCTCCCACGGGTAATGATATTTATTTGTTGCTTGTGTGTCCTTCCAGATTCTGTATGCATATATAAGAAAATGTAGATTATATATATATATTCTTGTCGTACCCTTTTTTACACAAATAACATTTTTTCACCTTGTTTTTTTCACTTCTCAACATATCTTGGAGACCTTTCTGCATTAGTATATAGAGAACTTTCTCATTCTTTTGTACAGCAGCATACTACCCTCTCGTGGAGATGTGCCATAAGTTATTTAACCTCAGAGAGGTGAACTGGGTCGGTAACACCAGAATTCCACCATAGTTATATCTATACATTATTTCTAATCTATATATGTGCAAATATTTATTCTGCATTTATAATTAATTACTCCTGCCTCTTGCCGTATTCTGTAAAGGAAGACTGCCAGACCTAATAGGGTACTTCCTACATGGCTGGCACTAGTCTAAGCCCTGTCATATAGAAATTCATTTGATCATTCTAACAACCCTAGACATGGTACTGTCTCCATTTAGAGATGAGGATATGAAGGCAGAGAGAAGTTAAGTAACTTGTCTAAGTCATTTAACTGCCAAGTGGCAGACCTAGGATTTGGAGCTAGGCAGTCTAGCTGCAAGTCTATGTTCTTTTTTTAATTTGTATTTTAAAAATTTTTTGTAGAGACAGGGTCTCACTATGTTGCCAAGGCTGGTCTTGAATTCCTGGCCTCAAGGGATCCTCCCACTTTGGTCTCCCAAAGTGCTGGGATTATGGGTGGAAGCTACTGTGCCAGACCAGAGTCCATGTTCTTAATTACTATGTATATATCTCACCTCTATATGTCAAAACTATTAACAGACTCAATAGAGTCCATCTTATTTTGATGGATTGTTTTCTTTTAACCTAATCTTCTTGATTTTACATAATCCTGAATCAGAAAATCCATTAATTCTCCGGTCCAGGTGGACCCAAAAAACATTTGCAGTCACACTTGCAAAAAAAAATTAATTGGAAGACCATTAGACTGAGGCAGACCCAGGGTTTTAGGTTCCTCTGTAAGCAAACCGAAGCCCAACATAAGGAGTAAAATGAAACTAGAGACTTTGGCAACTGGAAACCACCAACTGACCTCTAACTAGGGGCTGTCACTACCTAGTCAAAGCTGTGTTCCTTGTATTTCTTCCACAAACACCTCTCACCGTCTCTCTCTCCACCCTGCAGTGGAGTGATACCCACTTACCACCCAGTACTGTGTGATTCGTGAATCGATGTCTGCTCAGATAAACTATAAAATCCAATATGCCTAAGTGTATCTTTTAACACCATCACGATATCTAGATTGGCAGACAAGGCAAGTGCAAGCCTGGAAGGCAGCATGAGCAAGGTCTTTCCTACATAAGAGAGATGCTCTGCACACAGTCACTTATTACAATGTCTGCTTTCTTAAACGTTTAATGACAGAAAAATATTCATAATATCTTAAGTGACAAAAGAATCAATAATATAAATACATTTGTATGAAAAATATCTTCCTGTACTCAAACCTGTAAGCATCCATGCCCACACTGGCACCCACTTTCATTCCCATGCCTCTCCCCTTGCTCATCTCCAGACCTATGTCTATATCTGTTTATATCACAGAAACCAGCTAGGTGCTTGCCTAACCAGCTCCCTTTCCTTCCTGGGCACACTGTATTTTCCAGGCTCCCTTGTGGTTGGATGCAGCCATGTGTCCAGTATGGCCAGGAAAAGGTGGTCAGAATACCTATATACTTAGCTCTCTAAACCTCTATTCCCTTCTCAGCTGCCAATGCTGAGGAACCAGAGTGAAATTCCACACCCGGGGTGCGATGGAGCCACCCGAAGGCAGGAGGCTGGGTCCTGAATGGCTGCATGGAGGAGAGGCCCCTCCTCCCCTTTCCAGCCCTCCACACTGGACTGCAGCAGGGGACAGAAATCACGCTTTGTTATGTGACGTCCCCAGGACCTAGGGGCTGTTTGTTAATTAATTGGGCTGTCTTAACTAATAGGCCTAGAATAGGAACACAACAAAATGCTAGTAGCATATATCTGCATTGTGGGATTATGAAAGCTTTTATTTTATTTTGTATTTTAATGTTTCTTTCTAAATTTACCACAATAAATTAGTGTTCATTTTTGTAATAAAAGCACCTGTTAATGTTATTAAAACGGTTTTACTTTCTAATCAAAACTTACTTTCTTCATTTGATTGTGTTTGTTCTTAAAATTTCGTCTTAAAATTCAGAGGAAACTCAGTGTCTCATTCTTACATCTGTGTTCTCCCCAGTTGTCTGCCAGAGACTAACCCTTTACTGAAATGATGAGCGGGGAGGGAATGGGACCTGAGGCGGGCTGAGCAGGAAATCCCCGCTCCACAGGCCATGCTGCGCTGTGCAGTGGCGGTGCAGGGGGGCAGCTTCGGTCTGGGCATCACCGAGCCCACATGCAGCAGGCCCGGCACAAGCTGCACCAGATGCATCCGGGGTGCAGATCCGTGCTGCGCGCCTTCCCTCTGTCACCGTGGCCCTTTTTTCTTGGTTGGATTGCACATGGGTTCTAAAGTACACAGCTTGCTTCCTTAGTGAAAGATGAGTTTTGCAAATTGGCAGATATTCTTTCGGTTGTGACTCCCCACGGGAGGTAGGTTCCCGTCCCGTGTTCCCTGAGGATCCGGCACACCCACACCTCTCGCTGTCTGGAGGAGAGTGCTCCATGGAGCTCTGAGACGAAGTCCTGAGGATTCTCCTGGAAAGAAAAGTCACCCCAAGATGCTCCTTGGGCTTGAAGGATAGTGGAAGGAAGGAGAAGGGAGAAGTGAAGATGCTGTGACTATAGACAGGTGTCTGTCGCTTAGGTAGTCCCTGACACACCCTCTCCATAGCTGTGCCCTGGCCACAAGGCGAGGAGTGAAACAAAAGGGCAAACAAAAACCTTTCTTCCCTCTCACTCCCTCCTCTTCCTTTTCCTCTCCCTTTTCCTCTCCATGGAACACCGACCGATTCCTTTAGAGGAAAGCAGCGGGACCCAGGTGGCGCCTCCCTCAGGATTCCGCTCTGGGGAGAGGAGGTGACTGCAGGCTGTGCCCAGATGGTCATCAGCCGGCGTGGTGCCCAGACTTCGGTGGGGACCGGCAGCAGAACCACTCCCAGCAGCGCGGGCATGTCCTGCAGAGGAGCCTGAGGGAAACACAGATGCCAGCACCAGGCCCTGAGAGTCCAGCAGGCCCTGGGGCCACTCTGAGCAGCTGAGGGTACGAGCTAACTGTACCCAAAGAGCCCACAGCCAGCCAGGGAAGTTCTATTCTCTGGTTATTATGGTGATTTAAAGACTTCTGGATTGGCTTGATCTGGAAAACACAGTTTAAGTGTTTGAACATTCTCAGCCGCCAGTGGCCCACAGATGTTTAACCAGCTGTGAATTTCCTATTTTGGGGGCTGAATTAAGTTGCTAGTGGCAAGCTATTTCTGCAAGCTCTCTGCTTTTCTTCTGACTCCTTTTACGTTTTCTTATAATATAAGGCAAAAAGAGTTGAGAATAGAGAGACAGAAGTTCCATAATGCTGATTTATGTTAGGCAATTTGTTACTGGCTCAATCCTAGGCTTTGAAAATAAAAGAAATAGAAAACACTGATTAAAATGAAGGTTTCAAATCACCTGTGCCTTTCTTTCATTCATACTATCCCTGACATTTTTTAAGTGGTAGAAATGTTTCTTATATGTGGAAATTCAATAAATAAGTCAGATAAAGGAGGAGACTTCTGGCTGAAATGGCACAGGTCCTGGCTCCCGGGGCTGCCCTGGCTCTGGGAGCCCCCTTCCCTCACATTCCCAGGGCTGACTGGACACAGTTTTAAAACATAACATAGAAGGTTGGCGATTGAACATGCTCCCTTGAGTATACAGGAGGAAAAATAAAACAATAACAAAAACGTGATCAGGGGAAACCTGGTCTCCTTGGGGCCCAAAGGCTGCAATGAAGAGAGCATGGCTAGAAGGAAAGTCCTGAGTTCAAAACCCCATTCACTGCCTGCTGGGCCAGAGACCTCACACTTGCAGCAAAACACCTCGAGCTTCAGTTTGTCACCTGTAAAATAAATGCCGTTTTCTTATGCTGTAAAACAGTTGCTCATCTATGATTGTAGGGGTTAAATAAAATAAAATAAAATATGAAAGAACCCAACACATAGAAAATTCTCAACTAATAGAAATTTTGACAAGGATTTCAGATACAACTATTCATCAGCAAACCATTTGTTCAAATCCAGTCATTTCAGCCTTTGTATTTAGGATGCTGCTGGCATTAACAGATAAAAAGCCTGTGTTCCAGTGAAAGGCTGTAGGTAAACCCCTGGGATTCCATCTCGAGGATATGTGTCCCCATCAATCTGGTGTGCGGAGTAGGTGGGATGAGCCATCTCCCTTGGGAAGCAGAGCAGCCCAGGGCAGGGAATGGAGGGGCATGTTCTGGAGACATCTGCTGTGGGCCTCACACAGAGTCTAGGCATAAATGCAACATCTGTCCAGGAGAGTCACCGGAGTGGCAAAGCCTTCTAAACAAAAAAGTACTGAAAACAGCATGCCTCCCTGATAACCTCTGCTGAAAATGTCAACCAGAAACTTGTTTCAAATCAGCGATGGTGGTAATAACAACTTTTGGAAGGAATGCCAAGAGATTGCATCACCAGATGTGGCTTGCCCTTGTCTGGTAGCAACACTTATAGGTTTGAAAGGGAGGCCTTGAGACCCAGACAGAGGCTGACAGGAAGGGGGCTGCCACTTTCCAGCAGGCGAGGGGAGGCTTAGCCTGCATGTCCAGCAGCCTTGTGCCCACTGAGTGCAGGGAAACCTCAAGGGAAGCACATGTCCCTCTGCAGTCACTCTGTAGGGCCATGCCAGGAGACCACAGCTGATTCCCAGTGACAGGAGAATGAGCACTGCCAGTAACTGAGTAGGGGACAGACTCAGACACCAGCCTCCTCTGTGGCCCTGACCATCAAAGTCACAGGGACAAGGAGTGGCAGAGACAGAGGCAGCGACTACGACCATGACCAGGACACCCGTTGGTGCCAATTGACAGGTGTAGGCAGACACTCCTCTTCCCTGATCCCTTGATATCCCCTGGCATCTAGGTGCCACCTGGGAAGAAGTGGTGGTGAGGGGCAGGGCTCAGCCACTGGACCAAGTTTATAGCTGACATGACAGAGACATCGACAAATTGACAAAATCTTTCTGCAAAGAACCAGATTAAAATTTTACCTCGGACATAACAAGCATGCAATCCGAAATTAAGTTGTAGTTTTCAAAAAATTACAATTCTATACATCTGAGTAGCATGAAAGCCTGTAACTGAAATATTAGATCCGTGTAGCAGCCTGCAAATTATTGGGCTCAACACAGTGAACTGCCTAGAAAAGTCCAAAACAGAGTAATCGGGTGAGATAACTTGGAAGAGGATTTCTACATTAACTCTCCGCCCTCGGGAGACTGCACCGCAAAGAAGAAAAAGGCGGCGGGTGACAGGGGTGCTTGGTTGAGCAGTGACCACGATCAAACTCAGGGGCGTGGATTCCAGCGAGCTCCGTGTCATTGAACAAAATCGCCGCCGCCTCAGTCCTGTGTGGAGCTCCATGGTCTTACAGGTTTTGGCTTCTTAATTGAACAACGCTCAATGCCAATCCTGGGCCAGCAACATAACATTTCTCTCCCCAACCCTGTTTCTATGGAAGAGGAAGAGGCAGGCGCTAGAGCAGCCCTGCGTGGCGGGCGGGCGGGCGGATGGGCGGGAGGGGGGCGACTGGCCTCGGGGCTCTGGTCCTCTCATCCCCATCGTGGGACTTCGCAGCGTTCAGTTGCCGTCTGCTCTCCAGCTGAAAACTGATGCTAGTCATCCCGAACTCATGGGAGTGTTTGGAGGAAGTTCCCAGGGCCTGGCTGCCAGCACATAGGTGCAGGGCGGTTTTAAAATCCGCGTCTCAGCGAGGCCGGGGCAGTTCAGGTGAAGGAAGAGCTGATGGGCCGGGTGCCCTGCGCTCGCTCTCTCTGTTATGCGTCCTGCGGCGATGCCTGGTCAGAGCGCCGCATGGAGAAGTCCCTTTGGGAATATGAGAGTGTCCCAGTGTTCCGGGGTGGCGCGGGGCTGCCTGGCATGGCATGCCGCCGGCCCTGGCCGCCCTTCTGGTTCCCCCTCACACTCCACCGCTGCGCTCCTTACCCTGATGGGTTCGGTTGTCTTTTGGATGCATCTCCTTGCGCTTGTTTTCAAAGCTGCCCCTTTCTCCGCCCATCGGGCGGGTGACTGTGTCTCAGCTGCAGAGCGCAGAGCCCACACGGTCTCCGAGGTCCACGCTGAGCATCCTGGACTCCAGCTGATCGCACACAGACTCCGAGGCCCACGCTGAGCATCCTGGACTCCGCTCCGTGCTGCATTCTTGCTTGTGCGGTTGCCCGGGCCTCTGAGAGGGCCCATTGATTCACTGTGGTTTGATGGAAATGAAGAGTCTCCTTTCCTGTTAGGAAGGCAGGCAGGAGGAACGTGGCCAGCTCAGTCCTTCATCGCTGTCTGCGTCTCTGCTATGGCACCTGTCACTCCCCAGCGGGAGGTAGTAATTATCAAATAGAATAAAAATGTTGCCCGAGAAAATATTGCATTGCTTTGTACTTACGGTCTTGGTTTACAATCACCTTTGCATTTTGACCTAAACACCCCATTATTTACATGAACCAATAATCTATTTGCTCTACCAAGATTCTCATAGCTTCGAAAATTATAATTTACTATTTCGCTGCTACAAGAGGTAATCCAGCACAAACTTACTTGAAAGTACATTTTTAAAATGAAGTTTTTTGCTGGGTGCATAAAATTGATTTAGTTCACAGCCACACTTAAGACTGGTAGTGAAAATAAACTGACAGGAAATTAATTTCTGTCTCTACTGATCATGCTGCTTGACATTCAGTAATTAAATCCCACTGTTAACATAATCTCAAAGGACTGCTCCTTCCTCTCTTACCTAAACAGTCATGTTATTTCTGGTCCATCTGTTGCAGCAAAAAGTAAACAAAAAAACAGGTAGTGGAGAAGGTGGAAATGCCAGAATACAATATAGAAGATATAATTGCTTCTCTTTGTAAGAAGAACGCATTTTCTAAATTAAGCTGAAATGAATCATAGTCATGGGATCTCTGAATACGAAGTTTGAAGGGCTCTTCATTGGCCCCCTCCTCACTCTCATTGGATGTCTGATTCTTCAGCCTATTTCTGAATGTTTCTTAAAACATGCATGAGGAACTATCAGACTTAACATACGAAAGTGAGACAATGTCCTCAGTTTTTCATGACTGAAAATTCTGGTTTTCTTTACCAAATATCTGCTCAAAATTGGTCTCTGTCTCTCCTTTTTTTTATTTTTTTATTTTTTTTTTTTTTTTAAAGACAGAGTCTCACTCTGTCACCCAGGCTGGAGTACAGTGGTGCAATCATAGTTCCCTGCAGCCTCAGACTCCAGGGCTCAATCAATCCTCCCACATCGGCCTCCCAAAGCTCTGGTATTACAGGCTTGAGCCACTGTGCCCAGCTTAAATTTGGTCCTTTTGACCTTCAGTGACCATGACACTCTAGGTTTTCAACTAAAACACTTAGGTTTATAGAATCACAGGGATATTAGGGACCTTAGAGATTATTAACGAAAAATTCTTAATTTCTAAATAAGCAAGTCTGTTACGTAAACCACCAAAGATTCCATAATGTGTAACTTAAAGGCAGATAACTTCCTTGCCTCTATCCTGAGGCCTGGCTTTTCCTGAGGATGTCTCTCGCTAATTCAGGGAGGAAGAAACTCAAGTGAAGCAGGGGATGCCAAGTAGAGGGCTCTTGGTGTGTTCTGGTTGAGAGTTAGTGATGTCTTGGACCAGATGGTGGTGGTGGCGCACAGAGAAGTGGACATATTCAAAAGAAAGGGCAGAGTCAGTAGCAATTGGTGCCTGGTGGGTTATGTGGGGGTGGGGGGGAGTGGTGAGGAAGAGAGAAGAGTCCTGGATAATTAGAAAGATGGTGGGGCAGGGATTGTTTCACAGACAGAGGAACAGAGGAGGAAGAGCAAGCCTGGGAAGTCTATGGATTCATTGAAGCCGACTATATTTGTGGGACTTCAGGGAGAATGCCCATTCCACACCCGTATATTCAAGAATGAATCCAGTGGAAAAGCTTGGGTTGGAGATAAGTAGTTTGATGTCTTCAGATATAGGTAGAAATTAAATCAAAGACTTGATGAGATCATGCAAGGGGACTATATAGAGTGAAAAGACAGTCTGAGAACTTAGCCTCAGAAGGGACACAGCATTGCTTCTGCCATATTCTACAGGTTGGAATAGATACAAGCCAAGATGCAAAGGGAGGAACCATTCTTCAGTAAAAACATTAGGTGCAAAGTTTTAATTTCTTTCTCCAAATTAAAGAGAATTTTGCTAATTTCTCTATGCACAATTATTTAATGGTATATGATTTTGAGTACCCTTAAAAATATAAAATATGAATCCACCAGTCAGCTAGTGTTTCCCTGAATATGTACACAAACATGTCTAAGTTGAACACAGTTATGATTATAAATTCTGCAACTTACAACTTTTCTATAAGGCAACTTCAGAAAATATTCCTATATTTATGGTCAATTTTCAAGATTAGTTTATTTCTGCTCTTGAGTCACTAGATACTTGTTAGAAAATTGATTTTCCTTTTACCACTCCCCCACAGGAAATGAGTTCTCAAAAGGCATTTTTTTTTCTTTTTTGAGACGGAGTCTCGCTCTGTCGCCCAGGCTGGAGTGCAGTGGCACGATCTCAGCTCACTGCAAGCTCCACCTCCCGGGTTCACGCCTTTCTCCTGCCTCAGCCTCCTGAGTAGCTGGGACTACAGGCGCCCACCACCACACCTATCTAATTTTTTTTTGGTATTTTTAGTAGAGACGGAGTTTCACCTTGTCAGCCAGGATGGTCCTGATCTCCTGACCTCGTGATCCACCCTCCTTGGCCTCCCAATCAAAAGGCATTTTTTAAAATTATTCAGATTTGTTGGCCAGGCACGGTGGCTCACGCCTGTAATCCCAGCACTTTGGGAGGCCGAGGCGGGCGGATCACGCGGTCAGGAGATCGAGACCATCCTGGCTGACACGGTGAAACCCCGTCTCTACTAAAAATACAAAAAATTAGCCAGGCGAGGTGGCGGGCGCCTGTAGTCCCAGCTACGCGGGAGGCTGAAGCAGGAGAATGGCGTGACCCGGGGGGCGGAGCTTGTAGTGAGCCGAGATAGTGCCTCTGCACTCCAGCCTGGGCGACAGAGCGAGACTCCATCTCAAAAAAAAAAAAAAAAAAAAGAAATTATTCAGATTTGTTGATGATGAGTGGCTGGAGCTCCACTTAAGGGAAATTACCAAATCTCTGAGCCTTTAAGTCCTGTTTCTTTGCTGGTTGAAAGTGACTCTGGTGATGAAAATAAATAAAATGTATACCAAAGTTGAGCAAGAGCAAGTCCCCAGCCTTCTCCAAGAACCAAATACTGCCATGACTGCCAAAAGTGCTGGGATGGAGATTCATCCTGATGGCCCTCCATACTTGATCATCTCCGCGGGGCTCAGTAGCCTGGAGGCAGGCGTGTGAACAGCATGAAAGCTTGAAGTCAGAAAGAAGAATGGAAAGGCAGAAAAGAGGGCACATAGACTGACAAGGCTTTAGTGGTAACGCCAAGAAGCAGAAGGTCAGGCACGATGAGGTTGCCTGCATTTAGGAACAACTGTGCCATCTGTAGAGAAAGTGTGTGTTCTTGGCACCCAGTGCCCACACAGTAAAATCTTCAGTGTGTTTTTGCAGATGAGCACCATCATTCTCATGAGAGATCTTGGGAAAAAAATGCTGTATTTGTATAAAGTTGGCAAATCTACATAAGAGTCCCAGGCCCTCTTAGAAGTGTTGACCTCCCTAGGAAATAGGTGACTGTGTTCCCAGCTTGATCTCAGATGCATCATTCAAACCATACAGCATGAACATTTCTTCAGAAAATTCTTAAGTGAGAATGCTTTCCTTATATATTCTTACTTTTATTTTACCATGAGGAATTTAGCCTTTTTAAAAAGTTAGCAACTATGGTTAAATGTTTCCAAGAGATTTAATTCTTTCCTAAGTCTTGCTAAGATGTAAATATGATCAGTAGGGATATGGCTAGGTTAGAAGTTGGGATTGGTGACTGGTTTGAGAACCACTGGGAAATTCTGAGCAATAGCCGTTCAGATTCTAGCGGTCAGGGTTGAGAAAGTAAGTGTTACTTTGATTATAAAAATTCAGTAGAAGTAAACTTTTGCTTTCACAGTATCTTTTCACACAGGTTACTTGAAATGGAAAATTGGGAGGAGTCTATGCTTAAAAATGGTATTTATATTTTTAAAGCCAAGAAACTAAATAAACATTTTGGTTTTGCCATTACAATATTACATTAAGTTTCAACGAACTCTTTAGAAAATTATTTTCCAATAAGATTTATGTTCTTATAAATTCCAGTCTTAATTTCTCCAGCTTTGGGGCATCATCTTTCTTTGGGTATTTAATAAGACAGCACTAATCTCCCACCCCACATCCTGTGGGAAATCCAACACATTACAAACTTTCTAAGGGTTTTTGGAGAATTCCCATTCTTGTGGCCACTGCCGCCCTGAACCCTGGCTTTCCTGGATGCTCCACCTTCCTCCCCAGTACCCTTCCTGGACTTGCTTTTGTACCTGTGGTCACTGCCTCTTACTCCATTCACCAAAGCTGTGAGTGCAAGTCTGTTCCAGATTACTTGGGCCAAATGAGAAGTTTGACACCACAGTATAGAACAAGAAACTATTTAAAATTGAGTATTTGGGATCTCTATTTTCCTTGTCTATCTTTGTCATAAAAGGATATTTCTCATTGATCCACTTTCTTCTATGAATATAGTTTGCTACAATTTCCTAAATTCCACTCTCACCCTCCCAAGTCTGAAGCTTTCCCTTAACTGCCTTTGCCCTGGTCTAACCCCCACACCGCTCCACCCACCCCATGCCCCAGGTTGCCACTTGAAGCGTCAAAACAGTTGTGAATTTTATTGCGCAGATCATATCAGCAATCTTTTGCTCAACCTCTTTTTTTGACTAGCTCGAGTTCTGTTTTATTTTAAACGAAATCAAAAACAAAAAGAATAATATGGACAATGTAATGATCTTCTAAATAAACTTGCTTTCTATCCTGTATGGAAAAACTATTTCCCACACAAAGAACCAGCAGAGAGTATTTGAGGATTGCTGGCAAGATGGCCAAACAGCGCTGGTCTGCAGCTCCCAGTGAGATTGATGCAGAAGGTGGGTGGGTGATTTCTGCATTTCCAACTGAGGTACCTGGTTCAGCTCACTGGGACAAGTTGGACAATGGGTGCAGCACACCAACGGCGAGCCAACAGACGGGCATCACCTCACAAGGGGTCAGAGAATTTTCTCCCCTACTCAAGGGAAGCCTTGAGGCACTGAGCCTGAGGAACTCTGGCTCAGATACTGTGCTTGTCCCACGGTCTTCACAACCTGCAAACCAGGAGATTCCCTCTGGTGCCTACCCCATCAAGGCCCTGGGTTGCAAGCACAAAACTGGGTGGCCATTTGGAAAGACACTGAACTAGCTGCAGTTCTTTTTTTCCATACGCCAGTGGCGCCTGGAACCCCAGCGAGACAGAACCATTCACTCCCCTGGAAAGGGGTGCTGAAGCCAGGGAGCCAAGTGGTAGCTCAGTGGGTCCCACCCCCACAGAGCCCAGCAAACTAAGATCCACGGGCTTGAAATTCTCACTGCCAGCACAGCAGCAGTCTGAGATTGACCCCGGATGTTTGAGCTTGTTGGAGGGAGGGGTCTCTGCCATTGCTGAGGCTTGAGTAGGCGATTTTACGCTCACAGTGTAAACAAAGCCACTGGGAAGTTTGAACTGGGTGGAGCTCACTGCAGCTCAGCAAGGCTGCTGTGGACAGACTGCCAGATTTCTCTTCTATGGGCAGGGCATCTCTGAAAAAAAGGCAGCAGCCCCAGTCAGGAACTTATAGATAAAACCACCATCTCCCTGGGAAAGAGCACCTGGGGAAAGGGGTGGCTGTGGGTGCAGCTTCAGGAGACATAAGAGTCCCTGCCTGACAGCTCTGAAGAGAGCAGCAGATTTCCCAACACAGCATTCGAGCTCTGCTAAGGGTGAGACTGCCTCCTCAAGTGGGTCCCTGACCCCCGTGTATCCTGACTTGGAGACACCTCCCAGTAGGGGCCGACAGACACCTCATACAGGAGAGCTCTGGCTGGCATCTGGCAGGTGACCCTCTGGGACAAAGCTTCCAGAGGAAAGATCAGGCAGCAGTCTTTGCTGTTCTGCAGCCTCTGCTGGTGATACCCAGGCAAACAGAGTCGGGAGTGGACCTCCAGCAAACTCCAGAAGACCAGCAGACAGGGGCCTATCAGAAGGAAAACTAACGAGCAGAAAGGAATAGCACATCCGCTCAAAGATCCCATCTGAAGGTCACCAACATCAAAGACCAAAGGTAGATAAATCCACAAAGATGGGGAGAAACCAACGCAAAAAGACTAAAATTTCCAAAAACCAGAACGCCTCTTCTCCTACAAAGGATCACAACTCCTCGCCAGCAAGGGAACAAAACTGGACGGAGAATGAGTTTGACGAATTGACAGAACTAGACTTCAGAAGGTGGGTAATAACAAACTCCTCCAAGCTAAAAGAGCATATTCTAACCCAATGCAAGGAAGCTAAGAACCTTGAAAAAAGGTTAGACTAATTGCTAACTAGAAACCACGTAGAGAAGAACATAAATGACCTGATGGAGCTGAAAAAAACAGCACAAGAACTTCGTGAAGCATACACAAGTATCAATAATGGAATTGATCAATTGATCAAGTGATTGAAGATTAACTTAATGAAATAAAGAGAAGACAAGATTAGAGAAAAAAGAATAAAAAGGAACAAACAAACCTCCAAGAAATATGGGACTATGTGAAAAGACCAAATTTACATCTGATTGGTGTACCTGAAAGTGAAGGGGAGAATGGAATCAACTTGGAAAACACTCTTCAAGATATTATCCAGGAGAACATCCCCAACTTAGTAAGACAGGCCAACATTCAAATTCAGGAAATACAGAGAACATCACAAAGATACTCCTTGAGAAGAGCAATGCGAAGACATATAATCATCAGATTCACCAAGGTTGAAATGAAGGAAAAAATGTTAAGGGCAGCCTGAGAGAAAGGTCGGGTTACCCACAAAGGGAAACCCATCAGACTAACAGTGGATCTCTCTGCAGAAACACTACAATCCAGAAGAGAGTGGGGGCCAATATTCAACATTCTTAAAAAAAAGAATTTTCAACCCAGAATTTCATATCCAGCCAGACTAAGCTTCATAAGTGAAGGAGAAATAAAATTCTGTACAGACAAGCAAATGCTGAGAGATTTTGTTACCACCAGGCCAGCCTTACAAGAGCTCCTGAAGGAAGCACTAAACATGGAAAGGAACAACCATTACCAGCCACTGCAAAAACATACTGAATTGTAAAGAACATTGGCACTATGAAGAAATTGCATCAACTAATGGACAAAACAATGAGTTAGCATCGAAATGACAGGATCAAATGCACATGTAACAATATTAACCTTAAATGTAAGTGGGCTAAATGCCCCAATTAAAAGACACAGACTGGCAAATTGGATAAAGAGTCAACACCCATCAGTGTACTGTATTCAGGAGACCCATCTCACAAGCAAAGACACACATAGGCTCAAAATAAAGGGATGGAGGAATATTTACGAAGCAAATGGAAAGAAAAAAAAAAAAGCAGGTGTTGCAATCCTAATCTCTGATAAAACAGACTTTAAACCAACAAAGATCAAAAGAGACAGAGAAGGACATAATGGTAAAGGGATCAATGAAACAAGAAGAGCTAACTATTCTAAATATATAAGCACCCAATACAGGAGCACTCAGATTCATAAAGCAAATTCTTAGAGACCTTCAAAGAGACTTAGACTCCCACACAATAATAATGGAAGACTTTAACACCCCATTGTGAATATTAGACAGATCAACAAGACAGAAAATTAACAAAGATATTCAGGACTTGAACGCAGCTCTGGACCAAGCGGACGTAATAGACATCTACAGAACTCTCCACCCCAAATCAACAGAATATACATTCTTCTCAGCACCTCATTGCACTTATTCTAAAATTGACCACGTAATTGGAAGTAAAACACTCCTCAACAAATGCAAAAGAACGGAAATGATAACAAACAGTCTCTCAGACCACAGTGCAATCAAATTAGAACTCAGGACTAAGAAACTCACTCAAAACTGCACAACTACATGGAAACTGAACAACCTGCTCCGGAAAGACTACTGGGTAAATAACAAAATTAAGGCAGAAATAAAGATGTTCTTTGAAACCAATGAAAATGAAGACACTATGTACCAGAATCTCTGGGACACATTTAAAGCAGTGCGTAGAGGGAAATTTATAGCACTAAATGCCCACAAGAGAAAGCAGGAAAGATCTAAAATTGACACCCTAACATCAAAATAGAAAGAACTAGAGAAGCAACAGCAAACAAATTCAAAAGCTAGCAGAAGACAAGAAATAACTAAGATCAGAGCAGAAGTGAAGGAAATAGAGACACAAAAAACCTTCAAAAAAATCAATGAATCTAGGAGATGATTTTTTGAAAAGAAAACAAAATAGACCACAAGCCAGACTAATAAAGAAGAAAAGAGAGAAGAATCAAATAGATGCAATAAAAAATGATGTAGGGGATATCACCACTAATGCCACAGAAATACAAACTACCATCAGCGAATACTATAAACACATCTACGCAAATAAACTAGAAAATCTAGACGAAATGGATAAATTCCTGGACACATACACCCTCCCAAGTCTAAACCAGGAAGAAGTTGAATCTCTGAATAGACCAATAACAAGCTCTGAAATTGAGCCAGTAATTAATAGTCTACCAACCAAAAAAGTCCAGGGCCAGACGGATTCACAACCGAATTCTACCAGAGGTACAAAGAGGAGCTGGTACCATTCCTTCTGAAACTATTTCAAACAATAGAAAAAGAGGGAATCCTCCCTAACTCATTTTATGAGGGCAGCATCATCTTCATACCAAAACCTGGCAGAGACACAACAAAAAAAGAAATTTTCAGGCCAAAATCCCTGATGAACATTGATGCAAAAATTCTCAATAAAATACTGGCAAACCGAATCCAGCAGCACATCAAAAAGCTTATCCACCACGATCAAGTTGGCTTTATCCCTGGGATGCAAAGTTGGTTCAACATATGCAAATCAATAAACTTAATCCATCCATAAACATAACAAATGACAAAAACCACTTGGTTATCTCAACAGATGCAGAAAAGGCGTTTGGCAAAATTCAACAGCCCTTCATGCTAAAAACTCTCAATAAACTAGGTATCGAGGGAATGTATCTCAAACTATTAAGAGCTATTTATGACAAACCCACAGCCAATATCATACTGAATGGGCAAAAACTGGAAGCATTCCCTTTGAAAACCAGCAGAAAACAAGGATGCCCTCTCTCACCACTCCTATTCAACATAGTATTGGAAGTTTTGGCCAGGGCAATCAGGCAAGAGAAAGAAATAAAGGGTATTCAAATAGGAAGAGAGGACGTCAAATTGTCTCTGTTTGCAGATGACGTGATTGTATATTTAGAAAACCCCTTCATCTCAACCCCAAATCTCCTTAAGCTGATAAGCAACTTCAGCAAAGTCTCAGGATACAAAATCAATGTGCAAAAGTCACAGGCATTCCTATACACCAATAACAACAAACAGAGAGCCAAATCATGAGTGAACTCCCATTCACAATTAGCATAAAATAACCAGGAATACAACTTACAAGGGATGTGAAGGAACTCTTCAAAAAGAACTGCAAACCGCTGCTCAAAAAAATAAGAGAGGACACAAACAAATGGAAAAATATTCCATGCTCATGGATAGAAAGAATCAGTATCGTGAAAATGGCCATACTGCCCAAAGTAATTTAGAGATTCAATGCTATACCCATCAAGCTACCACTGACTTTCTTCACAGAATTGGAAAAAACTACTTTAAAGTTCATGTGGAACCAAAAAAGAAGCCATATAGCCAAGACAATCCTGGGCAAGAAGAACAAAGCTGGAGGCATCACACTACCTGACTTCAAACTATACTACAAAGCTACAGTAACCAAAGCAGCATGGTACTGGTACCAAAACAGATATATAGACCAATGGAACAGAATAGAGACCTCAGAAATAGCACCACACATCTACAACCATCTGATCTTTTACAAACCTGACACAAACAAGCAACGGGGAAAAGATTCCCTATTTAATAAATGATGTTGGGAAAACTGGCTATCCATAAGCAGAAAACCGAAACTGGACCCCTTCCTTACACCTGATAGAAAAATCAACTCAAGATGGATCAAAGACTTAAACATAAGACCCAGGACCATAAAAATCCTGGAAGAAAACCTGGCCAATACCATTCAGGACACAGGCATGGGCAAAGACTTAATGTCTAAAACACCAAAAGCAATGGCAACAAAAGCCAAAATTGACAAATCGGATCTAATTAAACTAAAGAGCGTCTGCACAGCAAAAGAAACTACCATCAGAGTGAACAGGCAACCTACAGAATGGGAGAAAAGTTTTGCAATCTATCCACTTGACAAAAGGCTAATATCCAGAATCGACAAAGAACTTAAACAAATTTACAAGAAAAAAACAGACAAACCCATCAAAAAGTGGGCAAAGTATATGAACAGACATTTCTCTTAAATAAATTTATGCAGCCAACAGACATATGAAAAAAATGCTTATCATCACTGGTCATTAGAGAAACGCAAATCAAAACCACAGTGAGATACCATCTCATGCCAGTTAGAATGGCAATCATTAAAATCTCAGGAAACAACACATGCTGGAGAGGATGTGGAGAAATAGGGTTGCTTCTACACTGTTGGTGGGAGTGTAAGTTAGTTAGTTCAACCATTGTGGAAGACAGTGTGGTGATTCCTCAAGGATCTAGAACTAGAAATACCATTTGACCCAGCAATTCCATTACTGGATATATACCCAAAAGATTATAAATCATTCTACTATAAAGACACATGCACATGTATGTTTACTGCAGCACTATTCACAATAGCAAAGACTTGGAACCAACCCAAATGTCCACCAATGATAGACTGGATAAAGAAAATGTGGCACATATACACCATGGAATACTATGCAGCCATAAAAAAGGATGAGTTCCTGTCCTTTGCAGAAACATGGATGAAGCTGGAAACCATCATCCTCAGCAAACTATCACAATAACAGAAAACCAAACACCACATATTCTCACTCATAAGTGGGAGCTGAACGATGAGAACACATGGACATAGGGAGGGGAACATCACACATCAGGGCCTGTTGGGGGGTGGGGGGCTAGGGGAGGGATAACATTAGGAGAAACACCTAATGTAGGTGATGGGTTGATGGGTGCCACAAACCACCATGGCACAAGTATAACTATGTAACAAAACTGCAGGTTCTGCACATGTGCCCCAGAACTTAAAGTATAATAATAAAAAATAAAAACAGGAACCAGCAGAAGCTTTAAAAACAGTTTTACTTTAACCTGTCCAGGTAGAGCTCCTTGGGAGGGCTCAGCTGCTAGGACTGGGATCTCTGTAGGTAGAAGGGAAAACAGAAAATGTATTTTCTGCCTATCCAGAGAAAACCTCAGGAATGTTTATTTTAATTTTTTCTTCATCCTTATACCTTTTTAAAATATGAAATGTGACAAAGGCAACCACATATAATCATATAATCAGATTCTCTCATATCTCTTTCGTCTTTAACAATCTATTATTGTATTCTTTGAATCGGATTCGATTTTTTAAAAGCTCTTTGTGTCAAATTTTTCATTATACTAGCATGATAGTGAAGGCCATATTTTTCTTGATTTTGCTTTGAAGTTAGCTAATACTACAACAATAATACTGAGAAAAATCAACACTATAATGGCAAAAAGAAGCCTGATCCGCAATGCTCAGGAGTTGTAGCCAAGGGCGTCTTACTGGTTTCACCTCTACTGAAAACTGTAAACACTACAGAGATTAGATGACTTTCAGAAGTACCACTGAATGAGTGTTCCACCCAATTCAATTACTGGCTTCATTTCCCGAGGGAAATGCAGATTTTTTTTTTTTCCACCAAAGTGAGATTTTACAGAAGTCCTCAGCTTTAATCCTATCAATTACTCAAGAGGAATGTTGATGTCTCCAAGTATAATTCTGCATGTTTGTTTTCTTTCTTAAAGTTTTTCTTATTTTTAATGATTATGGGTACATAATAGTTGTATATATCTATAGGGTGCATGTCATGTTTTGATCATTGTGTAATGATCAAATCAGGGTAATTAGGACATCCATCACCTCAAGCATTGATCATTTCTTTGTGTTAGGAGCATTCCATTTCCACTCTTTTAGTTATTTTTAAATATACAAGAAATTATTAACTATAGTTTCCCTACTGTGCTACTGAATACTAGATCTTGTTCTTTCTAACTGTATTTTTGTACCTATTAACCATCTCTACTTTATGCCCTCCAGTACCCTTCTCAGCCTCTGATAACCATCATCCTACTCTCTATCTCCATGAGTTCAATTTTTTTAAGCTGCCACAAATGAGTGAGAACATGCAATGTTTGTCTTTCTGTGCCAGTTCTATCCATGTTGCTGCAAATTACAGGATTTCATTCTTTTTCATGGCTGGATAATATTCCATTGTGCATATGTACCACATTTTATTCATCCATTCACCTACTGATGGATGGACGCTTAGGTTGATTCCATATCTTGGCTATTGTGAATAGTCCTGCAGTAAACATTAGACCGCAGATATCTCTTGGATATACTGATCTCCCTTCTTTTGGATCTATACCCAGCAGTGGGATTGCTGGATCATATGGTAGCACTATTTTTAGTTTTTTGAGGAACCTCCATATTGCTTTCCATAGTGCCCGTCCTAATTTACATACCCACCAACAATTAATTTTGCATTTTTCTATTTATCCGTCCAGTTCTGTCAGATTTTGCTTCTGGATTTTGAAAGTCTGTTGTTAGGTGTGTACACACTTAGAATTACTGTGTCTTCCTGATGACTTGACCCTTTCATCATTGTGTAATGTTCCTCTCTATCCTTTGTGTCTTCCTGACGACTTGACCCTTTCATCATTGTGTAATGTTCCTCTCTATCCTTGGTAATATTCCTTGTTTTGATGTCTACTTTTTAACATTAATATAGCCACTCCAATTACTGATTAGTGTTTCATAGAGTTTCTTTTTTATCATTTTAGTTTTAACTTATCTATGTCTTGATATTTAATCATATATTTGAGGCTTGCTTCTCTAATTTGACATTGGATTATTTAGATTATTCACATTTAAATATTTACGTAACAAGTAAATATTAATATGTTTGAATTAGAATCTACTATGTTGCTAGTTATTTTCTATTTGTTCCATCTGTTCTTTTCCCCTTCCCTTTCTGCTTCGTTTCAAATAAGTATCTTTATTTCATTTTTTGTAAATATTGCCATTAATTATACCTTTTAAATTCTTTCCTGTGTTTATCCTAAGGTTTGTAGTATGCATCTTAGCTTTCACAATATCTCTTCAAATACTTTACCACTTCATACAGAGTGTGGGTTCCTTCCCAGGCTTTGGGCTGTTTCTGTCATATATTCACTTGCACATGTAATAAGCCCCACACTGTTATGATCATCAATTATTAGTCATTGGTCATTTTATTAATATTTTAATTTTATGTAGTTACCTTTTTGTTTGACTTTTCATTATAATTTTTTATCTTGAAAGATAACAACACACAAGACAATGAAAAAAAGTGCAGAGGGGCCGGGCGCGGTGGCTCACACCTATAATCCTAGCACTTTGAGAGACCGAGGTGGGCGGATTGCCTCAGTTTAGGAGTTTGAGACCAGCCTGGGCAACATGGCAAAACCCTGTCTCTACTAAAAATACAAAAAATTAGTTGGGCGTGATGGTGGTGTGCACCTGTAGTCCCAGCTACTAAGAAGGCTGAGGCACAAGAATCACTTGAATCCAGGAGATGGAGGTTGCAGTGAGCTGAGATCGTGCCACAGCACTCCAGCCTGGGTGACAGAGCAAGACTCTGTCTCAAAAAAAAAAAAAAAAAAATGTAAAAAAAAATGTAAAAAAAGAAGTGCAGGGGGTGTCCATGCACCTTCACCCAGCTTACTCCAGTACTCCAGTGATAATACCTTATATAACCATAGTCTATGTGCAAAACCAGGAAATTGACATCAGCATGATACTGTTAACTCAGGCATGACCTTCTTCAGATTTCACTAGTTTTTATGTACTTGTAAAATTTTATCATTAAATTTTATCACAAGTATAGATTTGTATAATCATAAACACAATCAGAATCCAAAGCCATTCCCTCACTACAAACGAACTCCTTGTTTCACCCCTTAATACGCTCTCCCAAACCCTAAAATCTGGCAACCGCTAATCTGTTCTGTGCCACAGTGATTGTGTCATTTTAGGAATATACTGTATCAGTGAGTTATATGGTGTGTAATCCTTTGGGATTTCCTTTTCTCACTCTGCACAGTGCTCTTCAGATTCATTCAAATCGTTGCATGAATCAATCATTTACTCTTTTCATTGCTGCCTTGTATTCCAGTGTGTACATGTGTCACTTTTTTAAGTCTACCTACCCATCGAAGGACCCTTGTGTTGTTTCCAACATTTGTAGTAACAAATAAAGTTGCTATGAACATTCATGTCCTGGATTTTGTGTGAACTTACTTTTTGTTATATGGTAAGTATATACTTAATTTTATAAGGAATTGGAAAACTATTTCTGGCATTTTACACACCCACCAGAAAGGCAGAAGAGATTCGGCTGCTCTCCAACCTTGTTCTCAGTTGGCATTTTCAGTTTTTATGATTTTAGTTATTCTAATAGGTGTGTCCTGGTATCTCATTATAGCTCTAACTTGCATTTCACCAATGGCTAACATTGTTAACATCGTTCATGTCTCTATTTTCCACTCATCTCTTTAGTGAAATTGTTCAATCAACTGCCCATTTTCTAACTGGCAAATATATATTAAGGCAACTGAAGTCAAGAAAACATATATTTTATATTTGTCCTCAGTTTCACTATTTCCAGTCTTCATTTTCTTTTCATACACACAGCTTTCCATCTTGCATCTTACTCCTTCCTGAACATTTTTTTTTTTACCATTTCAGTTAGCATGTTAGGTGTCAATGGATTCTTGCAAGTTTTGTTTGCTGAAAATGTTTTTATTTTACCTTCAGTTTAGGGTGGTATTTTTCACTTGGTATGGAGCTCTTGGCTGACAGTGTTTTGGTTTTAGTAATTTAAAGCTGACACTCAATTGTCTTGTGGTGTATTTTCTGACCAAAAAAAAAAGAAAAGAAAAAATCTTGTATAATCCATTTATTTGTTCATAGCTATGTAGTGTTTATTTTTTTTCCTTTGGCTGCTTCAAATATATTATTTTTGTCTCTGGTTTTCTTTGATGTGTTACTTTGATGTATCTAAGTGTTTTCTTCATTTTTTTTTTTTTTTTGGTGCCTTTTAGCAATTTTGGATAATTCTTGGCCACTCCTCAACATATTTCTTATGCCTTCTTTTCCTTCTGGAACTCTTATTACACTTATGTTGGACTTTTTGTTTCTGTTTCACAGCTGTTGGATGCTCTGTTCTATTTTTTCTGCACATTTTTCTCTTAGGTTTTTAGTTTGGACAATTTCTATTTGATTTATATTCAAATTCAGTGAATTTTTCTTCAATTGTTTCCAGTCTGCTGGTAAACTTGCTGAAGGGATTCTTCACTTCTGATTGTATGTATTTTATTTCTAACATTTCCATTTGACTCAGGGTTTTCTCTATGCTAAATTTTCTCAAGTGTTTATCCATGTTGTCTCTGTTTAACATGTTTTGACATGTTTATCATGTTATTTTAAACTTCCAGTTCTATTGTTCCAACTTCTTGGTCATCTTTGTGTCTGGTTTTGTTGTTTGCTTTACCTCTTGACATGGGTTGCTTGATCTGTTTACCTTGTGGTGTATTTTATGAGTTTTGATTGAGTAATGGATAGCAGGTGTAGAACAGTGAAGACTGATGTAAATAGTACCTATATACAGAAATGGGTGTGCATCTACTTTCATGGGGCCTTTATTGTGGAAAATTGATTCAACCTATTGAGTAATTGGGCTAGATTTAGGTTTGTTCTTACTATTATCACCTTCGGTGTGACACCACACTGAAGGACTGAAGAACCACAGACGTCAGCATCCTGCAGCATTTCGTTCCTATTAGTTTGCGCTGAACATTGGCCCTGGAGTGCTGGAGGGCTTTGCTCAGTCTTCCTGTTCAATTCCCAAGTTTCTGCCATCCTGCATGCCTATGCCATGGAAGGTGTGTCTCTTCACTGTCTTACCTCCTCTACAGCAGAAGACCAGCACTCAGTGCCAGGCTTGAGGTGGGGGCTGCAGGGAGTGGTTCTCCTGGCCAAGGCTCAGCCTGTGAGTTTGAGCCTTAGAGGTGGGCTTTCTCTTCCCTCTCCTGCCTGTGGCAACCAAACTCTGCCTTGCATTTGTGACAGCTGTGGTGTGAGAGTGAGTCTCCTTCCCCTCCTTCAGGAGCAGCTGGCCTCTGATTTGTACTCCTGCAGGACCCTGGTCTGAAGAGGATTTCCTGCCGCCTCCCCGACTGAGGCAGGTGACTTTTGTTTCTATCCCCATGAGAATTAGTGGGCCTTTGCCTGGGGACTGTTGGTTGGGGAGTATCCTTCCGGTCTTTACCCCAGTGGCTTAAGAATTTTGCTTCTCCTAAGAGAAGAGTCCAGGGAAGTGGGCTGTGCCTCTCGCCTCACCCCAAGGGGGTTTGCTCCAGCCTTCCATCTGCCACCAGTGTTTCTCATGAGATCCTGGTAGAATCCAGGACAAAGCTTGGGAGTGAGTTATTCTAAATAGTTATACTGACCCATACTTCGCCTTTAAGATTTTGTTGAACTTCTACCTAGCTGCTTCTTTGTATTTTTTATTAACAGCTTTATACAAAAACTGCACATATTTAATGTATATAATTTGATGAGTTTGGACATACGCATACACCCATGAAATCATCACCACACTCAAGGTAATAAACATATTTATCACCTCCAAGTGTTTCTTTGTGCCCCTTTGTGGGGTTTGTTGTTGTTGTTGTTGTTGAGACCAGGTCTCACTGTGTCACCCAAGCTGGAGTGCAGTGGCACAATCTCGGTTCACTGTAGCCTCGACCTCCCACCTGAGCCTCCCTAGTAGTTGGGACCACAAACACACCCCACCATGCCTGGCTAATTTTTGTATTCTTTTGCACAGACAGGGTTTCACCATGTTTCTCAGGCTGGTCGCTAATGGGCTCAAGGGATCTGCCCATCTCAGCCTCCCAAAATGCTGGGATTACAGGCGTGAGCCATCGCGCTGGGCCTGTGATTTTTGTTGTTGTTTGTTTAATGTGTTTGCTTCTTACCACTCATATGGAAGCCACCTCTTCCTTTCCTGTGCTCTGCCAAAAGAAAGAGACTTCTTACCATTCTGTGTGAGTCAGTTCACTTGTTTGACTTGTGACTTCGGTTTTCTGATAGACTCAAACAAAAATGTATAATTGTCTATGTTATCTTTTTTTCTCTTGATATTAGAGTGATATTCTCTTTTGGTTTTCTATATCTAAAGTTAAAACTGAGCTCTTCAGTTTTTAATTGGATTGTTTGTCTTTTTATTTTTGGTTTGTAGGTATTTTTAAAATAATTTCAATCTTTAGATTTAGAGGATACATGCACAGGTTTGTTGCACAGGTAAATTGTGTGATGCTGAGGTTTGGAGTATGAATAATCCCATCACCTGAGCCTTGTACCCACTGGTTAGTTTTTCAGCCCACACTCTCTCTCTCTCTCCCCTCCCACCTCTAGTAACCCCAGTGTTTATTGTTACCATCTTTGTTTAGCTCCCACTTCTCAGTAAGAACATGAAGTATTTGGTTTTCTGTTCCTGTGTTTCACTTAGGATAATGGCCTCCAGCTGCATCCATGTTACCGCAAACGACATGATTTTGTTCTTTTCATGGCTGCATGGTATTCCATGGTGTATATTACCATGTCTCCTTTGTCCAGTCTACCATTGATGGGCATCTAGGTCCATTCCATGTCTTTGCTCTTATGAACGGTCATGCAATGAACATTCGAGCGCATATGTCTTTTTGATAGAATAATTTATTTTGCAAAATAGGCTTTTAAGAAAAAAGTTAAACTCATTTATATCATGCTAGTGTGAGGGATGTTGAGAACTGAAATTTTCAATTGACCTGAGCAAGACCTACGCCCTAACTACTTTTCCCCGCCCCTCTTGCTAAATCCAAATTGGCCAACCAATGGCCGCTCATCCACTGCCCTTGTCTTGTTGTTCCCACCTATGGTCTCTGGACTAAAACAACCTCAGTTTCCCCAAACTTTATAAGAACATAAACAGTAAACAATTCTCAGAACAAAACTGAACTCGGACTACCTTCAATCTAGCCCATAAAATCTTCAGGCTCCTTGGTCCTGGCAGCTGTTGTCAGGTTGTAGTATTTTAATAAAGGCTTAAGCCAACAGCTTTCAGCCTCTTCTTTGTTGCGTTTTCTCCTTCTGCACAATGAGGAGCACTGGATGCTGCTCCAGCCCAGGCATGGGAGCAGGAGCACTGGGCTTCCTAGAAGTCTTGTCCTGCTGTGCCCCAGAAGGGAAGGGGAGCAAACGCAGGATTGCTCAGCCTTTTATGAGTCACCGATCAAATTTCAGAATCTGAAGATACCTATCTACCCTTCCCCCAATATATGCACACACACACACACACACACACTTTTCATGCACTTCTTGAATATGAACCTCCTTCATGATTTCCCGTTGATAATCACCCTGATTTGGAGATGTAATTAACACACAGGGAAATAAAGATACAATAGACCCAAGAAGAAGGTGTTTTGTTTTGTTTGTTTTGTTTGAGACGGAGTCTTGCTCTGTCACCCAGGCTGGAATGTAGTGGTGCAATCTCGGCTCACTGCAATCTCTGCCTCTCACGTTCAAGCAGTTCTCCTGCCTCAGCCTCCAGAGTAGCCGGCATTACAGGTGCATGGCACCACGCCCAGCTAATTTTTGTATTTTTAGTAGGGATGGGGTTTCACTATGTTTGCCTGGCTGGTCTTGAACTCGTGACCTGAAGTGATCTGCCTACCTTGGCCTCCCAAAGTGCTGGGATTACAGGCCTGAGCCACTGTGCCCAGCCAGGAGAAGGTTTTTGAAGACCCATGAGTGTATCACATTAAGAGGCTAACAGTGATTACTTTTTGAGAATTAGCTCTTGACTGGCCTTCAGTCTGAGTAGTTACTGAAACTACTGCATAGTCCCAAGATTTCTGAAATTGGTTGAGTATCCTAGCAAATGTCCCTATTTGTTCTTCTTTGGATTTTGGCATTTCAAGTTGCTTTACAAATGTGTAATCTATATTACCTAAGAGGGATCACCCACTCAGCCCTTCCTCCGTTATTGTTTGGAATGGGTTTGATGGACAAATTCATGGGCAGATCACCTGGCAAGGCCCTGAGAAAGTCTGTGAGATGGGGCGAGTCTTTTTCTTGGGGAAAGTGATGGTTTAGGAAAGGTAATCAGCAAGCAGGAGGTGTAGAAAAGACAGAAATGGCAAGAAAGACCCTAGAAAAAAAAGAAATGGCAAGAAAGACCCTAGAAAAGACAGAAATGGCAAGGAAGACTAGGCAAAGACCCTAGCCACAGAGGGCGTGGAGAGGGCCGAAGGGAAAGCTGCAGATCGCCCCTGTCTTTCACGGCCCTGCACAGTCCCTACCTGACTTTCAGGAAATGAAATGCAACCAGCTGAGGTGTTCCTAGTTCTTGGGGTGATGAATAATTTGGATTGCAACCTGAATGTCTGGGTATTGGTTTATGTGACTTTGATCTTATTTAAACCTGGTTTACCTTGCGTTCTCTAATACTTCACTTTGGGAGAAGTGGAGAGATGCTGCCTCAGCACTGTTGGGTAACGGAAGAAGTCCTTGGTCCCCACCTGCCTTTACCGACCCTTGCACTGGGAAGGGTCTTTTCATTACTTCTTAGTGCAGGTAAGAATTTTGGCTCCTCCCTTGGCGTCTGCTGATGGTGCCCTGGCCAGCATGGGTGGGGGTGTCTTGTTGCTCCTCACATAGTCCCCACTGTCCTCACCATATAAGGCGGGGGTGCCTCATTACCTCTGCACTGTGGTGAACGTCCTGGCTGGAGTCTAGGCATCCTCTGACATCACTCAAGGGGAAAGAGGAGTGACCCCTTGCTGGTGCTGGGTGGGAGTGGTGGTCCAGGTTGCCTTTGTTGTCTCCACTGACACAATTGAGGGAGTGAGGAGGGAGGCTCTTTATCACCAGGTGGGGTGGAAATTTCTGGCTCCCTAGTGAGTCTGCTGGTGGTGGTGTGGGTGGAATCATGTTTTTTTTCTGTTGTGTTTTTGCTGAAATAAACAGGCTAACATCTAAAATTTTCCTTCTTGCTAGGCTGTCCCCTTTCCTGGTCCTTTGGTTAGGAAGAACAGGCTTTTGGATGGGAGGGTGGCTGTGTGACCATTGGAATTTTCTAGTTACTGGCTTCTTTAGCTCAAGTCTGGGAATTTTAAGGCAGGGAGCTCCTCTCTGTGGCCTGCCTTGGGTCCTGAGGTCTCTAGTTGGCTTTCTTTCTTTCCATCTTGCGCAGTCTTCACCTGCTTGAGTCATATGTAATCTCTAGGGGTTGTGGTTGTACTTAGCAGGAGGAATAAGAACAAGAACACGTCACGGTGGCTCGCGCCTGTAATCCCAGCACTTTGGGAGGCCAAGGTGGGCGGATCACCTGAGGTCAGGAGTGCAAGACCAGCCTGGCCAGCATGGTGAAACCTCGTCTCTACTAAAAAAAATACAAAAATCAGCCAGACGTGGTGGCCTGGGCCTGTAATTCCAGCTACCCGGGAGGCTGAGGCAGAAGAATCGCTGGAACCTGGGAAACGGAGGCTGCAGTGAGCTAAGATCGTGCCATTGCACTCCAGCCTGGGCGACAGAGCAAGACTCTGTCTCAAAAAAAAAAAAACAAAACAAAAACAAAAAACAAAAAACAATAAAGAAAGAAAAAGAACACTATTCTATCTTCCCAGGATGGGAAGTATATGACCTATTAATTTACATGACATCACACTTTTATCTTGTCATACACTTTTTCTTAGAGCTTATTTTTTCTAATAGCAGTTCAACTACTCCATCTTTCTTAGGCTCGCTGTTTACACGCTACATATTTTTCCATTAATTTTCTTTTTTTTTTTTTTTTTAGGGATGGAGCTTCATGCTTGTCACCCAGGCTAGAGTGCAATGGCGCAATCTCAGCTCGCTACAACCTCTGCCTCCCAGGTTCAAGTGATTCTCCTACCTCAGCCTCCTAAGTAGCTGGGATTACAGGCGCACGCCACCACGCCCAGCTAATTTTTGTATTTTTAGTAGAGACGGGGTTTCACCATGTTGGCCAGGCTGGTCTCAATCTCTTGACCTCATGATCCCCCTGCCTCAGCCTCCCAAAGTGCTGGGATTACAGGCGTGAGCCACTGCGTCCCACCCATTCATTTTCTTTTAACCTCCATGTGTCTATAAATTGAGATTCTCTTCTCAACTACGCATAGTTGTGTTTTACTTTTTTATCCATTCTGATCACTTCTGCCTTTTAATTGGTGTGGTTAGACCATTAATATTTAATATAATTATTGATATGCTTATATTCAATATTACCATTTTATTATTTTTCTATTTTATAATTCCTCTTCTTTCTTCCATGGGTCACCCTTTTGCACTTTCTTGTGGATTATTATTTTTTTAAGATGCTCTTTTACTTATAATTTTCCATTTTTAGCTCTCTTTGCATTATTTTTTCAGTGTTTGACTTAGGAGTTCAATATACATCCTTAGCTTCTCATAATCTACTTAGAATTAGTGTAGCAACATTTTACATAAAATGCAGCAGTCTTGCAACTGCAGGGGTCCATCTACCACCCCACTCTTTCATGCTAAGGTTATCCTATGTATTATATCCAAAAATATTATTAGTCTCACAAGAAAATGTTATATGGATTTTTCTCTAAACAGTTGTGTATTTTATTTTATTTTTATTTATTTATTTATTTATTTATTTATTTATTTTTCAGACAGAGTCTTGCTCTGTCGCCCAGGCTGGAGTGTGATGGCGTGATCTTGGCTCACTGCAAGCTCCACCTCCTGGGTTCACACCATTCTCCTGCCTCAGCCTCCCCAATAGCTGGGACCACAGGCGTCCGCCACCACGCTTGGCTAATTTTTTATATTTTTAGTAGAGATGGGGTTTCACCATGTCAGCCAGGATGGTCTTGATCTCCTGACCTCGTGATCCACCCGCCTCGGCCTCCCAAAGTGCTGGGATTACAGGCGTGAGCCACTGCGCCCTGCCAGCAGTTGTGTATTTTAAATAAATTAAGGGAGTACTGTTTTTTACATTTACGAATTCAAACACTCTTCCTTCATTCCTGAAGATCTGAATTTTCCTCTGATATAATTTCCCTTCAACTTGAGGAACATCTTCTAGTAGTTCTTATAGGTGCAGTTCTCCTGTGGAGAAATTCTCTTTATTTTCTTTTATTCGGTAATGAATTTGTTTTTCCTTCTTCTTTAACAGATATTTTCACTGGCTCTGGAACTCTGCCTTGACAGATTTTTCTTTCAGAAATTTCAAGATGTTGTTGAACTGTCAACAATAGAGAATTTTGACTCCTCCCTTGACCTCTGCTGTCCACTGGCCAGCATGGGTGGGGGTGTCTTGTTGCTCCTCACGTGGTCCCTACTGTCCTCACCATACAACTGAGGTCGCCTCGTTACCCCTGCACTGTGGTGAACGTCCTGGCTGGAGTCTAGGCATCCTCTGACATCCCTCAAGGGGAAAGGAGAGTGACCTCTTGCTGGTGCTGGGTAGGAGTGGTGGTCCAGGTTGCCTTTGTTGTCTTCACTGACACAACTTGGGGTGTGAGGAGGGGGGCTCTTTATCACCAGGCAGGGTGGAAATTTCTGGCTCTCCAGTCAGTCTATGCTGGTAGACTTTGCAGTTTTTCCATTGTTCCTGATGGCAAGTGTACAGTCATTTGAATCAGCGTTGCCCTTTGTGTAATGCATTCTTTTATTCTGTTTCCTTTCAAGATTTTTCTCTTGATATTTGCTTTCCAGCAGTCTGACTGTGAGGCACCTAGCCTCTTCATGTTTCTTGTTGGAGTGCACTTAGCTTCTTGAATCTGTAAATTGATAGCTTTTTCCAAATTTGCAAAGTTTTTGTCCAGTATTCATTTCTTTTGGTCTTCTTTACTCTATCTTTCCTCTTCTTCTGGGACTTGGATTACTGTGTTAGACCTTGGGGTGTCCTTTAACCGATTTCTGAAGTTTTATTCACTTTTTTCTAAGCATTTTTTTCTTTGTCGTCCCAGATTTCTAATGATTAGCTTCAAGTTTACTGACTTTTCCTCTGTCATCTCCATTCCCTATTGAGTCCATCTAGTGGATTTTTTATTTTGGATATTGAATTTTTCATTTCTGAAATTTGCATTTTTCATTTTTATAGTTTTGATTTCTCTAGTGATATTTTCTATCTTTTCATTCATTATGCACATATTTTCCCTCGTGTCATGGAGCTAATAGTTATTATAATGCCTTTCTTGATGGTTATAACATCTGAGTCATCTCAGGGTTGACCTCTGTTGATTGAATTTTCCCTTGAATGAGGATAATTTTTTTCTTTTTTGAGTAAACAGAGTCTTGCTCTGTCGCCCAAGCTGGAGTGCAATGGCACAATCTCAGCTCACTGCAACCTCCACTTCTCAGGCTCAAGAGATTCTCCTGCCTCAGCATCCCAAATAGCTAGGATTACATGCACATGCCACCACACCCAGCTAATTTTGTATTTTTAGTAAAAATGGGGTTTCACCATGTTGGCCAGGCTGGTCTTGAACTCCTGACCTCAGGTGATCCACCTGCCTCAGGGGATAAATTTTTCTCCTTCTTCGTATCTTGATTAACTAAAGATTTGGTCCTGGACAGAATGAACATTATATTGTAGACACTCTGAATTCTGTTATATGTCTCTAAAAAATTGTGATAATTTTGTTTAGCATGCAGCTAACATTCCTAGATTCAAACTGTAAGCTCTTTGCCACCTGTCGTGCTATCAGTGCAAATCTCCAGTTAGTTTTGTAAACCTTGTATGCAAGCTACATTGAATCTGCCTTCTACAGGCTTGGTTCAGCATTCAGCCAGAGACTTGGGCAGAGTTTGCTTAGAAAATCTGGGTCTCCTCTTTTCTGTTTCATTCCCTCTGTGACACTTACCTCATTTTTTGACAGATGTGGTCACCCTGGTTGCTCAAGCAAGAAAGACGGTGGCCTTTAGATGAGAATTTTAATCTCCCTGCATTGCACTGTCTCAGAGATGGCTTCTCGCTCTCATACCAAAGCCACAGAAACAGAGACTCACTGTGCCAGCCCCTTCCTCCAAGACACAATTCCTCTCCAAACTCTGCCTGCTTTTGTTCCCTTCTCAGAGATCTGGGTATTTTAAAAATTGTGTCCAGAGTTTATAATTATCTGGCGGAGGGCTGGTCTTTTAGAAGCAGACTAGAAATATAACTCGAGGGTTTGTTTCAAATATTTTTATGACCCTTTCAGAAGATCTTTTGTAATAAATTTGGTCACAACTTGAGATTAGGAATTGTTGGCTTAACCTCTCAGATCCCTGTTTAATTGTCTGAAATGTTATAAATAATAACAATATGTAACTATCCTGTCATCTGTTGATTATTTACTAGTCAACAGATGTGTTGGATTTTATGCCAAGTGCTTTAAATGCATTACCTTATCAAATCCTCACTATGTCACTTACTGAGGCATAGCTAACCTGTACATTGGTGGAATCACTAACCCACTGTGGTCCAGTGGCTCTGCTCACTTGTCATCTGCCACTGGAATAAGCTGTGGTCCTCCCAGATTCATATACTGAAATCATAAGTCCTAAGCTGATGGTATTAAGAGGTGGGGCCTTTGACAGCTGATTAGGTCATGAGGGTGGAGCCCTCATGAATGGGATTAGTGCTCTTAATAAAAGAGGCTCAAGAGGGACACCTCTCCCTTTCCACACTGTGAGGACACAGCAAGAAGTCACCGTCTATGAACCAGGAAGCAGTCCCCACCAGACACCAAACCTGGAAGCACCTGATCCTGGACTTCCCCGCCCCCAGAACTGTGAGAAATAAATTTCTGTTGTTTGTAAGCCACCCAATCAATGGCATTTTGTTACAGCAACCCAAACAAAGACTAATAATAATAATAATAATTGATACTGACATTTATTAAGCATTCTCCATGTTCCCAGCTTGGTGCTGAGAGTTATCTCATTTATCTCTCACAACAGCACTATGAGGGAGGTAATATAAGTAACCCTGGCTGGGTGCAGTGGTTCATGCCTGTAATCCCAACACTTTGGGAGACCGAGGTGGGCAAATCACGAGGTCAGGAGATCAAGACCATCCTGGCTAACATGGTGAACCCCGTCTCTACTAAAAATACAAAACATTAGCCAGGCATGGTGGCGGGCGCCTGTAGTCCCAGCTACTCGGGAGGCTGAAGCAGGAGAGTGGCGTGAACCCGGGAGGCGGAGCTTGAAATGAGCCGAGATCACGCCACTGCACTCTAGCTTGGGCGACAGAGCGAGACTCCGTCTCAAAAAATAAATAAATACAGTAAGTATTCCTGAGTAACTGGTGGGATTATGGGATCTTATCAAAGTTAAGTATTTTGTCCAAGGCCATAAAAATAGTAGGCATGGAGCTGGATTTGAACCCCGTGACTTCAATTCTGAGTCACTGCATCATCACCTCTCATAACAGTACTTTTCTGGGTTCTGTCCCTATCTCTAAAAGGAAGTTCTTGCTTCCTCCTAGACATATTCCATCAAGTTATTTGGTTAACATTTTAGATTTATTGGTATGAGGACAATTTTTCATGTGTCCCAACTCTCTCTGATTGAATATCATCAAAGAGGTAGACTGCTACAAGGAAACAAAGAGTTGTAGCACTCTTCAGCAGGGGCTGGGAGGGGCCACCACTAAAGTCTATATAACATCACATCCTTGTTCAAAAATTCCCACACTGCTGAAACCTCTAGAAAATTGACAGGGGTACATAAAATGAAGCATGTTAATAGCTTGTAAGCTCTTAGACTTTGTTACCTCAAAGTGTAGTATAATTTCTACCAATATAACACTTTCTTAATGAGTTAAATTAGGTAAATGTATTCATAATGCAAACAAAAAGTCCCCTGCTTTTCTAGAGGCAGTTCTTAGTTTTTTTTTGTTTTTTTTTTGTTTGAGACAGAGTCTCGCTCAGTCACCCAGGCTGGAGTGCAGTGGCGCAATCTCGACTCACTACAATCTTCACCTCCCAGATTCAAGCAATTCTCCTGCCTCAGCCTCCCCAGTAGCTGGGACTACAGGCACGTGCCACCACGCCCAGCTAATTTTTTATTTTTTGTATTTTTAGTAGAAACGGGGTTTCACCGTGTTAGCCAGGATGATCTCGATCTCCTGACGTCGTGATTCACCCGCCTCAGCCTCCCAAAGTGCTGGGATTGCAGGCGTGAGCCACCGCACCCGGCCAGTTCTTAATCTTTTGTGGTTGATCTTCCTGCTCCCTGATCTCCCTATCTTGGCAGAATTCTGCGGAACATGGTCAAAGTCTGACGTTGAGATACTAGGGAATGTGAAGAAAGATGAACTTTCATTGTACGAGGGTATATGCATACCTAGAGGCTCTTCAAGACTTGCTAACAAACTATCAAATTTTTCAATTATACTACAGACTATATGCATCAGTAAAGGAGTATCTATATGGGTTTGCAGACAGAAACAACTAGATCATTCTCTCTGCAATTCTGCATAAATAATATTTAGATCTTACATACTCAGCACATGCTGGCAAAGTATATAACAGCTGTGGTTGTTTGCTACTTCTTTAATGATGATAATGTCAAAAGGAGATCAGCACTCTTGAGCATAAGAGGCTCTAGCCGCAAACTGTGGCATGTGTAGCAAATACGGATCTGCACAAAGTATATGAAACCCCTCTCACTAAATACAGGTAAAGCAGTACCCATGTAAGTAGTACATGAAGACTTCTTTTTCCTCTATTTCAAAAGGTATATTTAGGGAAACCATATATCTTAAGTTTTAACTTTTTGGCTGCTGTTCCCATTTCTCTTGAAATTCATTAAAGGTCATTTATAAAATATATATTAGATTATATCAGTATTAATAATTTTAAATATATGAAAGTATAATTCAGAATAAGTATTTGGTCAAAAAACATAGCTTTATAACTCTGGCCATAAATAATACATATCAACCTTTATTTGTAGTTCGCAAAGACAGCTTAATATTTAAATATCTATTAATGTAATATATCACATTAACAAATTAAAGGAGAAAAATGATCAGCTGATAGATGCTGGAAAAGCATTAAATAAAATTTAATATTCATTTATAATTTATTTATATGCCATCAGGAGGCCACTCGTGGTGGTTCTCACCTGTAATCCCAGCACTTTGGGAGGCCAAGTCAGGCTGATTTCTTGAGCCCAGGAGTTTGAGACCAGCCTGGGCAGCATGGCAAAAACCCATTTCTACAAAAAGTACAAAAATTAGCCAGACATGGCGTCAAGCCTGTAGTCCCAGCTGTTTGAGAGGCTGAGCGGGGAGATTGCTTGAGCCTGGGAGGTGGAGGTTGCAGTGAGCCATAATCGCCTCACTGTACTCCAGCCTGGGTGACAAAGCAAAACTGTCTCAAAAACAAAAAATAAAAAATAAGTAGATATAGACAAATGTTACAATTTGATAAAGCTGTGTGGTATTTATATGAGTTTTGTTGACTCCAAACTGTGTAGAGTTGAAATGTTTAATTAATACAAGGATTTTTTAAAAAAGAAGCCAACACGAGATGGTCCCATCTCAGCCTCCCAAGTAGCTGGGACTACAGACGCGACACCATGTCCAGCTAATTTTTGTACTTTTCGTAGAAATGGGGTTTTGCTATGTTGCCCAGGCTGATCTCAATGCACAAAAAGGTAGAATTAAATCTTTCCATGGTCAGAAAGATTCAATTCTACCTTTTTTTTTTTCATTTCTGCCTAAAGAAAATATCATTTGCAGAATTTCAATTTATCCACACCCAGAGAGGGAAGCTAACTGAATCTGAATACATAGGGGAGAGAAGATGAAATGGTTTATTTGCTCAAGGGATGAAAGCTAGTTCACTATTAACCATGGCCCAAAACTAATTAGGCAGCAACTAGGATATTGTTGGAATAAAACAATATTCCAAAGTCAAATAGAGACATTTACTCTTTCGAATTATCCATGCCACCATACTTTCCCTTTGAGGTACTTGGTAAGAAACCACTAAACCACAAAATACTATTTGGTCATAGGTTTCAGAGATTCAAAGAAGGAGGGCGCTTGGTAGGAACACTGGGCAGAGTTTATTTGCTTCAAAAGGGAATGTATCATTAGCATCTTAGCGACAAAATTGTTATTTAGCAAAAAGATAGGAAATAACATGAGGAGTAGAATTAGAAATCTGTGCAGTTGAGGTAGAGGCCTCTGAATTTTAAAGACTATCCTTTGAACAGTTGCAAACAGAAAGAAGACACAATCTCTGTGCATAATGTGTCAGCTGTGATGCAGAGGAGTGCCCATTTGATGGGTCCCATGATGAGAAGTCTGGCTGGATGAGAACCATGGCACAGGAAGAAGGTGAGGTGGGACCAGAGCTATGGAATCCCAGACCCTCCTGGCCAAGATTCTCACCAACATGCTGACGCAGAGGGGCTGATGAGTAGCCACAAAATCTTATGAGACATGTATCTGAATATTATCTGTAATGTGTCATTTCTGTTATATTAATACTAAATATTAAAAGTATTGAAGGAATAAATGAAGAAGGCACAAGTGTCTGAACATGCTGGATTCATTAGAATGGATAAGATGGGTGTATTTTTACACAATGCTTGAACAGGTCCATTTTATCTGGAATATTCCACAATTTTTACACACTCATTCTTCTTTTAGGTATGTTTGCTTAGATCGATATGCATACAAACACTAAGTTACTGAATTAATACATAGGTCCTTCCAGAGCCCTCAAATTTAGCTTCACCACATCCAGAGTATTCTGTGAAGAGAGGAATAAGTGAGGCTTTTGTCAAATGAATTTAATTAGACTATATTAGTGGAACCCCTTTGAGGTTCAGTTCAGACCATTTTAATCAAAAGGAATAAAATAAAAATTACCTGCTTCTAAAATTGTGCCTTCCAGCTGTTCTTTTTTTTTTTTTAAAGGCCAGAACTGAACACATTCTCAATTAGTCACCTAGCTCACCCACCAGACCCCTGGGTGGTCTGTGGTTCTCAGTCTAGTTGGCTTGAGCCTGGTGCCAGGGACACAAAAGTGAGGTATTTTCTCCATGAGAGAAGACTTTTGCTTGGTTTTGGGGTGCTGCCCTAAAAATCCAGGCGACGTGTCCCCAGCATTCCTTTGGTTGGTGGGAGTGCATCCATCCTTTCTACTGTGAAGGGCGGCGTGTAAGGCAGACAAACCTGGACACCCACAGGAGCGGTGCCTCCTGTAAACTGCTTTTCCCCGGCAGCGTCCTTCACATCCTTGGCATGTACCGAAGCCTTGGCCATTCCTCTCACTGTGGGGGAAGGCTGGTGCCCCGCCAGCTATGCCATGGGTGCCACTGCACCTTTTGTTCTGCCACCTCGGGCACTGTTCCGTCCATGCACATGGTGTGGGAGAGGCTGTGTCATTCTTGCCTTGTAAACCTGAGTCTGGAGGCTAGAGCACCCTCAGGAAGAGCCTTTCTTGCCCTTTTTCTTATCATTTTGAAGAGCCTGTTGCCTTTCTATGTACACAGACTCTACAATGGAGCCAAATATAAGAGGTCTGTGATCCTGTAGCCTGAATCAGAAGACATAGCTGGCTTCTCATGTCGCCATCGATTTGTATTGGATCTCTCTCTTTCTCAGTGTCTCATATTAAGTATCATGGTAATTGTACCTAAGAATATTAGGAAAAGATCTATCATGGCCTTCAGGACTGGAGGAACCTCAACAATCTACAGACCAGCTGGCTCCTAGCTGCTCTCCGTGAAACTGACCATTCCGCAGAGAGAGTTGATGAGTCCAGGCTCCTCCTGCCCAGGTTCTTGGCACATCCCTGGCCCCTGGAGCTCCTAGGACTCCACCTGAAGTTTGAAAACCACCAGGCCTAGTCAAACTCTCCCCTTTACAGCAAGTGCAGCTGAAATGAGGGAATTTCCAAAACATATGCAGTTACTTCATATCACAAGAATTGCGGCCGGGCGCAGTGACTCACACCTGTAAACCCAGCACTTTGGGAGGCTGAGGTGAGCAGATCACCTGAGGTCAGGAGTTCAAGACCAGCCTGGCCAACATGGCAAAACCCCATTTCTACTAAAAATACAAGAATTAGCCAAGCATGGTGTCACATGCCTATAATCCCAGCTACTTGGGAGGCTGAGGCAGGAGAATTGCTTGAACCCGGGAGGCGGAGGTTGCAGTGAGCCAAGATCGTGCCACTGCACTCCAGGCTGGGCGACAAAGTGAGACTCTGTCTCAAAAAAAAAAAAAAAAAAAAATTGCAAGAACCCAGGTCTCCTGCTCCAGGGCTCAGTATGTGTTCTACTGCCCCACAGTTCTTCCTACAAAATGAGGAAAGGCTTATTTATCTAATTTGTGAGGGCAACTATATATTCTTTATTATGAAGGAATTCACTTTGACAACAATTATGAAGCCCAGACTGAGTTACTAGCACGAGTTCTAGGGGTAGCTACATCCCACTCTGAACTTTCCGGTTATAATCCTTGCCTTCTTTCTCGGCCTTCACAGAAAACCCAGACTCAAGCCCCGCCCTCCTTTTCCTGGAAAATGCCAAAGCCAACTGCGTAAGAGGTTTTTTTCTCCCAGGAAGAACCTTGTCTTCCTAGAAAACAATCTCCACCTCCCCACACTTTGCTGTATGAGGCAGAGAACAGCCCCAAACATGGACAGGCCTCGGTGGAAAGGGTGCGTTGTTGCTGTTGTGAATGGGATGACACGGCCTCCTGGCCTAGCGGCCCAGGTCCCTCGCGGCAGGGGCTGGATTTCCCACCCAGAGCGGAGCTCATGGCCTGCAGCACCGCAGAGACGGTTCCTGGGAGGAGCGGGGCCAGGGAGTTCCTGGGAACGTGCTGTTTTCATTACTGATATTCCCGAGGGCTTCTCTTTGGGGTTGAAGGAGTAGGAGGAACTGTGCCTTCTTAAGAATGTGAGAGGGCCGGGCGCGGTGGCTCACGCCTGTAATACCAGCACTTTGGGAGGCCGAGGCGGGCGGATCACGAGGTCAGGAGATCGAGACCATCCTGGCTAACACGGTGAAACCCCGTCTTTACTAAAAATACAACAACAAAAAATTAGCCGGGTGTGGTGGCGGGCGCCAACAGTCCCAGCTACTCGGGAGGCTGAGGCAGGAGAATGGTGTGAATCCGGGAGGCGGAGCTTGCCAGTGAGCCGAGATCGTGCCACTGCTCTCCAGCCTGGGTGACAGAGCGAGACTCCCTCTCAAAAAAAAAAAAAAAGAACGTGAGAGAAAGAGGACACTGAGGTGAGGGGAAGACGGGAAGACAAAGCGCGGCGTCTGCCCGTGTCCGGAGCCCTGCGCTGAGTTCTCACTGAGAGCAGGACTGGAGGGCGGATCCTAGGAGCACTGTTTCCATGGCTCCCTAGAAAGAGGCCAGGCACAAGAAGGGCAGGACAGAGCCCAGGGCGGGGAGTCTGCCCGCTTCCGTAGCAGCCCCAGGCACGCGGCTCTGGAAGCTTGTCCACAGATCTAGCTGTCGCTCCTCGCCCTGCAGTCGCTCCTCGTGCAGCCTTATCCTGTGACTGCGGGCACTGCCCGTGCTGTGCCCTTCTCTTGCGCAACTGCCTGTCTGATATCTACACAGAATTTCCCCATCTCCGGAGACGCCCTGCCTGCGGCTCTAGTCAGAAATCAGGCTGTCTTGATTTCTTTCTACCCCTTACTTTCCACATTCTACCCCCAGACTGGACACCTCCAGTCTCTGCCCCCTTCACAGCCACCCAGGCCAGCATCCCTCTTGCCCAAGGAACCGAAACACTATCTGGATGCCTCCTGACACCGGCTGAACTCTCACAGCCACCCCAGAGCCAGAGATGTTTCTTTTTTTTTTTTTTTTAATTATACTCTAAGTTTTAGGGTACATGTGCACAACATGCAGGTTAGTTACATATGTATACATGTGCCATGCTGGTGCGCTGCACCCACTAACGTGTCATCTAGCATTAGGTATATCTCCCAATGCTATCCCTCCCCCCTCCCCCGACCCCACCACAGTCCCCAGAGTGTGATATTCCCCTTCCTGTGTCCATGTGATCTCATTGTTCAATTCCCACCTATGAGTGAGAATATGCGGTGTTTGGTTTTTTGTTCTTGCCATAGTTTACTGAGAATGATGGTTTCCAATTTCATCCATGTCCCTACAAAGGACATGAACTCATCATTTTTTATGGCTGCATAGTATTCCATGGTGTATTATGTGCCACATTTTCTTAATCCAGTCTATCATTGTTGGACATTTGGGTTGGTTCCAAGTCTTTGCTATTGTGAATAGTGCCGCAATAAACATACGTGTGCATGTGTCTTTATAGCAGCATGATTTATATAAACTCTTGTCGTGTTATTCACTTCCTGGTGGAAAACCCCTTGATAAGCTCCTATTACCCTTAGGAGGAAATAGAACCTCTTTAAAATGGGGACTGTGCATCTACTACCCATCTGTCTCGGTTTCAGCCCCATGGACTCTCCTTTCGTCTCCGCATTCTTTCTTCTGGTGTCCAAACTCTTCCATCATGAATCTTTATCAGTAGATAATTTTCTGTGTATTTTTACCAGTCATATATTTTGAGTACGTATTTACCAATTATATACACATCTTATTGCTGATTTTATTTTTAAATCAGTAAAGCATAGCTATTTAGATAATATTTCCTTCTGTAACTCCAGGGATTCATCTTGCACAGCCGTGGGCCGGGTGCTCACTTTGTGGGGACTTCTGCTGTGGCCACGTGCAGTCCCTCCAGACCAGGAGTCCCCATCCCCCCAGCCACAGACCAGACCAATTAGGAACCAAGCCGCACAGCAGGAGGTGAGCAGAGGCAAGCAAGCATTACTGCGTGAGCCCTGCCTCCTGTCAGATCAGCCTCCTCAACATTAGATTCTCATAGGAGCGTGAACCCTACTGTGAACTGCACATGTGAGGGATCTAGGTTATGTGTTCCTTATGAGAATCAAATGCCTGATGATCCATCACCATCTCCCATCACCCCCAGATAGGACCATCTAGTTGCAGGAAAACAAGCTCAGGGCTCCCACTGATTCTACATTATGGTGAGTTGTATAATTATTTCATTACATATTACAATGTAATAATAATAGAAATAAAGTGCACAATGAACGTAATGCACTTGAATCATCCCAAAACCATCCCACCTCCCAACCCCAGTCCTGTCCATGGAAAAATTGTCTTTCACAAAACAGGTTCCCGGTTCCCAAAAGACTGGGGACTGCTGCTCTAGACCTCTGCACCCACTCTTTCTCCTGCCCGGGGTCTTTCCTCACCCTCACCTGGGTGACTCCTACTCACAGAGGAATTTGGATGTTTATTAAGCCGACAGGCAGTAAAAAGCCAGTACTTAGAGGAAACAAGCCAATATGGGCTCAGTAATTAGAGCTCTATTCGTGGTTTTCAGGCAGGTGTTAGATTTGCTAGTACCAAATGCCAAAACATACAGTTACAAATCTCTGACTGTGACTTCAGTCCTAATCTCGGAATCTGTGTTTTCTCGGAAGTATAGCAGCGTGAGAAATCAGTGAGACATCCGCTCATTTGCCATTTGTTAACCCAAGGCTAAATGAAGTAGAAGGAGCCTGTGTTCCCAAACCTTACTCAACATTCATAAGGCTTAATTAAACTGACATTCAGACAGGGGTCAGAAAACGCAGGATTAATATTTGGATTGCTTCCAGTCTTTTGCTGTTACAGTCTGTGCTGTATGAGCAACCATTTACATATGTAGTTTCACCTCTGTGCTACTACATTTGTAGGATGAATTCCCATAAGTGAAATGCTGGGTCCAACGGCATGTGCATTGATCAATTTTATGGCTACAGATGTTGCCATATTTTGCATTTTAGTAATTGTACCAACTTACACTTCTCCCAGCAACAGAGAAGTGGGCCAAGCTCCCTACAGCCTCATCAGCAGTGTGTTAACAAACCTTTGGATTGTTGACTTCTGATAGCTGAAAATGGTATCACAAAGTAATCTGGACTTGCATCTTTCTATAAGAAATGTCGTGGATCCGTGCTTGGTATAAAATTAAACTCACCAGAAACTTGAAACAAAAAAACAAAAACAAATGTCGTAAATCTTTTCATATGCTTGAGAATTATTTGCATCAAATGCCTATGGACTGTTTCTTCAAATCATTTATTTAAATAACAAATAACTCTTCCAGTTCCACTTCTTTGCTCCAGTTTAACGCAGGCATGGACCCTTTCAGGGAAGAAGCTGCATCTTACTTCCTGCTATGCTCCTAATATCAGTACTCAATAATTACTTGCTGAATAAATAAACGATTGTGGGCCCTGGAAGACAGTGTCATCCCAAAAAACTGGCATTAATGCAGAAACTTCAAAAAACTACTGAGAGGATATTTTGACGATGTTCTAGCCATCTGTAAGGAGTATTGCACCCAGGGCCATCAAGGAAAGACTTGGAAAGATGCCTCAGCCACAGTGCCTCCAGCTGCAGCCCCTGCATAGTGGGTTTTATGAAGGACCCTCCTCCTATCACTCATGTCTGGTGGGGAGGAGCTGGGGAGACAATCCCAGAAGAAGGGGTTGGAGTAAGCACAGCACCAGCCTCCCCCACATGCTGAGGAGGAACCACTATTTAGAGGCCATGCCATCTAATGTAGCAATCCTGAACAGCTAGCCATGAGGGAGCCACACTATCAGCTTCTGGAGGAAGCTGGATCTAGACCAGAATTTTTACAGCCACCCCTGGCATCTGCTCTTACCAGTCACTTTTATCTGGAACCTCAGCTGCCTGTCACCTCTCATCCCGTCTCTACCCTGCCCCTCCAACACACACGTGTGCACACAAACATGCACACGCACACACACACACACACGGCAGGGGATGGAAGGCTATGCAGTCAGAGTCCTGATGAAGGAATCAAACTGGGCCCATGCAGACAGCAGCAGGAACCCAAAGAGAGCATAGAAATCCATGGACTCAACAAAGAAATGGGGCAACTTCTGAAACCCCTAAATTTGAATTAAAAGACAACTACAAATTAGGAGTAGAAGCTTAGACAAGTTCTTTAATCTCTATAAGCATCAGTCTCCTTAGGGAGGCATTAGGCATAGTAATATTTATCAATTTTTGTTTTGGTTTTTTGTTTGTTTTTGTTTTGAGACAGTCTCGCTCTTGTTGCCCAGGCTGGAGTACAATGGCATGATCTCAGCTCACTGCAACCTCCATCTCCCGTGTTCAAGCATTTCTCCTGCCTCAGCCTCCCAGGTAGCTAGGACTATAGGCGCCCACCACCACGCCTGGCTAATTTTTTGTATTTTTAGTAGAGACGGTGTTTCACAATGTTGGCCAGACTGGTCTCAAACTCCTGACCACAGGTGATCCACCCGCCTCAGCCTCCCAAAGTGCTGGGATTACAGGCATGAGCCACTGCACCTGGCCATATTTATCTATTTTTAATATGGTTAGAGGATTAAATGAGATAATGCTTTCAAAACCTTGCAATTTGCACTCAAAAAATTTTTTGAATAGCTTTTTTTTTTTTTTCCCGGGACAGGGTCTTGTTCCATCACCAAAGCTGGAGCAGCCTCGACTTCTCAGGCTCAGGTGATCCTCCCACTTCAGCCTCCCAAGTACCTGAGATTACAGGCACACGCCTCCATGCCCAGTAATTATTTTATTTTTTGTAGAGGTGAGGGTCCCACTGTGTTGCCCAAGCTGGTCTCGAACTCCTGGCCTCAAGCGATCTGCCCGCCTCTGCCTCCCAGAGTGCCAAGTTTACAGGAGTGAGCCACCATGCCCGGACTTAAGCAGTTTTTAAGCACTGAGGCCTTGGAAAGAATTCTCACCTGGGGTTGTTTTAACTCATTAACTGGCTGGTCAGAGGGTTAGTGGAAGACACAAAAATTTTGAGGTAAGTTTACCACCACCTGCTGGCAAAAAAGAGTTTGACCATTAACTTTAAAGGGACCAGTCTGCGCCGAACAGATGAGTGGACGTCTCCTGACAGGGACTCTGAGATGTGGCGCTGCCTACCTGTGTTCTCTGTTCTGGGTTATGATCTCCATTTGAAGTCACCGATTGCTTTGCTCTCTCTAGTTATGTATGGTCCAGGACAAGAAGAAAGACTGATCAAGGAGCCAGGGTGAGGCACGACTCCTTCCCCTTGTTGACATTGGCAAAGGCTCCCGTCCCGGGCATGACTGTGCTTCTAAATAGAGCCAGCTTAGAGCTAGGCCTGGGTCCTGGGTGGTCTCCTGCTTTTCTGCTTTGCCTACAGGATGGATCTTGCTAGCCCCAACCATCTTCTAAAAATGTACTGAAAGGATTCCTCACTCCTCATTGCAGATTATACCTCTACCTCCACTCCTTTCTGAAAATCCACAGAAATGACAGTAAAAAGTTTATATAAAGGAAAACTAATTTATAAAAGTTCTGAGAACAGAAGAGGAGACAACAGAGGACTAAACTTGGGAAGAATTTTAGAAGCTGGAGTGCGGGTGGGGTGGATTGACAGAAAAACAGACTAAAGGAAGCCCCAGCCCAAGGCACACAAGAGAGAACCAGGGAGGGAGCCGTCAGGGTCAGCAGTTGAGAGCCAGGATGGAAGGATATGAAACAATTGAGGGGACCCACAGAAGGAGCACATGCAGAACTGTGGCATGGCCGTTCCACACCGATCTCCCCAGGGTGCCCTCAGAGTGAATGCAAAATCATACCCCCAAAGCACCCAGGAGGATGCCTAGGGGGAGCTGCATTCCCAGCATGAAGAACCGATCCCCATAGTAAATTCTCTCTCATTTTAGCTCAGACAGGCTAATAGAACAGGCTATTCTATTAGCAGACAGGGTGCAGCTAGACACCCTTCACGTAACCTCTGCCACCAGATGGGCTCCACACACCACCACAGAGCTGCACAACCAGCTGTTTTCATCCAGCAGAGCTGCACGGACCCATGCAAGTACTAAATCAATCAAGCCCACTCCTTCGTGGACAATCCAGGTTCACCCAGCAGCTGAGGGAAATGAGCCTTACCCATGAGAAGGAGCATGATAAACAGGACAATTGACTTTGGAGGAAACAAATGATTCAAGTCAGATGACAGAGTTTTAAAAAATCTAATGACAGTCTTCAGAAAAAATAGACAAGATATGGGTCTATGAATGCAGGAACAGCTTGCTATAAAAAGAAGGCAAGGAAAGGATAAATAGAAAGTCACAGAAATTAAAAATATAGTTACCAAATTAAAATTCAATAGAAGAGGTGGGGGAAAAGACAAAGTTGAAGAAGTCTTTCAGAACACATAAAAAAAAGACAAGAGAGGAAGCAGGTAGTACGAGAAAGATTCAGGGACATGGAAGATGGATGCCGATGGACCCATGTTTGACTAATACGAGTCATGAAAAGAGAAAAAGAGAAATGGAAAAAGAAAAAAAATTAATCAAAGAAATAAGAGGAGATGATTTCCCAGGATGATGAAGAACACCTGTGATGAAAAGCTGCCATTCCTGACTGCCTCTCCTGTTCTAACCTGTAATTCAGCTATTATGGCTGGAGCTCCAGCAGCCCTTTTGGGCCATGAATTGACCTTAAACAATGATAGAAGCCAGGCATGGTGGTACACATAGTCCCAGCTACTCAGGAGGCTGAGGCAAGAGGACCACTTGAGTTCAAGACTAGCCTGGGCAACACAGCAAGACCTCATCTCTTTTTTTAAAAAAAGATAGAAGTCTGGATTCTTTATTGTGCCTTTGAGCTCCATTCTAGCCTTGAAATCCTTACCTCCCAACTTCTTCTCTGTAAAAGAGAAATAAACTTTCATCTTGGCCACGTCACTGGATTTCTGCAGGTTTTCTGTTACGTGTAACAAACCAGCTTCTAACTCTGTGCTGTCCAATATGGTAGTCATTAGCCACATGCAGTTATTTAAATATAAATTAACTAAAATTAAATTAAATTAAAATTCAAGGACTGGGTGCGGTGGCTCATGCCTGTAATCCCAGCACTTTGGGAGGCCATGGTGGGCAGATCACGAGGTCAGGAGATCGAGACCATCCTGGCTAACACAGTGAAACCCCATCTCTATTAAAAATAGAAAAAAAAAATTAGCCAGGCATGGTGGCGGGCACCTGTAGTCCCGGCTACTTGGGAGGCTGAGGCAGGAGAATGGCGTGAACCCAGGAGGTGGAGCTTGCAGTGAGCCAAGATAGCACCACTGCACTCCAGCCTGGGCGACAGAGTGAGACTTTGTCTCAAAAAGAAAAAAAAAAAAATTCAGGTCCTCAGTCACACTGGCCACATTTTAAAAGCTCAACTGCCACATGTAGCTAGTGGCTACTATAGTGGACAAAGCAGAGACAAAACATTCCCATCATCGTGGAAGGTTCTGTTGGACAGCACTGCCCTGACACAAATCCCTTCTCACAAAGATGCTTGTGTTCTGGCAAAGGACATAAAAACAATCTACTCTCCGGAGTACCCAGCAGAATGTGTGCCATTGTGAGGTATAATTATGGAGGTCAAAAGGGCCTCCTAGAAGAAAGGCATCTGGGATGAACGTTAAGATTCATATGGGTATAGACGGTGTGCCCTGAAGATTGTGCAGCTTCAACACAATCTGGAAGCAGAAAAACACAAGACATGCTCAGAGTCATCTAATTTTATTGATGTGTAGGATCTGGAAATCTGTCATGTCTTGAAATAACTAATGTCCTATAAACTCACTGATGGCAGAGATTCTCTAATGGCCACTGCTTCTAGCCCCACTGTGAGCACATGCTAGGTGATATCCCTAAAATGCTTGCTCACTAAGACACAGACTTTTGCACAGTATATAAGGTCAAGTGTGCAATTTTATTTTATTTGTAGGTGTTATATCATTTTGGTCTGAGACATGGCCATCCTACAGGCAATAAATATTGTCAAGGAGACTTCACCACAAGTCACCAACGAATGTGCCTTCTCATTTTGCAGTAGCTGCTAACGAATTGGCAGAAAGACCAAAACCATTCTGGATATCAGAATGACCAGTTCAAACAGGTGGTCTGCTCCTTCCATTTTATTAACCATTTCCTTGAACACACGTTTTTACATCAAACAAATTTCCTACAGAAGCAGATATTTAACATACCATATCATACAATATTTGACAGTTATATATATTCTTTTTGGGGGAGACACTTTGTGTTGGGTGCTAAGGGTTGGCTCATTTATGTACAGATATTTACCAAGTCACTACACACATGTATTCCTTCCAAATGAAGACACATCTAAATACTAGGGTTATTTCTGCACTATTTATAAAGATTAAAAGGCATTTGAGCATTTCCATAAAGACCTTTTTATGAAAGGTCAGATCTTGTAGCAACTCATGAAGCACCAGAGCAGAAAATTAGCCTAAAGAGAATTGGGTTCCTAGACGGGGCCAGTGTCAACCACAGGGTTGAAGTTTCTGCCCATAGGATTGGAACTCATTTAGTACTCAGGTCTAGCAGGCAGAAGAGTCAATACACATTTGTTTTGCAACAATAACAAGCATTCCTGGTGCACCTGCTCCATGCCTGAAGCTGCTGTAGGACATGGGGCCACCGAGATGCGTGGGGCAGAAGAGAGGCCAGCTTTCACAGAAGCCAGGCTCCTGAGACACATCCCACGGGAACAATGCACTGTGGTTCCCCATGGTGGTTACACGGGACCACTTACTGCCCATTCGTGGATACACACATGAATTTTCAGCAAAAAGGAACAGGAAACATTTGAAAAGATAGCTGCCCCTTCAAAACTCAGTTGCCAACAGCCTGCTAATTTGCCAGTTTTCAAATGATTTGGATGTCTTATGCACACTCCTGTTCATGCCAGCACCGTTTCTTTCCTGGACTCTGCATTTCCAGGGGCAGGGGTCAAGTGCATAAGTTATTGATATGGCTACACCCAGGAAGCCCCTCTGTCCTGGCAGGCCTCAACAGGAAGGGTCCCTCTTCTGCACTAGCAGCTCACTGTTGTGTGACCCAATGGTCCTCTGCTTTATATACATTTTTTTCATTGGGTGCAGTCTAGATGTGAATGTCCAATACAAAGCAGAAAATAGGAATCATACCAAAAGTTATTACAAGAGTGGACTGTGAGAGCTGCAAGGACTCCAGCCCTTTGCTTCAGAGAAGGACCACACAAGCCTCCTGGTGTCCAGGCCACTGCTCTGACCATTGGCCCCCGTGTCCTTCCTTAGTATTTACCCCATCTAGTCATTTCTTTTTCTTTTTCTTTTTCTTTCTTTTTTTTTTTGAGACAGAGTCTTGAATGGTTGCCCAGGCTGGAGTGCAATGGTGCAATCTTGGCTCACTGCAACCTCTGGCTCACACCTCTAATCCGAGCATTTCTTTAAAATAAAAAGCAAACCCTATAGTGCTTTACAAATTTACAAGAAGCTCACACAATTTTGCAGTTCTCATGGCCATCGTGTACAGTCAGCACAGATGTGGAACCTGAAATAAGATGATTCACGCCACACAGCAGTGAAAGGCAGAATTAGCACCTGAACTCGGGTTTCTCTGCTCCAGTCTAGGTTGGGAGAAGATGGGGCTCCCTGGGCTATAGGTTGGGCCCTGACCTTTGTTGGCTGCTGAAATGAGATTGACATGCCTCCAAGTACACAGGCCAGAGTTCAGACTCCAACACAGATCCGGTGTGAGCCACTCAAAGCAAGCCTGGCTGTGGACGTGTGCTACTTGCAGCACTGGGCACCTTGAACTCCTTGAGCCCCTGTAATGCCCCCAGTCATCCTTTTGGAAACCCCAGATTGAGCCCAAATAAGACAGTAAGAAAGAGTCACAGAGTCTTCCACAGCACATGAGGCAGGGTTTCTAGCATAAGGTTTTATGTCTGGGTAAGCGCAACACCATGATTGACAGAAGTACAATTATTCAGACAATTATGAACAAAAGCCATGAATCAAAAGTTCAGGCAAGGGGAGCAAAGAAGACATTTCAGAACAAATGAACAGATTGCTTCTGATGGAAAGAATCTGGCCACTCTTTTCTTCCCTGAAAAGCATGCATAGCTCAGAGTGCAGCCAGCAGAGTGTGGACCTGCTTCTGGGGAGAAGAAGCAATCCCACCTGGCGTCGATATCACGGTTTTCTTCGCGTCACAATACGTGTTTCATCATGTCTGGCTTGCACTGAGGGTGCTGTGCATTCCCCGAGCACATGCCTGCTAGGTGGAGGGTGGATGGGGCCCCCAGAAATGGGTGGGAGCAGTAGAAACCATAGGACACAAAAGGACAGTAAGAAATTGTCATGACTGTCCCCAGAGTGGATAAGCAACCCTTGCATGTTGGACATAATCACCAGGAACTGAACAGAGAGAGCCTCTTAGGCCCATGTCTGAGCTGGTAAAGAGAAAAATGGGATGCTAGCACTCCCGCCTACCCCTTGGCTGTCGCTTTGTCATAGGTGAGCAAACAAAGGAGAACAGAGCCACAGAGAGGAGCACTTTGTGCTTAATCCCTTCTGGGAAAGCTGCAGGCGATCCTGAAACCACGGCAGCAAATAATCTCCTTAAAGGTCTTCCGCATCTCTTGGCTGCGGAAGGCATATATGAGAGGGTCCATCACGGAATTACACATGATGAGTATGAGGTACATATTGAAGTGAGACATGAAGCGAGAGCAGTAGAGGTTCTGAGGGCAAGAAAGCATTAAAGTGAGATGAAGGAAGAACGGGGCCCAGCACACGGTAAACACGCCCAGCAGCATGGTGACGGTGACCGCGCCCTGCATGCTGGTCCTCTGCCGCGCAGAGCTGGCCCCGGGCAGAGCCGCGATCCGCTTGACGTGAGTCCGCGCCAGGAGGAACATGTGTATGTACAGAGACACCAGGAGGAACAGCATAGCGAAGAACATGGAGATGAGGCACAGGATGACGTAGGTGGATTCTGAGTACAGGATGAAGACAATGCCGCAGCCCGTGCAGAAAGCCCAGATGCCGGCGATGATGGCCCCTGAGCGCCTCGCCGTCATGATGTGGTGGTAGCGCAGGGCGTAGAAGATGGTGACGTACCTATCCACTGCAATGGCCAGTAAGCTGCACATGGATGCCACCACGGAAATGCAGATCATGGAGTCAAACACATTGTCAATGTGGCGCACAAAGGCGTCTGCTATCACTAGGTGCTTGTTGTTGAGTAGGTAGATGGTGATGGTCTCCCAGGCACTGGACATGCTCACCAGCATGTCCGCCACTGCCAGGCTGCACACGAAGAAGTACATGGGGGAGTGCAGGTTTTTGTTCTTCACTATGGCCCCTATGACCAAGATGTTCTCCAAGAGGCTGATGACACCCAGAGTGAGAAACACCTCCACAGCAATGCCCATGTCTTCACATGGTGAAGACTTGTTTTTGACATTGGGTCCTGAAAGGTTGCCCTCTGTGGCATTCAGGTTGAGATCCAAGAAATGCAGGTGAAATGAGGAATTCATTGCTGGAGAAATACACCTCTTGTCTTGGCAGCAAATTTACTGTAAAACATGTTTTAAATTCACAATCCAAAGAGGTTAGCAGCCTACCAAAGAAAGACAGCAGCTAGCCTAGAACCAACACAGCCTAAGAAAGGGGATGAATGACACAGTGCATCAGAGGACTGGGCTCGGCTCACTCAGTCCTTTTTTTTTTTTTTTTTTAAGAGACAGGGTCTCCCTATGTTGCCCAGTCTGGTCTCAAACTCCTGGCCACAAGCGATCTTCTCTCTCAGCCTCCCAAAGTGCTGGTACTACAGGGGTGAGCCACGTGCCCGGCAGCTGGCTTGCACATTCTGACCTGCGTTCCTGAGACCTGGAAGAGTGCCCCTGGACACGCAGATTAGAATCTTCACCAGCCTCTTCTGCTCTCCTTGCTTTCAGCTCCCAGCCTTTCACATGCATCTTACTAGAGAGACACTCACCTCCAAGTGCCCAGGACAGTTTCACTTTTTATGGCTTCTCTCCTGGGCTCAAGTTCACTATCATAAGTGTCCCCAACTCATAACCTACAAAATCCCAGCCAGTCTCCCAATGTTCACATTCCTAAGGCTACTGCACGACATTCTCCTCAAGGGAGCTCCGATTTAAGACTGCCCAGACCCGTATTCCCTTAAGACAGACAGACAGGTGCATCCCTAACACTTGTCCTGACACTTCTTAGACCCATCAGGATTCAGCCTCCACAGCTGTAAGTAAGGCTATAACCAGAATGGTCTGTTACCCTGAGCAAAGTCACATGTTAAAAGCTACTGTCTTAAGTTTGTAAGTGTAGGCTGCACATACGTGTTAAAATTGAGGAAAACAGTGCTGCTTTTCCCTCAATACCTATTTTTCCCTCGCTTCTGCATTATGTGGAATTCCATGAGGTCTGCTTGATAGTTTATTAGGTCCGCGTGAGCACAGTATTTAAAAAAAAAAACAGCAATTTAAATGTACCACACTCCTTTGTTGCAAAATTTCTCTCTTATGATTCATTTTCAAAAATCCCTTTGCCCTCCAAACTCAGATCACATCTGGAGAGAATTTCTGTCATCACTGTCATCATTAATATTTGTAATCACTTTGGGAGGGAGGGAGGGGGTGAGGGACAACAAATTACTTAATAGGTACAATGTACACTATAGGGGTGATGGCTACACTAAAAGCCCAGTCTCCACCACTATGCAATACATCCATATAACAAAACAGCACCTGTACCCCCTAAATCTATAAAAATAAAAAAGGAAAAAATTGGTAATCTAAGCATTTATTGAACTACAATCATTTGTTACAGCTGAGTTCCAGCTCAGATATATCGGTAAATTATGCAATTATACTAAACATCATATCGAGCTGTGTTAAAAACTCACGGGGCAAGCTAGCTGCCGCCCCGCTCACTTCCACATGCAGCGGAAGCGCGATTTTGCATTTATTCTCAGGATCTCAAGGAGATAGAAAGTTGTGGCTATTTACCGGTGCTCCTCCTCGCGGGCCGCGGCGCTCAGCCCGGGCCCCCGGCGTCCCCGGGATCCGACGGCCGTGCGGCGCTCAGAGCCAGCCCCGGACGGGCCTCTCCCCCAGCTAGGCGGCTGCGGCTCTGCGGGGCTTTAAGCCTCCTGCCTGCCCGCGCCGGGCCCGCCTCCGCACCGCCGGCTGTCGCTCCGGGCGGCCTCCGCTGCCACCTAGTGGCCCAGCACGGCACAGCGGCCAGAGAACCGCGTCAGCCCCGAGCGAAAATCCCCCCGAACACACTCTTGAATGGTTGGATGGTTGCTTGGTTGGTTGGTTGGTCGGTCGGGTCGGTGGGTCGGTCGGTCGGTCGGTCGGTCGGTTGAATGGTTGGTTGGGTGAGTGGTTGCTTGGTTGGGTAGTTGGTTGGTTGAGTGGGTGGGTGGGTGGTTGCTTGTTTGGTGATTGGTTGGTTGGGTGAGCAGGTGGTTGCTTGCTTGGTTGGTTGGGTGGTTACGGGTTAGTTAGTTGGGTAGGTGGGTGGTTGCCTGATTGGTTGATTGGTTGATTGGTTAGGTGAGTGGATGGTTACTTGGTTGCTTGGCTGGTTGGGTGGGGGGTTCGTTGATTGGGTAGGTGGGTGGTTCCTTGGTTGGTTGATTGGTTGGTTGGGTAGGTGGGTGGTTGCTTGGTTGGTTGATTGGTTGGTTGGGTAGGTGGGTGGTTGCTTGGTTGAGTGAGTAGATGGTTACTTGGTTGCTTGCTCGCTTGCTCGCTTGCTTGGGTGGGTGGGGGGTAGTTGGTTGGGTAGGTGGGTGGTTGCTTGGTTCGTTGATTGGTTGCTTGGGTGGGTGGGTGGTTGGTTGGGTGAGTGGATGGTTGCTTGGTTGGTTGATTGGGTAAGTGGGGGTTGGTTGGGTAGGTGGGTGGTTGCTTGGTTGGTTGGTTGGGTCAGTGGGTGGGTGGGTGGTGGGTGGTTGCTTGGTTGGTTGGTTGGGTCAGTGGGTGGGTGGGTGGGTCGTTGGGTGGGTGGTTGCTTGGTTGGTTGGTTGGGTCAGTGGGTGGGTGGATGGGTGGTTGGGAGGGTGGTTGGTTGGTTGGTTGGTTGGCTGGGTCAGTGGGTGGATGGATGGGTGGTTGGGTGAGTGGTTGCTAGGTTGGTTGGGTCAGTGGGTGGGTGGATGGGTGGTTGGGTGGGTGGTTGCTTGGTTTGGTTGGTTGGGTCAGTGGGTTGGGTGGATGGGTGGTTGTGTGGGTGGTTGGTTGGTTGGTTGGTTGGGTCGGTGGGTGGATGGATAGGTGGTTGGGTGGGGGAGTGGTTGGTTGGGTCAGTGGGTGGGTGGATGGGTGGTTGGGTGGGTAGCTGCTTGGTTGTTTTTCTGGCTGGTTGCACTTTTTGTTTCTTTTCTCTTCCTCTTGAGCACTGATTAAAATGCTCCCGAGCTCAAAGAGGGCTTGTCACCCCGTTTCTCCTGGACAGTGGTCTCTGGGATGTCCTGATGATTGTTCTTTGGGAAGGAGGCCCAGTGCCTGGGAGCCCTCATCTGTGGCCCTACCACGCCCCTCTTTGCCCAAGGCTCTCACCCCTCCTCCAGGACTACACATGCCATGCCAGGCTTTATCAACCACACAGGCTTTCCTTACTCCAGCAAAAAAGAACAAAGGATGTCCTCTCACCAAATATCCTGGCCTTTCGCAATAGTTTCTGGACCCCACTCCTTCTCTGACACCTAAAACTGACCTTCAACCCCCAAAAGAATCATTATACTCACAATAAGCAGAAGTGCCACTGCCCTGCAAGCCAGGGCAGGATGCACGGGGCCATATCACTACCAGAGCTTTCCTTGGGCTTTGCAGATGATCACAACCTTCCAGTATTTCAAGTGTGGGGACCACAGTCTGGCTGGCCTCACGCCACTGGAGTCCCAAGCCGTGCTGGGAGCCACAGGGTGGAATTCTAGAAGGAGGTTCTGAATGTTGAGAATACATATTGGGAATGTGGTGTGAGGGAGGGAACCCATTTCCGTGTGTTGAAAACATCAGCAGGGTCAAGCACTCCCACATATAGTCCTCACATCCAAGATCAGATCAGAGAGGGCTCTGCAAAAGGTCCTGGTGTCCCAGGAAAGTGCTCAAAATGGAGGGCTCTGTGCAAGATGAGCAGCTGGACCACAGCAGGCGGCCTCCCACAGTGGTGAGGGCGGCTGGCCCAGGGGCCCTATGTGCAGGGGTGACCCTGAGTGCTGCACAGGAATTACCTTCCTCAACCTTTACGAAACCCTAGAAGTGGGTTTCTCCTCTCGCAATGGAAGGAGCCGGTGCTGGGAGAGGTGACTTAGCAAGCTCCAGCTTCCAGCGCTAGAGAGCTGAGCCCCGACTGACTCAGAGCCCAAGCACTTTCCCCGGCAGGACGCAGCCTCCCTGAGAGCCCTGGTGCCACCGGGCATTATTCTTTTAAAATGCTGCTGGATTTGATGTGCAGTGTTCCTGTCTTCATACTGTCTTTATCAGATTTTGGTATATAAGTTACCCTAACTTTGTTTAATAAACTGGGGAAATATTTTGATTATTTTTATATTCTGAAACACCTTAGGTGATGTAGGAATTCTCGGTTTCTTGCAGGAAAATAATTGAATTAAGGTTAATAGAGTTAAGAGAATAGAGACTAAGCTCTTCAACTGTTCCTGTCATTGGAAACTTTCTCCCAAACAGCAGCCTAATGACAATGCTGAACACACACGATGACATGAGCCACCCAGGAAGGAATGTTCCTTTCCCTGTCAAAGACCAGCATAACATGCAACAACCCAGGTGTTTTATTTCTTGAACAATGACAACAGAGAGGATTCTCAATTCGAGTGCACAGAGACAACCCGTGGAGTCATATCTGTGAAGGCTTGCAAGGGTCAAATCTAGCTGGACACTGGATGTCTCGGCCTGGGTTCTCTGAGTCACAGGCTCTGAAGAGTTCACCATGCAGGATGCTGTGGGGAAGCCTCCTGGGGGCAGGCCTGCGGAGGGAGGGATGGGAGGGGAGGGAGAGAAGAGAGCTGCCAGGCAGCTCCAACAACCTCAGCCCTCACGCCCCACCCAGCTCAGTCACCAGAAGCAAGCTGCTTCCGGGAAGGTGTGAGGCCAAACCGGAGGGGCTGACAGCTGGGGGAGGCAGCAGACCACCCCTACAGTTGGGCAGCAGGTCCTCCCCTGAGGTGTCTGGCACAGCTCTGTGTCTGTCGCTCTCATGGCGCCAGAAAACTCTTATCAAATGTCATCTCTGTGCTCAACACCACCAAGGGGCTGGACGAAGGCACTAAAAGACCTGCTGCAAGGCAAAGCTCACCCAAGTGAGTGCTGAGAAAGCAAGATAATCACAAGTGCTGGGTTATGACAATTTTTAAACTCCAAGGATTACAAAATACTTTCATATATTAACTTACGTAGTCCTTAAAGCAACCCTGGAAGGTATTAACATTATTACCATATTCATAGACACAGACTCTGAGGCTCATGGAGTTTCTGACACTATTTGGCTGGTCAGTGGTGCCACCAGCTGTTGATCCAAATCTTCTCAATCCCAAGCCCACATTTATGTAGATGCACTTGCCCATGTCACACATGAACATTGGGCAATGCGATCCTAGATATGCACGAGTTTCCCACCTTACTTAGAGAAAAGGAAAGGAACATTTGCTGGGAGCCTGCAGTGTCCAATACTGTGGTCTGCATGTCCGTATTCTCAGTGAATTCTCCCAGCAGCCCTATAAAGTCGACATTCTTCCCAGCATCTTACAGATGGGGAAGCTGAAGCTCTGAGTAGTCATGTGACTTCTCAGTTGGTGATGAAAGCAGGATCAGGATCTGAATCCAGACTTCCAGGTGGTATCTGTGCTTAATCACAGTCTAAGGACTCAAGTCCTGTGCCTCAGTCCCATTGCCACAGAGGAGGAAACTCAGGTGCCCTGGGATCCCAAAGGCAGGCAGAGAGGAACAGGGAGAGAGCATGAAGCGAAGGGAAGAGAGTTGGACATGCAGAGAGGCCCGTGATGGGTACAGAATGGGCCAAAGCAGGAGATGGAAGCTGAGGGCTGAAGGGTGAAATGCGGTCACCAGGTGGGAGGAGGCTGGGGAACATCCAGCTAGGGCGCTAAGGCGGGAGGGGTGGGTTTCTTTGAGGGAGAGAGAGAGTGCCAGTGACTGGAGAAAGAGCTTGTGAGGGCACCCAAGGCTTTGCAGGTTCTACGAAGGTACTGAGGCTAAGGCAAGGGGAAGCCTTGCCAGGGCTTAAGCAGCAGCACAACACTTTTAGATTTGTAGCGTTACAGCAGCCCAGCCACGGCGAGGAGATGGCACTGGAGGAGTTCAGGTGGGAAGAAGGTTGTGCATCAGTGGCAGAACCTCACGAGATGAACAGGCCCCTGGGCTGAATCCCTTTCTCCACCCCCTGCCTGGGGATGCTGCCAATTCATGCTCAGGCCCAGCTCTTGGCAGCTGCAGCAAAATTACCAAGTAATCCTGACTCTGAGGTGTCAAGGCCGAAAACAAAAACCGGCCCTGAACAAGCAGGCTACACACAGTGTTGGCACAGTGGGACCCTTCCACACCAACCCTCAATATTCCCTCTCAAGCCAGAAAACGAGGACTTGGGGTTTGGTGTGGGATTTGGGGGAATTTTCAAATTTCTATTTTGGTTTTTCATTTCTATTTAATGTTTGTTTTATTTTGACTGCTAGAAAGACGTAATCTCTGCAATGCCATGTAGGTCAAGATTCTGAAAGTCCCTGGGGAAGGTTATGTTTGAAACTGTACACACCTCTCATCTTTGAACAGGACCCAGTAAGCATCCTTTGCATTTAGTTTAAAGCTAAGGATGTTAGGGGCCGGGCACGGTGGCTCACGCCTGTAATCCCAGCACTTTGGGAGGCCGAGACGGGCAGATCACGAGGTCAGGAGATCGAGACCATCCTGGCTAACATGGTGAAACCCCGTCTCTACTAAAAATACAAAAATTAGCCGGGCATGGTGGCGGGCGCCTGTAGTCCCAGCTACGCGGGAGGCTGAGGCAGGATAATGGCGTGAACCCGGGAGGCGGAGCTTGCAGTGAGCCGAGATCATGCCACTGCACTCCAGCCTGGGCGACAGAGCGAGACTCCGTCTCAAAAAAAAAAAAAAAAAAAAAAAAGAGAAAAAGCTAAGGATGTTAGACTGAAGACCGAATAGACAGTCCTTTCCTTCCAGAAGCACATAGCTCCTGATAAGCAACGGAACTCACTGTGCTCCTGCTGAAGGGTGTGGAATCGTTCACTGGGGAGATACTCAGAGATGCCTTAGTCCAGCACCCAGGTAATCACTGGGAAGTTAGCCACAAGATCTGGAGAGGAAGTCTCTTTTCCGGTATTTCAATCTTGCAGTTCTTGTAGTTACTTAGCCAATTTTTGTTAAGAAGACTCTTCAATACTAATTGTTACTTCAGGCTTCTGAAAAACTTCTTGATGCTCCTTCTACCCAAAATTATTTCCATCTCTCCTCTCCTTTGCCCTCTAACCTCCCGTTCATCCTTTAGGCCCAGGCCCGTAGCTCCTGCTGGGACTCTTCTGTGGACACCCCTACACCTGCCTGAGTGGCAGCCCCCTTCACTTCCCCACCCCAGCTCCGATCTCATTGCAGGGTAATTATCTGCCTGTCTCAACTCCTGCCTCGGGGCACTGTGAATTCTGCTGGGCAGAGGACTCCCAGTGGTGGCCCCAGTGACCAACCAGCATTGGGCTGACCCCTCCCAGCCATGTGGACCCAGTGTGGCCTGCACAGTCCTTTAGCTACAAGGATTCATTTGAGGGTCAGCCCATGACCCAATCCAGGCAAACGAGATTAAACGAGATTAAAGCAGACTTCTAGGAACTTCTGAGAAGGAATGTTCTCCTTCTTCAGTGGCAGCTACCACAGAGGTGCACTGTCTCCCCGACTATGAGTGATTTAAAGCCTAACAGAGCCCTGGTTGTTGCTGACCACCTGCTTTCCACCCCGGGACAGCCAAGCCTTGGGTTGTGCCAGCGTCATGCAGGACCAGCCTCGAGGTGGGAGCAGAAGCAGGACCTGGTGCTGCTGACCCCACCGGTCCAGCCCTTCACAAGCCTGAGTTTTTCTGGACTCTTCAGTTCCCTGAGTTAATACATTCCCTTTATCATTTAAACAAGTTGGATTTGGTTTTCTTATTCTTGCCACCAAGAAAATCCTAGTCCTCAAATCCCACTGCACACTTACTTTTCTCTGGAGTATTCTATTGTATCACAGCCTAGCAGAGCATCAAATTCTTACACACAGTTGTCGCCATCTTAACAGTACAGTGTTCATCTTTCAAGTTGAACAGCTCTCGCCTCCTTCTCATTGTACAGTGTGACTGTGTATTAAGAATGCCCATTTGAGTTGGTTAAGAACATTCAGATCCACTTTTCTTTCTGTCATTACACAGTCCTTCCCTAGATTGATCAACACATTCTATTCAGGATATCAGTCTTCCTTGTTACAAAATTCCAGACTGCAAAAAATAACGTAAGAAGACACTGGGAAAAATACTTGTGATATGTATGACTGAGCACCATTCTCTCTTTCCAGACCACTTAGAAATCAGTCCTCAAGAAACAAGGAAGACACTGCAGCAGGGAAATGAGCAAGAGGTGTCTGCAGTCTCCTCTACTTATTCCCTAGCTTCTAGGGCCCCAAAGCAGCCACCCCAACCCCAGCCGGCATGACCTGCTGTCTGCAAGAACCACAACCAAACCATTGCTAGTGTAGGGGTCAGCTGTGGCCTCAGCAATGCTGAATAATAAACTACCCTAAAGTATAGGGGCTTAAAATGAAAATGACCTACTCTCATGCTCAATTCAACTGCAACTCAGCAAGGCTATGCCAGACCTTAAGCTCTAAGACCCAGACTGAAGGCGGTTTGAAGTCTGCTTAGGCTCTGGCCCAGTGGCTAGGAGGTGCAGTCCCTACCTCACTGGGGCTCAAAGATGAGGGGACAGTGGCGGCCTGGGGCATATTCTCCTGCCAGACCATGAGAGCTAGGCACCATACTTGAGGCCTATGATTGGGACCATTTCATCTACTAAAGCAGGTTGCATGGCCAAGCCCAACCTCCATGGGCGGTGAAGCACTCCACCCAGAGTGGGGAGGGAAACATGGAGTAAACACTTCCCAAGCAGTAATCCAGACCATCACAGCTAGTCTCTGTGTCCAAATGCTCAATAGCTCATCTGACTGGCCCAGCTCGTGAGTCACCGATCAGGCATAGGCCAATCACCTTGGCCAGGTCGGGTGTTCACGTAGTTCCACACTCAGTCCAGGGACCCACTTCTTCCTTCTTCCTCCAGGATAGAGGAGCATGCAGCACCCAGAAAGGGGGCAGGCATGAGGCCACCACCAGAAGGTTCCTTCCTCAGTTTTCATCACTGGCATCTGGACAAGAGAGAAGAGTTCTGACCTTTGAAAGCCACACACTGAAGTCCCAGTGCATGTGACAAGAGTAGATATGACTCTGGTATAACCCATTTATTTCAAGAAGACAATTAAGAGAACAATTAAAAAAATCATGTTTAAAAATGTGTTTTATTTCAAAGAAACGAGTGATTTGAGGAATAAATATAAAACAAATTAAATAGAATTACACATCCAGTTTTCTTTCTTCCCTGGATAGCTTCTTTAGGTATGGAGAGGAGGTAAATGAGAGAAAGAAATATCAGTCAATCAAGATATATTTTTCAAAAGTATCCACAGTGGGTAGTAAAAGTCTGCAATGTAATGACAATCACAATGAGCGTTCACTCACTGTCTGCTAATAGAAATGAGGTATATGTCAGTGATGGAGAATATATTTCTTCAGTCTCCACAGCAGATTGTTGATATTAAGGTTTTACTGTTGCAATTTGCTCTTATTTATTTTATATTTTTAGAAACTCTGTATTTATTAATTTGGAAAGCTTGAGCCATGAGCTCTTTCGTAGGACAGAATGCAACTGAGGGCAGTAGCCCAAGGCATTCCAGGTCCATTCTGTGGACCACACCTTCTGAGCTAATGTAGGTTAGCTTTTAGACTCCTGCCATCATGCACCGTTTACTAAATACTGTGCTGAATCTAAATTTGTTTAAGTAGAAACTAAGGAAGAATTTTCATGGTCCTGCCATTTACTTCTTGAATTTCCTCATTTCCACACATATCAAAGACACACATAAAACAGATACTGGTCTTGGCCAGGCGTGGTGGCTCATGCCTGTAATCCCAGCAATTTGGGAGGCCAAGGTGGGTGGATCACCTGAGGTCAGTATTTTGAGACCAGCCTGGCCAACATGGTGAACACCCGTCTCTACTAAAAATACAAAAATTAGCCGGGTGTGGCAGTGCACACCTGTAGTCTCAGCTACTTGGCAGGCTGAAGCAGGAGAATCACTTGAACCTGGGAGGCAGAGGTTGCAATGAGCCAAGATAGTGCCACTGCACTCCAGCCTGGGCGACAGAGTGCGACTCCATCTCCAAAAAAAAAAAAGATACTGGTCTTTCAAAACTCACATAGCCACTGAAATCCACAAATGTGAAGAGGCTCTGCCAGGTACGATGCTAATCATCATAGTTAATTGTTTTTTTGCAATGAACATCTTTAGGATGATAGCTTTATCTTTCATTTGGACTATTTCCTTAGATAAACTCTTAGCAGGGGGTAATAGGGTCTGCCTAAACTCTAGCAGTAATGTAAATATCAATTGCGTGCCTTAAAAACTAACATTGTTAGTTTTCCATGAATGCTTCTTCATCCTCTCAAGTTTCTAGTTGCGTGTGGATGAATTACAGGGAAAAAAGAAGCATTTACTCAAAAATACCTCTACACAAATCAAGCAGTGTCTCATTTAAAATCTGCTTAATTCTTGTCCAAATTATGCTACTATCAAAGTCAACATGTTTTCTATTAATAAGAGTGAAGTTCAATTTAAAAAATACTCAATAACAGGCTGGGCATGGTGCCTTATGCCTGTAATTCCAGCACTTTGGGAGGCTGAAACCAGAGGATCCCTTGAAGCCAGGAGTTCAAGACCAGCCTGGGCAACAAAGCAAGACCCCATCTCTACAAAAATAGAATAAAATAATTAGCCAGGTGAGGTGGCATGCACCTGTAGCCCCAGCTACTCAGGAGGCTGAGGCGGGAGGATTGCACGAGCCCAGGAGTTTGAGGCAGCAGTGAGCTACGGGCACACCACTGCATTCCAGCCTGAGTGACACAGATAGACCCTGCCTCTGAAAAAAAAAAAAAAAAGTTTTTTTTAAAGGTACTCAATAACAGACTGAATGTAAATCCACTCCCAGAAACTAAGGCAAGCAATTGATATTTACATTACTGCTACAGTTTAAGCAGACCCTATTACCCCCTGCTGAGACTTTATCTAAGGAAGTAGTCCAAATGAAGGATAAAGCTATCATGATGAAGACAGTCATCGCAGAATTATTCATAATTTCAAAAAAAGTAACAATAGGATAATGACAAATTAAATAATTATGTCTACTGAGAGGACTATTACCCAGTCATTAAAAATTATGAAACTCAAGGCCAGGCACAGTGGCTCACGCCTGTAATCCCAGCACTTTGGGAGGCTGAGGCAGGTGGATTACCTGAGGTCAGGAGTTCAGACCAGTGTGGGCAATGTGGTGAAACCCCATCTCTACTGAAAATACAAAAATTAGCCTGGCATGGTGGCGCGCACCTGTAATCCCAGCTACTTGGCAGGCTGAGGCACAAGAATCACTTGAACCCGGGAAGCAGAAGTTGCAGTGAGCCGAGATTGCACCATTGCACTCCAGCCTGGGTGACAGAGCAAGACTCCATCTCGGAAAAAAAAAAAGAAAATCATTAATCAGCTTTAAAATGTTTACAATATAATAAGATGCAAATGTACATTATGATTGTAATCATGTTAGAATATTTATGCATTTGGACAAAGGCCAGTGGGAAATAAAAATGAAAATGGATTAGGGCATTGTTTTTCCCTGTTTTCCCAAACTTTGAATTTATTAATTTTATGATGCCTGACCTGGAGCATAATGAAGTTTGACATCAGACAGTGCAAAGTTCCAAGGTGACCCTAGTCCCTTTAAGATTGGACAAGGCATACAGAATGCTTAGTGGTGCACCCATCTGATGGAAAATTGCACACATGGTTTTTAAAATTTTTACATATCAGCAGGGAATGATATTGGCGGCCTATGGCTAAATGTATGATCCCAATTTTGTTTATGTAGATAGATGATTGATGGAAAACAACAGATAGGACTTTTATAATCAAAGCAAACAGACCACAGATAACCAAAATTGTTACCTCTGGTTGGTACAATTATTGATGAATTTTATTTTCTTCTGCATACTTTTCTCTGGTTTCCGATCTTCTACAATAAATATATTTTATATTTGTAATGGTAAGCTATAAACATTATTTTTAAAAGAAAAAAGCTGCATCTCTCAGCAATGTGTCAGTATGGATAACCTTGCAAAACTCTTTGGCCCACCCCAATGGGCCTGACTCCTATCCTACTCAAATCTGCTAGCTTTTGCTTTGCTCACTGGGTTCTCCTCCAGAAATTCGAGCCCCTGCTGACACAGTCAATCCCTCTAGAATCTAGCGCCGTTTAACTCCAACTTTGTTGCAATCAACACGCATTTGCCTCTGCTTCAACTCTTACCACCTTCAATTTTAGCTGGTATCAACTCAAGCAGGGATTTTCTCCCTGGCTTCCTACATTGCCTTAATTGATTCCTGGGCAGACCCAGCCCAGAGAGTTGTGACTCATGTGGCTCTTTGCTGCCCTCTCCTGATCATAGATGGCACTACCTCAGCTGCCCCATGAAAGTCTATTGTACCAACATCCAATATTCAGAAGAAACATTACAACATTAGGCTCTGGTAATTAAGGAGGGCAGCTGTAGAATTCATATGCTGAAAACTTTTATTCTATCTTAACCAAGATAGAAATAACAGAACAAAAGCCTGCTGCATATCTGTCAATGTGTGGGTCTCATTAGCCATAACAAAATTATTATTCATCACAGCTTCAGACTGGTATATTTGGAACTTTTGGGATTACTGATGTTGCAATTTTCAGCAGCTCATGATTGTTCTTAGGCTTAAATTTCACAGATGGATCAGATACTGCAGTGTCTACCTTTGCACAGGAATGTGAGAATTTTGAAAGGCCAACCAACAAATTGCCAAAAACAAAGCTCATGTTGACACTTTCCAAATAAACCTCTTGGCTGAACCAAGTGTAGACATTCACAAAGACCCAGGGACACATCCTGATATGAGATGATGCTTTGCTACATGTCTCAGATATTAAAGGACAATGCCTGCTACAAACGATGCACACATCAGAGCAGGTGTTCTTGCATTCAGGGTCGGCAGAACAACATAAGTACACACGCCCCCAAAACAGATCAGCTCAGATCTAACAGTACCTGCTTCAACTCCACAGGCTGAACACTTGAAAGCTGTTTGTAAGGGTGTGAAGAACACATTCCACGCTAAGGGCAGCCATGGAGATCTTCCTTCTTCACAGGTTTCGTCTTGCCCAGCCTTTTCAGTGATGTTCATAAAAGGCTGTGAGAACGAGATGGAAATCAAGTGCACTGATGCTATTAGCTTTGGGATAGGAATCTTCCACAGCAAAGTCTCGGTCTGCTCTTATGGGGGGTTTTATGGGTTCCCTGTGTTTTCCTTCCAGCTTCTAGGTTGTGTTCAGGGATCCATTCCCCCTACCACCGCCCACCTCCGAGAAAGCCAACGCACCTCCGACCCCCACCAGCCCACCCACAAGGTTTTGCTGATTCTGATCAATACAAAAGGAGCCTGCTGAGGGGTTTCTGGGGATGGTTCCTTCCAGAGCTATATGATGACAGTCCTCTTCTTCCTTCGGGAGTCACCAAGTGTGCACGAACTCCAGGGACTACAAAGCCATCCTCTTCCAGCATGAAGATGGGCCATCATGGCGTGTAGCCGAGCAGAGGGCTGGAAGTAACCTAGGAATTTGATTCACCTCTGAACCAACCAGCTCTGAGGGCCTTTCTACCACTGGCCCCCTCGTGGCTTAGGGGAGAATTAATTCTTATTCTTACACTTGTCTCAGTCTGGTTCCTTGTGCTGCTGTGGGATTCATTCTAAGCAGTACAGTCCTCTCCCCAAGCTGCTGATGCCCCCATGTCCTTCAAAACGAATGTGATTTCAGTGTTGAGACAGTGCAAAATGTGCTATGAATGAGCAAAGTTCCCCACAAAGAGGCACCACTTGGAATCACAGCAGGGCTGTGGGGAAGCCCATGGGAAGAGCAGACCCACACCCCTGCAGGTCAGCACCCACAGCATAAAATAGAGGAAGCCAATCCTGCCCAGTGCTTTCAAGTGCCCACTCACCCACAAAGTTAGAACAGTATCCATTGCAGATATCTTGAGGCAGTGGTCATTAAGAATCCCAGAAATCTGCTCCAACATCTGGAATCTCCTGGAGTGGCTGAAATACAAGACCACTCTAGAGGAGGAGCTGTCTGAGTGCACTGCTCAGCATGGCTCATGGCACTCCCAGGTCCAATCCCATTAGGACAGTACCTGTGCTGGTCATTTTCAGCATAGATTGCTAGTTGCTGCAGCTTCTAACAACAGCTTTCCTTTTCCTTCATCCTGTTAAATAACTTGAAGAAAGGAACTTTTCTGAGCTAGCACCTTTGTAGCCCAATATTTTCAAGCAAAGGCTGAAAAGATAGTGCAGGCTGTTTTTTGTTTTGTTTTTTTTTTTTGAATATACACTGAATCAAAATTTTGAAACACAATGTTGAACAAGGTGCCATATCAAATTTTCCATCCCTGAATACCTCACTCAACCAGAGCCAGTTTACACGGCACTTTGGTGTGAGTTAGGGAAAGGGGTCCCCTCGGGGCAGACAGCCCCGCTGGCATGTGGTTTGGTGATGAGACCCTGACTCACCTCTTCCTGCAGGAGAACATCGCTCCCAAACCGCCCAGGCACACAGCTTGGGAGGCAGAGCATCGAGACTGGCTCCTGTTTACTCTCTCAACTGTGGCCCTGGCACAGCAAAATACATGCCATAGACGTTCTCTAAGAAACCTTTTGTTTACAAGGAATTGCCTGAAGTCATATCAAGTTACTGGATGTTTAGCATAAGGATTCAAATGCCTGGAACCAGGAAAAGCAAAACAATTGACCTTAGGTCCCTTTGGGGCTGCTGGCTGAAATGGATGGGAAACCTGTCGTCCAAATAACAGCTGATGAAGACGTGGCAATTTTCGTAGGTGGGGAACATGGTACCCAACACAGTTTCATAGAGTTATTTTTATCCAAGAGACTGGAGATGGTTCATTTCCTTTAGAAGAGCTCAGCTGGAATGGTCACCAAGCTTTGTCAATACAAATGGAAGCTACTTTTACTGATCATCCATCAGGCATTTTTGGAATGCCCAGATGTCTGAGACAATTATTAACAAATTCTAGACCCTGGACCAATGCCACCTGTCCTTGATCACTAATCATTAGTGGATATTACAGAGTTGAACCTAGATAGATTCCTGCTACTGCAGTTGAGGTCCGAAGGCCCGGGTGGTCCCAGACCTGGGTTACAGACAGCCTGTGTGTCAATGCCTTGCTCATCAAGGATGTCTTCGCACTGTGGATGCACATCCTCTAAAACTAGCAGACACATATTTACTTATCTATAGTCAACACCCCTTGAAAGGGACTCGCCAGAGCCATGAGAGCTTATGGGGCTCTCTTACCACTGCTGAACTGGGCCCCTAATATACCTACACCCATTCATGTATCTTCATGAAAGAGGGTTTTTCTGCTTAACAGAATGTCGTTAAGTAAGTGTGGAGGGTGTTCTGTATGCAAAAGGTTGCTGTGATTTGATGTGAGCGACTTCGCTTCTCTTCCGTTACTATAGCTGAGAACTAAAGCAAGTTTTTTCAGGTGCTAAAGGATGAGGAGGGATATGATACTTTAAAATGTTTTGTAAAATAGCTTTGTAATATAAACCAAAAATACAATTCTAAGCCCCCCAACTAACTGAATGGACTCCTGTCTCTGCCCAGGAACTTCCAAAGAAACCTGAAAAACTGGTTCAGGCCACGATGGGAAGGTGGGGCCGGACATGCTCATTATACCCTCCTGCCTGTGGAGTGCAGGCACCACTGACCAGCATTAACATTAAAACAGAGGTCTTAAGACTGACAGAACACACTCCTCATAGCAATAAGATACCAAATCCAACCTGACCCTAGTGCAGCATCACATGACAGATAGCAGGTCCTGAAGGGAATCAAAGTATTTTTCCCAAAAATCTATTTCTTTGATGTATTTTACAATGGCCCTGCACAGTTGTGACTTGTGGGGAAAATTTGCATTATTCAGAGAATCTCCTTCCCTTACTAGGTCTTTTCCAGAGAGCCTGGCACCTTTTAAAGGTCTGAAAGGAAACATTTGCCATCTATTATCTGTAGGGGCAGCCACCCATGAGACTTCATCTGCATAATAAGAACCTTGGTCTCACAACGCCTTATCTTAACCCAGACACTCCTCTCTATTGACTCCAGGTCTTTAGATAGTAACTTAATTCTTCTAACGAACTGCCAATCAGAAAATGTTTGAATCCAGCTAAGACCTGTAAGCCCCCACTTCGAGTTGTCCTGCCATCTGGGCCAAACCAATGTATACCCCACATGTATTAACTGATGTCTTATGTCTCCATAAAACATATGAAACCAAACTATAACTCAATCACCCTGGGCACATGTTCTCAGGATCTCCAGAGGCTGTGTCATAAGCCACAGTCCTCACATAGGGCTCAGAATAAATCTCTTCAAATACTTTACAGAGTTCAGTTTTTTTCATCGAGAGCAATCAAAGGATGTCTAAGTATAAAGAGTGTTTAAGTGTTTTACAGCTGCCCTGGGGAAGCTCTGCACTTCTCTCTGGGGAGACCTGGAAGTCTGCACTGATACCTGACCAAGATAAGGATAGGTGAGCTAATTGGTGATTTGTATGCTGTTTAAAGTTCATGATTTGCCTGGCAGCACCTGGGCCAGGTTACTAACCAGATGGCTTGCACATGGCATAACCGGTTAGCCAGACTGGCTTGGCTATGTGACAAAAGGGTGTGAACCCAAAAGTATCTGAGACAGGTCTTAATCAATTTAGAAAGTTTATTTTGCCAAGGTTAAGGACATGCTCATGACACAGCCTCAGGAGGTCCTGACGACATGTGCCCAAGGTGGTTGGGGCACAGCTTGGTTTTACATTTTAGAGAGACATGAGACATGAATCAATAAGTGTAAGATGTACATTGGTTTAGGGCAACTCAAAGCAAGGGCTTCCAGGTCTCAGGTGAGCAGAGGGATGACCTTGAGTTCTGTTCTTTGTCCTGCACCTGTGAAGATAAGCTACCAATTTACATTGCCAGGGTGAAATTCAATAGAACTGTTTTAGGGCAAAGATCGTGAGGCCCACAGTGAATTTCCTCGTGGGCCAATTGTGAGAGAGGCATGTAGCTTTATCTTTGTATCTATCTTATTTAGGAATAAAATGGGCGGCAGGCTTGCCTGACACGGTTCTCAGCTTGACTTTTCCTTTTGGCTTAGTGATTTTGGGGTCCTGAGATTTATTTTCCTTTCACAAGGGCGTGAAAGACTCTGCTGGAAACTTTTGGAATTCTCCTGAAACCAACATTCCTCCCACCACTGGTGGGGCTTCCCAGTCCAGAGAAGGCATGCGTTCTCCGTGAATAAGAAAGGGCCCTGGGAGCTCACCTGGAGGGCTCTGCCCAATTCTCATCACCCTTTTTCCCCTGCTGTGCCAGCTCCAGAGCCTTCAGAGCAAGCCACATGTGAGTGTACTCTGTGCAGTCTTATGAGTCCTCTCCTATATTTTTTAAGAGACTACTTTTTAAGCAGTTTGGGTTTACAAAAAAATTGTGCATCAAATCCAGAGTTTCCATAGGCCCCTTTCCTCCCAACATAGTTTCCTCTATTATTAATATTTTGCAGCATTACTATAGTTGAGAACTGCAGTAAGCGTTTTTGTTTTGTTTTGTTTTCAGACAGGGTCTCACTCTGTCACCCAGGCTGGAGTGCAGTGGCACAACCTCAGCTCACTGCAACCTCCGCCTCCCAGGTTCAAGTGATTCTCCTGCCTCAGTTTCCCGAGTAGCTGGGATTACAGGTGCCCACAACCACGCCCAGCTAATTTTTGTATTTTTAGTAGAGATGGTGTTTTGCCATGTTGGCCAGGCTGGTCTTGAACTCCTGGGCTCAAGTGATCTGCTCACCTTGGCCTACCAAAGTGCTGGGATTACAGGCATGAGCCACTGCACCCGGCCTGTAGTGAGCTTTTTTAGGTGATGAAGCTTTTTTAGGGAGTGATATAATAGCCAGAACATTTAGTGTAGACATTTGTTAGAATTAATGAACCAATATTGATATGTAATTTAGTGTGGCTGAAGTCCACAGTTTACATTAGGGTTCACTCTGTTGCACACTCTCTGGGCTCTGACAAATGTACAGTGACAGTGTACAGTGACAAATGTACAGTGACAAATGTATGTGCACCATCACAGCAGCACACAGAACGGTTTCACTGCCCTAAAAATGCTCTGTGCTCTGCTTTATCCATCCATCCCAAATCTCACTGATCCAACCAACACTGACTTGGGATCTAACAACCACTGACCTTTTTATGTTCTCTATAGTTTCGCCTCTTCCAGGATGTCAGAGAGTTGGAATCATACAGCATGAAGTTTCTTTCATGTCTTTCCATGTCTTGATAGCTCATTTCTTTTTATCACTGACTAATATTCCATTGTATAGATATGCTAGTAATTTTATCCTTTCACCTACTGAAAAATATCTTAGCTGCTTTTGGATTTTGCCAACTATGAAAAATGCTGCTATAAACATTCATGTCCAGATAATATCACTGGATATAGGATTTTAGGTTAGTGAGTTTTGGCTCTCAACACATTAAGACATATATTTCATTCCACCATTTTCTAGCGTTCATGGTTTCTGAAGATAATTCTGATGTAATTCTTATCCCTGCCCCTCTATAGGTAAGTGTTTTTCCCCTCTGGCTTCCTTCATGATTTTCTCAAGTTTGAATATAATATACTGAGGATTGGGCCGGGCACCCGGTGGCTCACGCCTGTAATCCCAGCATTTTGGGAGGCCAAGGTGGATGGATCACCTGAGATGGGGAGTTCGAGACCAGCCTGGCCAACATGGTGAGACCCCATCTTTACTAAATACAAAAATTAGCCAGGTGTGGTGGTGTGTGTCTGTAATCCCAGCTACTTGGGAGGCTGAAGAAGAATTTCTTGAACCCAGGAGGCGGAGGTTGCAGTGAGCTGAGACTATGCCATTGCACTCCAGCCTGGGCAACAAGAGTGAAACTCTGCCTCAAAAAAAAAAATAAATAAAATACAATTATACATATATATATATAATTTTATATATATATGTATATGACTAAGCTCTAATTTTTTTGTCTTACCCAAATTCCTTTCTAAGGGGTCTGTGGAGTCATGCCTTACAAACCATAAATTCTCACCAGATGGGTTTTATTTAACCCTGTATATCGTGACTTACTTTCCAATCTGACTCTGGCATAACAAGGAAGAAAATCAAAATGTTTTACCTCAAAATATATTTCCTTGCCATACCTTGAAATTGCCCTGCAAAGTCTCTTGTGGGGAAAATCCACATTCTATAGAGAATCCTGTTTCCCTTTTGTTTTCCTTCCTTCCCAGATCCAGGAGATAATCAACTAAGAGCCAGGCACCCTTTTAAGTCAGATAAGAAACAATTTACAACCTGCTCTCTCTAAAGTCTGCTGGCTAAGAGCTTCCTCAGCACAATAAAACTTGGTCTCCACAATCCTTCATCTTTCACCTGAACATTCCTTTCTATCGATCCCAGGTCTTCAGACAAATTCAACCAATCGTCAACCAGAAAATGTTTAAATTTACCCATAGCCTGGAAGTCCCTGCTTTGAGTTGTCCCACCTCTCTGAACCAAACCAATGTATTTCTTAAATGTATTTGATTGATGTCTTACGCCTTCCTAAAATATACAAAACCAAGCTGCGCCCTAACCACCTTGGACACATGTTCTCAGGACCTCCTGAGGGCTGTGTCACGGGCCATGGTCACTCATATTTGGCTCAGAATAAATCTCTTCAAATATTTTAGAGTTTCACTCTTTTTGTCAACAAAACCGAGGTGTGGATTTTTTTGTGATTGATCCTGCCTGGTGTTCTCTGAGCTTCATGGATCAGTGTTTTGGTGCCTGTCATTAATTTTGGAAAATTCTCAGCCATTATTACTTCAAATTTTTCTTCTGCTCATTTCTCTTTTTCTTTTCCTTTCAGTGTTTCTGTTGTCCATATGTTACACCTTTAATAATTGTCTCACAGTTCTTGGATATTCCATTCAATTTTTTTTAATTCTATGTTTTCTCTTTGCTTTGCAGTGTGGGAACTGTCTGTTGACATATCAAGTCACTGATTCTTTTCTTGGCCATGTCCAGTCTGACCACGAGCCCATCAAAGGCATTCTTCATTTCTGTCACAGTGTTTTTTTGACTTCTGCCATTTCCCTTTTTTTTAACTTTTATTTTAGATTCTGGGTGTACATGTGCAGGTTTGTTACATGGGTATATTGCACTCAGATAGTGAGTATAGTACTCACCAGGTGGTTTTCAACCCACGCCCTCTTGCTGCCTCCCCTTCTAGTGGTCTGCGGTGTCGAGTGTTCCATGTTTACGTCTGTGGGTGCTCAATGTTTAGCTCTCACTTATAAGTGAGAACATGCAGTTTTTGGTTTTCTGTTCCTGCATTAATTTGCTAAGGATTAAGCAGTTTAGAGATTTCTCAAAGAACTTAAAACAGAGCTACCATTTGACCCAGCAACCCCATTTCTAGGCATATACCCAAAGAAAAATAGATCATTATACCAAAAAGACACATACATGCAAATGTTCATCACCATGCTATTCACAATAACAAATACATGGAATCAACCTAGGTGCCTATCCACAGTGGATTGAATAAAGGGAATATGTTACATGTACACCATGGAATACTATGCAGCCATAAAAAAGAATGAAATCATACCTTTGCAGCAACATGGATGGAGCTTTTGATTGTTTTTGTAGTTTCCACCTCTCTAATTAAATTACTCAGCTGTCCTCCTGTCCCCCACTTTTTCCAGTAAAGCCCTTAGCATGTTAATCACAGTTATTTAAAATCTTCATCTCTCGATCCCATGACTTCACCCTATACTCTTTGACCAATCAATAATTCCTATACCTTGGCCCACTACTCTTCCAAACCCCTTAAAATCCCTAGCCTCAAACTCCTTGGGGAGCTAGATTTGAGGGTTCCTCCTACCTCCTCATTCAGTTTCCTTACAATGAAACCCATTCCTCTGCTGCAACCCAGTGTCTGGCATATTGACCGGCCATGCATCCGAGAACAAGACTGTTATGGTTACATTTCTTCCCATTTCTGGCTCCAGCTGCAGCTTCTGCTCAAGGCTAGCTGTGATTCTTGGTATCTGCCAGTCTCTCCAGTTTGCAGTGTGGCCATTTGCCCTGTAACTTCAATTCTCTGAAGGACCCAAGAAGAGTTGTTGATCTTGTTTGTTCAGCTTTTTTCTTGTGACAATGGGAGTGACAATGTGCATGCTTGTACTCACTGGACTGGAAACCGGATGCTAATCCTTTCAGTTTCCCATTCTGTGCAATCTCGACAAAAACAATGTCTCGCTGCAAGTCTATCAATGCTTGAATATCTTTCCTGCTTGCCAACACCTCCGAGAGAAGGGCCCAGACATTTTTCCAAACTTGATTTTTCCTCTCTTTCCATGCATGTGCTCAGATAGGAGACAAGCAGTTAGATGAAAGCTCAGCAACCAGGCCCTTCCCAGCCACAAGTCCTCACCGCTCCTGCTCAGCCAAACACAAGAAAAGAATTCTTAGAGCTGGGCACAGTGGTTCACACCCGCAGTCAGCACATTGGGGGCCAAAGTGGGAGGATCGCTTGAGCCCAGGAGTTCAAGACCATCCTGGACAACACAGCGAGACACCATCTCTATTAAAAAAATTAAAATATTAAAGAAAGCAAAAAAGAGAAAGAAATGAATTCATGAGATACTTAATAGTCGCTTCTGCCATCCTGTGAGTCCTTTCTCCAAAGTCCAGTGTTTGAGAAAATTAGGCATAAATAGGTCCTATTTCAGCTGCCAACTGAAAGAAGTTAAATTTTCCTCTTCTTTAGGATCTAAACCCTGGAGACACCACCTGGGCATTTCTTTTTTGACCCCTTCTAACCTCAGAGAAATCTGGTTTGGGATGCAGGAAGGGAAATGAAAAAAAAATTATATATGTATAAACAATCCTTAGAAATATGGACATGGTAGCTGGGCATGGTGGTACACACTGTGGTCCCAGCTATTTGGCAGGCTGTGGTGGGAAGAATGCTTAAGCCCAGAAGGTGGAGCCTGCAGTGAGCTATGATCATGCCTGTGAATAGCCACTGCACTCCATCTGGGACAACATAGTGAGACCTTGTGTTTAAAAATATGTATGATATACATGTACCTACATGTGGATGTGATGGAGAAAGTGGGCAGGGGACAACAACTAAGGGAGAAGGGGTAGAGGTCTGGAGAGTGAGCGTGAGCTGGTAGCAATGTGATGAGAGTGGACCTCCTAACCTTTCCTTCCCTGGAGGATGGGGTTCTACCCTTCTCTGCATCACTGCATCTGCGCTCTACCCCTCCACCTGATTCCTTGCCCTGCATTGGTGCTACCCCTCCACCTGATTCCTTGCTCAGGGTTTTACTCTAACAGTGGAGAGTGCGGACCTCGATCCAGTTTTTGAAGAACAATCTGATGTAAATGAGAAGAGGAGGAATCCCCACCTGGGGATTTTGAGACCAGCCTGACCAACATGGTGAAACCCCGTCTCTACTAAAAATACAAAAAATTAGCCTGGCGTAGTGGTGCACACCTGTTATCCCAGCTACTTGGGAGGCTGAGGCAGGAGAATTGCTGGAAACCGGGAGGCGGAGGTTCCAGTGAGCCGAGATTGCGCCACTGCACTCCAGCCTGGGCAACAAAGAGTGAAACTCCGTCTCAATAAATAAATAAAGGAGCAGATGCTCCTTCTCCTTCCAGGGGAGAGTAGCTCACGATGCAGGATGGCCAATGGGTTCTCTCTACAGGGCTTTTAATCTCTACTGAAGGCTACAAGGACTTGGAGGCCTAGGAGACCTAGGATCCAGTTTCCAACCATCTGTGTACAGCCAAGAGAGGAGTGGACATCAAGGCAGCTGGACTCTAAGTGGCTGGGAGAGTTTGAGCTCGAGTGTTGTAAGACCATGTTGCATACACACATCCTGAGCAGGCCATGGAGGTCCAGGACTCCTCGTGATGCATTTATCATCCCAAGAAGATGAGCTCTGCAGAAGCATCTCCTGAAGTGCAGTCTATACACCACCTGCATAAGAGTTACCTAAGGGGCTTGTGACAAATACATATGCCAGAGCACCCACAGGCTAGCCCAGAACCTCAGAAGGAAGAGGCCTAGGAATGTCAGCTTTTAATGATCTGTTCTTAGGTACACTACAGTGTGAGAATATATATTGAGTACCTGCTAGATGCCAGCTAAGTATCTTCTAATATATAAAAGGAAGGTATGATTATCCCCATTTTTAGATGGAGAAGCTGAGGTTTGGTGGGATTCAGTAATGCCCAAGGTCACATGGCTAGAAAGTGGTGGTCCCAGGATTCTACAAAACCCGCTCCAAAGCGGCATGTGAAAAAACAAGCAATTTTTAATAAAGAAAAATTCAAATGAGATGCACTGGGAATCTAAACTTTGGACCTAGCTTTTCTCCTTCAATTCTTTTCAGTTTCTGCTACTCTGAACAACCTATTTTTGTTTTATTTTATTTATTTATTTTTTTTATTTATTTATTTATTTATTTATTTATTTATTTATTTATTGAGACGGAGTTTCACTCTTTGTTGCCCAGGCTGGAGTGCAGTGGCGCAATCTCGGCTCACTGGAACCTCCGCCTCCCGGTTTCCAGCAATTCTCCTGCCTCAGCCTCCCAAGTAGCTGGGATAACAGGTGTGCACCACTACACCAGGCTAATTTTTTGTATTTTTAGTAGAGACGGGGTTTCACCATGTTGGTCAGGCTGGTCTCAAACTCCTGACCTCAGGTGATCTGCCCACCTTGGCCTCTCAAAAGGTTGGGATTACAGGCTTGAGCCACTGCGCTTGGCCTGAACAATCTCTTTTTAAATGGAATGTCACATATCTCGAAGAAGTTAAGGGCAGCAACCTCCATGTATATAAATAGTTCTTGTCTGGTGGATGGAAGTTAAAATGGCATGCCCTTCTCCAGTTGAACTTGTAAGTCTTCTGTGGAGTAAAAGACTATGGCTACATCAGTTCAATAATGTAGCATCTTGACATGAATTTCTATTTTCAGAAAATAGAGATTAAGGAGAGGCTATTTCCAGAGTGAATAAGAATGGAGTAATATTTAGAAAATGTTTCCTAATATTAAAACCTCCTCATCTTGGGAATAATTTCAGAATACCTGTTTCATAGACGTTCTACAAGAAGTCGCAGGTAGCCATGAGTTAAGACACTTTCTATAACTGCCTTTCTCCATGAATGTGTCGATTTCAGCGCTCACTGGGCTCCCGTGCACAGCTAGGGGCTGGGTTTCCCGAGGGGCGCAAACGTCAGGGAGACCTGCTTTGTCCTCAGGCCGTTTACAGCGAAACGAAGCAGAAAGAGAGAAGCCCAGAATGAAAATCACATAACCCAGAATGTAGCAAAAGAGAAGTAAGAATGACTACAGGATTCGGAGAGGGAAACCAGCCCACGTCTAACGTACTGGGCAAAATCTCAGCATAAGGCGGGGTTCTGCTCAAAAGGCGCAACTGAAGAGGCAGGGACTATCCAGAGCGGAGGCGGAGCGCGCTGAGGCCGCAGAAACCGGCCTCAGCGGGAAGCATTCCCGTCCCGACACCTGCGGGCCCGGGGGCGCTAGCGCTCCACCAGAACCAAGGCTGCACCAGCGCAGGGAGTGGCCACGGGCAGCACCCAGCCTCTCTCCGGCTGCCTCCGCATCGCCTGCCGGGGCCTCCAGCGGGGACCCAGCTGGAAGGGGCTCCAGGCGACGCCTCCCGGTATCTGAACTGGACAGAGCAGAGAGTACTGCATCTAGCCCAGCCGTGGCCCGCCCTGCATGGCCAGCGAAGGTGAAGGCTGCGCAAAAAACTGCACAAAACCAGGCAACACCAGAACCTGCCCCCAGAGAGGAGGTTTGCAGACTGAGTAGGAAATAGCTAGTTAAAGAAAATAGAAAGGTGACTCTCAGACTAAGTAAACAGCATGACTGAAGGCAGGGAAGTGCGAGGCTCCTGTTCCTAGATGGTGAGGAGTGACTTTAGGGAGGGAGAGCCCACCAATCCTTAGGAACCTGCAATCTGACCCACTGTGCACACAGGCAATCAGTACACAGGGCCAGGACTAGGGCCAGGCAAATGAGAAACTCACCCCAGGCACAAAATGTAAGAGAATGCCCAAAACCTCCATAATCGAGATAAATAATACTGTAATCCAATATTTTTTAAAAATCAAAATTAATGTAAAAAGTTCATGATGAACATAATATCAAAATTTGAAATGAAGACAGTATCAACATTACTGATTTTTCCTGTGTAATGTGCATGTTAGCATGGCAAAGTGACTGCAGTGCGGCGGGCCGACTGGGAGAGTTGCACCCAGAGTGGACACCAACTCTAAGCTGCTTTCATAGCGTACATCTGCACTGCCAGCAGAGTAGCTGGCAGCTGCATGTGGTCATTTAGCACCTGAAATGCAGCAATTGAGACGCTAAATTCTTAATTTTATTTCACCTTAATTAACTTAAATTTTAACATTGATACTCAATTCAGTGATTGGAAAACGTATGTATGGTTGGAACAACTTGAGTATGTGAATTCATTTTTTACAATTGTAGATGTTATGAAATCTAAATAAAGATCGAGCATTTTCTTTGAGAATTTAGCATTCAAATTGTATGTGCTGTAAAACACACACTGGATTTTAAAGCCTTGGAATGAATAAAAGAATGTGACATATCTCAATAATAATTCTTATATTGAATACATGTTAAAAGTATACTATTTTTGGATATATTGGGATAAATAAAATACATTCCTAAATTCACCTGACTCTTCTTATTTTTTTTTTAATTAAAAAAAAAAGAGATGAGGTCTCAGTATGTTGCCAGGCTGGTGTGAAACTCCTGAACTCAAGTGATCTTCCCACCTCAGCATCCGAAAGTGCTGGGATTACAGGCATGAGCCACCGCGCCTGGCCTCTTTTTACTTTTTAAAGGTGGCTGCTAGAAAATGTTCAATGGTGAATGTGGCTTGCGTTCTATTTCTATTTGCACCTCTGGGCTCGGTGAATGAGTGCGGCCTGGATGAGACAATGGTGGAGGGGATGCCAAGTGGGGCAGATGCAAAACAGTGAAGCAGCGTTGTGAGACCATGACGGCCTTAGGTCGGGGCTCCCTAGACGCAGAGCCTGGGATGGGGTTGCTCAGGTGAGTGCCTGAAGAGGGAGGTTCTCATCAGAACTCCCTGTGGGAGTGAGAGGAGCAGGCGAGCATGCAAGGCAGCTCAGCACCCCTGTGGTTTGGGAGAAGTCTAGCCTCCATCCGCTTCAGGGAAGACCTGGAGCAGGTCTGCTGCACCACAGAGGTTGTGCTGTGCGAGGCGAGCAGCCTGGGCTGCAGTGCCTTCCACATGGGTCAGTTATGGCTGCAGACCACTGCAGGGTGAGGGAAAATGCAGTCTCCTAGGCGTGGTCCCCGAAGGCAGCTCCCTGGGGGATGGGTGCAGTAGCCATTAAAGGCGGCACAGGGGTCTCCTACAGTGACCAGTTGGGTGTGGGCTCAGTGAAGGAATGATACTCTGTATTCTGCCCTGGCAACTGGGAAGATCCTGGCTCCACTCACCTGAAGAGGAATTGCAGGAAGAAGAGCAGGTTCAGCATAAAAGAGAAGGGCTGCGATTGACCATGTGAAGTTGAAGTTGCCTGAAAGCCAGAACGTGGGGATGTCTGGAAGGCCGTGGACATAGAGGTCTCAGCAGAGACGAAAGATGGAAAGAAAGAGTCATCAGCAGGGCAGTGTCCCCTGAAGCCAAAGGTATGAACAACGGGAACTCTGGAAGAGCCACCGAGAAACAGAGCAGAGGACCAGGCCAGCACCTCCAGGAGCCTGGCAGCCACTGTGTGTGAAGAAGGCAGGTGAGAGAACAGAGGAGGACGAGAAGGTGCCCCGCAGAAGCCAAGGGAGGAGGGAAGCTCCCACAGACAGATGCCCCTGAAAAGCTCAAGCAAGGCGCAGCAGAGAAGCCGCTTGCGGTTTGGAGGCGAGGAGCTTCTGCATCACTGCAGCGGCTGCCCTTCCTCTCTTCCTTTTTAATTTTAGTTTTTGTGGGTACATGGTAGGTGTATACATTTATAGGGTACATGAGATGTTTTGATACAGGCATGCAACATGAAATAAGCACAGTTTGTAGAATGGGGAATCCATCACCTCAAGCATTTATCTTTGAGCTACAAACAATACAATTACACTCTTTAAGGTTTTTTGCTTGTTTGTTTGTTTGTTTTGAGACGAAGTCTCGCTCTGTCTCCCAGGCTGGAGTGCAGTGGCATAATCTCAGCTCACTGCAACCTCCACCTCCCAGGTTCTGCCTCAGCCTCCCGAGTAGCTGGCATTACAGGCATGCGCCACCAGGCTTGGCTAATTTTTGTAATTTTAGTAGAGACAGGGTTTCACCACATTGGCCAGGCTGGTCTCGAACTCATGACCTCAGGTGATCCACTTGCCTCGACCTCCCAAAATGTTGGGATTACAGGTTTGAGCCACCATGCCCGGCCTCTTTATTTTAAAATGTACAGTTTTTATTGACTACAGTCACCCTATTGTGCTATCAATGGTAGGTCTTAATCATTCCCTTCCTCTCTTCTTCATTAGCAGAACTCCAGTTTTATTCATGCAGCACAGCTCTTTCCAAAAGTCTTAGTGATAAAGGAAAAGAGAGGATTGAATGAGGGTGAGAGGGCAGTGGTGGCCAAGGTCTGTGGCTGCAGGTGGGGAGGGTGAGAAGTTGTTGGTTTCGGGTTCATTGCTTTGATCAAGAAGGGTTCTGATAGCAGAAAAAGCCAGTAAGGGGGGAAAAATTAGAGGGGGGAGAAAGACTGACAACCTTACCTAGTAGAACCTATTTGGATAAGTTCAGGTGGGTTTTCTACCAAGCTGATGCAGACAGCTCTTTCCCTGAGAATGACACCCCACGCTGCCCACAAGTGAAGCCTCCTTTGTCGCCAAGAGCCCCCTTACAGATGCAATGTCCATAATGCTGAAGAATACCTCTTTTTTTTTTTCTTTTTTTTTACTCCTTACTGCTCCTGTCTAATTCCGGGGCTCCTTGGTGAATTCTCAATGAACTTGGAAGTCCTGGGCTCATGTTCAGATTCACTCTTCTCACAGCTTCATTTCCTGGATACTGAGACCCTGAGCAATTCAACCTGGGCCCAAGAGGATTTATGTCCTGTGACTGGAAAACAATAGGTCCCTGGCCTCTGGCCATTGTCTGGTTTTCTGACAAACCCCCTCTTTCCCTTGTGGGGAAATAGCTTCCCTGTACCACCCTGGCCCCTGACCCTTAGAAAAAAAATGCCATCTGCTCATCTTGGTAATATTAAAACATATTTACATAGCTTCAAGGAACTAGATCTTCAAAACACATAGAGCCTCTCTAGTTAACTGGACTGTGTCCAAGTAACTGATATAAGTATTCCCCCATTCCTCACCTGTTGGACAATGTAATGCTTTAAATATGTTGAGTATTTCCTGCCTCCAAAGATCCAATAAGCTGCACGTTGCCAGGAGAATTCCATTAAGATTCGCAAGAACTTGGGCGAGAGAGATACATGGGTAATTGGTATTTATTTTCATTTTGACTAGATGTATGAAATATTTCTCTCTCCTATGGTAGATAAAAATTCCCTAGAATCTTGAAAAATCATGTGTGCAAGGAAGCTTCTCTGTTCAAACATTCCAAAATCTTTTAAAATTCAAAACATAAATGGATTGACTTATGTAGCATAGAAAACTCCGTGGAAATGGCAGGAAGTTTGACTTAGAAAAACACTTTTTTCTCTCAGAATTCGCCATTTTCTGCCACCAGTCTCGGTTTGTGCAGTCAGCAGCCAAGGAGAAAACGAGTCAGGGAGGTGGTACTGTGCATGCAGTTGTCACCAACACAACACAAATTAAGAGGAAAACGTATACCACGGCGTCTTAGGGGAGCAGCTGAAGGGTGGTGGCCAGGCCCACAGACACTCTGCGGGAGCTTGCAGCAGCACCCTCTACCGGCCCTGGAGGACCCCGGGGGGTCTCAGCCCCGCAGGCACGTCAGAGTGCAGGGGCCTCCACTTGTCCTTGCAAGGTGCCTCACGGGGCTCCCACACCGCAGCCAGGCTTGCACAACCGTCTCTGTTGCACCCTACTTGTTTCTTTCACATGGCCCGGGGCCTTTCTGCCTTCCTTCCTGGGAATGGCTGCAACTCCCCACCTGGTTTTCACTGATCCCACTTCCATACCCTCATGGGGGCACCCTGAGCCCCTCCAGAAGCCAAGCAGAGCAAAACCAGTCACCCTCACTGTGGCAAGTAGCACACCAGTTTGGGGGATCAAGGGACAGAAGAGGTGATTCGAGAAAAAGCAGTGGCTCTCGACTTGGGGAGAAGGTCATACCCCGTTGAAGAATTTAAAGAAAACAAAAAAATCCATTCAATTAGGAAAAGAGGAAGTCAAATTGTCCTTGTTTCCAGATGGCATGATTGTATGTTTAGAAAACCCCATCATCTCAGTCCAAAATCTCCTTAAGCTGATAAGCAACTTCAGTAAAGTCTCAGGATACAAAATCAATGTGCAAAAATCACAAGCATTCCTATACACCAATATCAGACAAACAGAGAGCCAAATCATGAGTGAACTCCCATTCACAATTGCTTCAAAGAGAATAAAATACCTAGGAATCCAACTTACAAGGGATGTGAAGCACTTCTTCAAGGAGAACTACAAACCACTGCTTAACGAAATAAAAGAGGACACAAACAAATGGAAGAACATTCCATGCTCATGGATAGGAAAAATCAATATCGTGAAAATGGCCATACTGCCCAAGGTAATGTATAGATTCAATGCCATCCCCATCAAGCTACCAATGACTTTCTTCACAGAATTGGAAAAAACTACTTTAAAGTTCATATTGAACCAAAAAAGAGCCCGCATTGCCAAGACAATCCTAAGCCAAAAGAACAAAGCTGGAGGCATCATGCTACCTGACTTCAAACTATGCTGCAAGGCTACAGTAACCAAAACAGCATGGTACTGGTACTAAAACAAAGATATAGCCCAATGGAACAGAACAGAGCCCTCAGAAATAATACCACACATCTACAACTACCTGATCTTTGACAAACATGACAAAAACAAGAAATGGGGAAAGGATTCCCTATTTAATAAATGGTGCTGGGAAAACTGGGTAGCCATATGTAGAAAGCTGAAACTGGATCTCTTCTTTACACCTTATACAAAAATTAATTCAAGATGGATTAAAGACTTAAATGTTAGACCTAAAACCATAAAAACCCTAGAAGAAAACCTAGGCAATACCATTCAGGACATAGGCATGGGCAAGGACTTCATGTCTAAAACACCAAAAGCAATGGCAACAAAAGCCAAAATTGACAAATGGGATCTAATTAAACTAAAGAGCTTCTGCACAGCAAAAGAAACTACCATCAGAGTGAACAGGCAACCTACAGAATGGGAGAAAATTTCTGCAATCTACTCATCTGACAAAGGGCTAATATCCAGAATCTACAAAGAACTCAAACAAACTTATAAGAAAAAAAACAAACAACCCCATCAAAAAGTGGGCAAAGGATATGAACAGACACTTCTCAAAAGAAGACATTTATGCAGCCAACAGACAAATGAAAAAATGCTCACCATCACTGGTCATCAGAGAAAGGCAAATCAAAACCACAATGAGATACCATCTCACACCAGTTAGAATGGCGATCATTAAAAAGTCAGGAAACAACAGGTGCTGGAGAGGATGTGGAGAAATAGGAACACTTTTACACTGTTGGTGGGACTGGAAACTAGTTCAACCATTGTGGAAAACAGTGCAGCGATTCCTCAAGGATCTACAACTAGAAATACCGTTTGACCCAGCCATCCCATTACTGGGTATATATCCAAAGGATTATAAATCATGCTGCTATAAAGACACATGCACACGTATGTTTATTGCGGCACTATTCACAATAGCGAAGACTTGAAACCAACCCAAATGTCCATCTATGATAGACTGGATTAAGAAAATGTGGCACATATACACCACGGAATACTATGCAGCCATAAAAAAGGATGAATTCATGTCCTTTGTAGGGACATGGATGAAGCTGGAAACCATCATTCTCAGCAAACTATCACAAGGACAAAAACCCAAACACCGCATGTTCTCACTCAAAGGTGGGAATTGAACAATGAGAACACTTGGACACAGGAAGGGGAACATCACACACTGGGGCCTGTTGTGGGGTGGGGGGAGGGGGGAGGGATAGCATTAGGAGATATACCTAATGCAAATGACGAGTTAATGGGTGCAGCACACCAACATGGCACATGTATACATATGTAACAAACCTGCATGTTGTGCACATGTACCCTAGAACTTAAAGTACAATATATATATATAAAAAAAAAAGAAAGCCATAAAAAAAAAAGAAAGGAAAACAAAAAATCTGAACATTTCTCCCTGGGGAAAAATAGCACATGATGCACTAAGCAAGTGTGTGCTGGCCACCTGGGCAGGGTTCTAGGCAATCAGGATACAGCAGTAAAATAAACAAGGTCCCATTGTCACAAAATTCCCACTAGCAGGGAGACCATTAGCGATGCCACATGGATAAACCTCAGAAGAAGCAGAAACGGGAGCAAGAGGAGCAGGTGGACGGGGAGGTAAGGGGCTGTGAGGAAATCTTGATGAAGAGAGTGGGCCAGGGCCCTGCAGATGGCAGCCTATTCACAAGAAACTCTGCTTGCAATAGGATGAGGGTCCCTGCCCAGGGGAACTTTCTTTCCGGACCCACGGCTTACGGACCTCTCTTTTAGCAACGATCTCAAACATTTCCTTGTAGTTTATCTGTCCAGAGAGCTCTTATTCTTATTAATTTGTCAAGTATTTATTAAATGCCAAATAAAAATGCCAGGCACCGGACACACCCTAAATAAAGCACACCTCTCCCCAGCTCTGTCAAGGAACACAAATCTGATGAGAAAGACTACAAATAAACAAAAACAAAAACAACAAACTGCCGACAAAAAGAGTCAAACTCCATAAAATATTTGAAGAGATTTATTCTGAGCCAAATATGAGTGACCATGGGCCATGACACGGCCCTCAGGAGGTCCTGAGAACATGTGCCCAAGGTGGTCAAGGCGCAGCTCAGTCTTATACATTTTAGGGAGTCATGAGATATCAATCAAATACATTTGAGGTACACATTGGTTGGGTCCAGAAAGGCGGGACAACTCAATGTGGCGGGGGGACTTCCAGATTATAGGTAGAGTTAAAATTTTTCTAATTGGCAATTGGTTATCAATAGAAAGGAATGTCTGGGTTGCAATAAAGAGGTTTTGAAGAGCAAAGTTTTATCATGCAGATGAAACCTCCTGGTAGCAGGCTTCAGAAAAAATAGATTTTGTAAATGTTTCTTATCATACTTAAGGTCTGTGTTGATGTTCAATGCTGATCGCCTTTTCCTGAAATCCAAAAGGGAGGAGGGTAGCATGAGGCATGTCAGACCCCCACTTCCTGCCATGGCCTGCACCAGCCTTTCAGGTTAAATTTTAGTGTCCTGGTCAACGAGGGAGTACATTTAGATGGTTGCAGGGGGCCTTCAAATTTTATTTTTGGTCTACATTCAGTAGATCAAAAAATGCACTTGAAATTTAACATTCATCATGATGAAAACTTTTAGAAAACAAGAAATAGAAAATAACCTCCTTATTCTCATAAAGGATGTTTTACAAAAACCCTGAAGTGGCTGTCTCGTGTAATGGTGAAAGGCAGAATGCAACCTTATCAAATGCTTTCTTATCAACACTTCTACGCAGCATTGTACTGTGCACCCTACACAGAATAAGGTAATAAAAAGAAATAAAAATTAGAAAAAATAAAGATGGTACTATTCACACATCGTATGATTAGGTATGTGGAAAAGCCAACAAATCTACAGGTGAATTTTTAGAATTAATAAGTGAGTTTAGTAAGCTTGCTGGATGAAAGGTCAAAATACAAACAATAGATGTATTTCTATGTATCAGCAACAAGTAGAAAATAAAAGTTTTTAAAAGATAACTATTGACAATGATTCCACTACACACACACCAAAAGAGTTAAAATGAAAAAGACTGACAATGCCAAGTGTCGACAAAGAAGTAATGCAACAAGAACTTCTATACAGCTCCAGTGAGTGTGCAAATTTGTCCAGTCACCGAAGTGGAATATACAATACCCAACAGTCAGGCAGTTTCATTGCTAGGAGTGCACCAAACAGAATGCACTCCTGTGGGCTGGGCGGGGTGGTTCATGCCTATAATCTCAGCACTTTGGGAGGCCGAGGCGGGCAGATCGCCTGATGTCAGGAGTTCGACACCAGCCTGGCCAACATTGCAAAACCCCGTCTCTAATGAAAATAACAAAATTAGCCAGGTGTGGTGGTACACACCTGTGATCCCACCCACTCGGGAGGCTGAGGCAGGAGAATCACTTGAACCCGAGAGGCGGAGGTGGCAGTGAGCTGAGATCATGCCTCTGCACTCCGGCCTGGGTGACAGAGCAAGACTCCATCTCAAAAAAAAAAGAAAGAAAGAAAGAAAAAAGAATGCACGCTGTGCATATATACAGCAAATATATAAGAATGATCATGGCAGCATTACTTGTAATAACTGTAATAACTAAGAAAATGGAAATACAGTAGTCCCTTGGTATCCCTGGGGGATTAGTTCCAGGACCTCTGAGGATACCAAAATCTGCAGATGCTCAAGTCTCACATAAAATCACATAGTACTTGCATATAACCCATGCACATTTTCCCGTATACTTTAAATCATCTCTAGATTACTTATAATACCCAATAAAAAGTAAATGCCACGTACATAGTTGTTATAATGTATTTTTTAAATTTGTATTTTTGTATTGTTATTTTTCCAAATATTTTCCATCCTTGGTTGGTTGAATTTGCAGAACCTGTGGATATGGAGGGCCCACTGTAACCCAAATATCAATCAACAGTAGAATAGATAAAAATTGTGATATTCATTCAATGGCACGTTATATCACAGAAAATGAATAAAATGTAGGTACGCATAACAATATGGATGAATCTCACAACCATAATATTGGACAAAAGAAACCGGACTTAAAAGATTACACGCCATATGGTTCTATTTATCCGAAGTTAATAACCAGGGAAAACTAAGTTATGGCATTAGAAGTCAGAGTAGAGTAACTTTTGGCAGAAAGAGAATAGTGGTTGTGGGAGTGCATGAGGGAGGCTTCTGGTGTTCTGTTTCTTGACGAGGGTGATTACATGGGTGTGTTCTCTGCTTGGTGATTCACTGAGTTACACTTACAACACTTCAATGCATTCGATGGACTGTGACGCAATGGAATCTCACACCCGTTCATTTAGCTTTAAACATCCCTCCCCTCACAGTCATGGTATGGCGGCAGCAGCTTGAGGGCTGCTTGAAATGCTGTCAGAAACCAGCAACCTAGCATAAGCTTTTTGTTTGGCTGGGCGTGATGGCTCATGCTTGTAATCCTGGTGCTTTAGGAGGCTGAGGCAGGAGTATCACTTGAGCCCTGGCAGTCGAGGCGGCAGTGAGCTGGTTTGCTTTTTGGAGTTACACAAATGTTCTAAAATTGAACCTGGTGAAGATTCCACAAGTCTGTATGCGCAGATTAAACTAAAACCCATTGAATTTTATACTTTAAATGGGTGAATTATATGATATATGCATTATATTTCAATAAAGCTGTTATAAGGAAAAAGAGAATTGCAGTGGCTATACTTGTACCAGACAAAACAGACTTTAAGACAAATATTGTTACTAAAGACAAAGAAGACATCTTACAATAGTAAAGGTGTCAATCTATTGGAACGACATAACTATAAACACTTACACGCTAACTACAGAGCCCCCAAATACATGAAGCAAAACTCACAGAAATAAAGGGAGAAATACACAATTCAACAATAATCGTTCGAGGCACCAGGCGTGGTGGCTCATGCCTGTAATCCCAGCACTTTGGGAGGCCAAGGTGGGTGGATCACTTGAGCCCAGGAGTTCAAGACCAGCCCGGGCAATGTGGTGTAACCCCATTTCTTTTCTTTTCTTTTTTTTTTTTTTTTTTTTTTGAGATGGAATCTTGCTCTGTCGCCCAGGCTGGAGTGCAGTGGCACGGTCTTGGCTCACTGCAAGCTCCGCCTCCCGGGTTCACGCCATTCTCCTGCCTCAGCCTCCTGAGTAGCTGGGACTACAGGCACCCACCACAATGCCTGGCTAATATTTTTTGTATTTTTAGTAGAAACGGGGTGTAACCCCATTTCTACTAAAAATACAAAAAATTAACTGGGCTTGGTGGTGCACACCTGTAGTCCCAGCTACTCGGGAAGCTGAGGTGGGATGATCGCTTGAGCCCAGGAGGTTGAGGCTGCAGTGAGCCATGATCACACCACTGCACTCCAGCCTGAGGGACAGAGTGAGACCTTGTCTCAAAAAAAAAAAAAAAAAAAGTTGGAGGCTTCCATACCCCAATTTCAATAATGGATAGATCAACTAGGAAGAAAATTAACAGGGAAGTAGAAGACTTGAACACGATCAACTGACTAGACCTAACACACCTATTCAGAACACTTCACACAATAATAGCAGAATGCACAGCTTTTTAAGTGCACATGGAATATTTTCCAGAAAGATCATATGTTATGCCATAAAACAAGTCTTAATAAACTTAAAAGGATTTTAATCATGCCAAGTATATGGCCCAACTACAATGGAATAAAATTAGATATTGATCACAGAAGAAATTTTGGGAAATTTATAGATATGTGAAAATTAAACAATACACTCTTCAGTAGCCAATGGATAAAAGGATGAATCAAAATGGATATTAGAAAATACTTTTAGATGAATAAAAACAAAAACACTGCATACAAAAATTTATGGGATACAGTAAAAGCAGTAATTAGGATAAGAAAAGTTATAACTGAAAATGCCTATATTAGAAAAGAAAGATTTGGGAATCAAAAACCTAACTTTATACCTTAAGGAATTAGAGAAATAGCAAACAAAACCAAAATAAGCAGAAAGAAATAATGAAGTAATAATAAGGGCGAGAGTGCCAAGAAATGAACTAGAGACTAGACAAACAACAGAGAATATCAATGAAAGCAAAAGTTGGTTCTTTAAAAAGAGCAATGAAATTGGCAAACCTTTAGTTAGACTGACCAAGGGAAAAAAAACAAAACCTAACTTTATACCTTAAGGAATTAGAGAAACAGCAAACAAAACCAAAATAAGCAGAAGGAAATAATGAAGTAGTAATAAGGGCTAGAGTGACAAGAAATGAACTAGAGACTAGACAAACAGAGAAAATCAACGAAAGCAAAAGTTGGTTCTTTAAAAAGAGCAATGAAATTGGCAAACCTTTAGGTAGATTGACCAAGGGAAAAAGAAAAAAGACAAGTTACTAAAATTAGTATGAAAGGGAGGGACATCACTACCAACCTTGCAGAAATAAAAATGAAGCATAAGGGAATACTATGAACAACACATGACAAAATATTAGATAGCCTTGATGAAATGGACAAATTCCTGCAAAGACACAAATTACTGAGATTGACACAAGAAGAAATAGAAATAGGAAATCTGAATAACCTGTAATGAGTGAAGATATTTAAATAGTAATCAAAAAACTTCCCACCCCAGCTTAGATCATTTCATTGATAAATTATACCAAATGGCTTAAGAAGAATTAACATCTGTCCTTCACAAACTCTTCAAAAAAATAAGAAAGGAGGGAACACTTCCCACGTTATTCTATGAAGCTAATATTTCCCTGATAGTCAAAGACATCACAAGAAAAACATAAGAGATGGACCAATATCTCTTATGAATAAAGACATAAAAAGTCCTCAACATGATACCAGCAAACCAAGTCCAGCAGCATATTAAAAAAATTATACATCATGACTAAGTGGGATTTATCCCAGGAATGCAAGGGTGGTTCAAAATATGAAAACCAATCAATGCAATATTCCACATTAATAGAACAAGGAAAAAAATCAAATGATCATCTCAATCAATGCAGAAAACCTATTTGACAAAATCCAACACCCTTTCATGATCAAAAGCACTCAACAAACTAGAAAGACAAGTGAACATCCCCAGCCTCACTAATGACATCTATGAAAACAGCCACCATCATATTTAATGATGAGACTGAATGCTTTCCCCCAAAGCTCAGGAAAAAGACAAGCATGTTCACCCTTGCCATTTCTATTCAAAACTGCTCTGGAGGTTCCAGCCAGGACAATTAGACGAGTAAAAGAAATAAAAGGTATCCAGATAAGAAAAGAAGAGGTGAGACTATCTCTGTTTACACATAACATAATCTTGTATACAGAAAATCTTAAGAAATCCACTAAAAAGCTATTAGAACTAAAAAAATAAGTCCAGCAAAAGTGCAGGTACAAAATAATATACAAAAGTCAATTGTATTTCTGTATCCTAGCAATGAATAATTGAAAATTTAAGAAAACAATTACACTTACAATAGCAACAAAAAGAATAAAACACTTAGGAATAAATTTAACAAATAGTCTAACACTTGTACACTAATGACTACAAAATATTGTTGAAAGAAATTAAAGATCTAAATAAATGGAAAGATATCCCACATGCATGCATAAGAACACACAATATTACCAATGTGGCAATCCTCTCCAAATGGACCTACAGACTCAGCACAAGTCCAATAAAAATCTCCTCCAGTTACAGTGGCCACATAGTGTATGATCCCAATTATATAAAATGTCCAGAATAGGCAAATTCATAAAGACAGAAAGTACATTAATGGTGGCCGGGTGCTAGGAGAGGGGAAAAAAGGGACTTACTGCTTATGGGTGCAGGGTTCCTTTTTGGGGTGCTTAAAATGTTTTAAAATTAGTGGTTATGGTTGCACAACTCTGTGAATATACTAAGAAAACACTGTATTATAAACTTTAAAAGGGTGAATTTTTATTATGTGGAGTATATCTCAAATAACTGTTGTTAAAAAGAATCAAGATGTGAAAAGTTTTTGATTTTATATTAGCTACAACTATAAAAGGGAGAATGAAATAAACATTGAGAATCCACTATATGTTTTTAACTTGGCCTATACATAGAGATGATGATGATAGATAGATAGATAGATAGATAGATAGATAGATAGATAGATAGATAGACAGACAGATACATACATACATACATACATACACCCATATATGCATACACACATAATCATTTACTCCTTACACCAGTCCTATGAAGTAGGTATAACTGTGGGCTCTGGATCGGTTGGTTTGTATAAAAAAGGTGTGATTGCAGGGGAGTCATTTGCTTTTTAGGAACGAGCTAATCCTAGGAGGGGCAGTTTCTCCAGCATCAAGGCCTCAAATGCCAGATTATCATGAATGCAGAAGATAACAAAATATAGTTAATACAATGGGATAATAATTCTCTCTTGTTTAAGCTACTTGTAGTTGTTTTCCATTCCTTGTAGCTTGAAGCATAACAACCAATACGCTAATACAGTTGTCTCTGTGTATTCATGGGGAATTGGTTCCAGGACTCCCCACGGATACCAAAAGCCATGGATGCTCAAGTGCCTGATGTAAAATGGTACAGTATTTGCATATAACCTATGCACATCCTCCTGTATACTGTAAATCATCTCTAGATTTCTTATAATACCTAATACAATGTAAATGCTTTACAAATATTTGCTATATTCTATTATTTAGGGCATAATGACAAGAAAAAAAAGTCTGTACAAGTTCAGTATAGATGCAACCATCATTTTTCCCCAAATATTTTTGATCCACAATTGGTTGACTCTACAGATGCAGAACCTATGGATATGAAGGGCTGACTATATAGCTGTTTTCAGAGGCTAATTCATAGCCTTAAAGGAGGTAATATTTATACACAATATATTAAAATCACTGAATTGAGCATTCATTTCAAAAGGCTAGAAAAAAACTAAACAACTTTGAAAAAGTATGGGTAAGGAATTGATTCTAAAAAGCAAGTAAAGACATGGAATTAACCTAGGTGGCTGTCAATGGTGGATTGGATAAAGAAAATATGGTATATACCATTTGACCCAGCCATCCCATTACTGGGTATATACCCAAAGGATTATAAATCATGCTGCCATAAAGACACATGCACACGAATGTTTATTGTGGCACTATTCACAATAGCAAAGACTTGGAACCAAGCCAAATGTCCAACAATGATAGACTGGATTAAGAAAATGTGGCACATATACACCATGGAATACTATGGAACCATAAAAAATGATGAGTTCATGTCCTTTGTAGGGACATGGATGAAGCTGGAAACCATCATTCTCAGCAAACTATTGCAAGGACAAAAAACCAAACACCTCATGTTCTCACTCATAGGTGGGAATTGAACAATGAGAACACATGGACATAGGAAGGGGAACATCACACACTGGGGACTGTTGTGGGGTGGGGGGAGGGGGGAGGGATAGCATTAGGAGATACACCTAATGCTAAATGACGAGTTAATGGGTTCAGCACACCAACATGGCACATGTATACATATGTAACAAACCTGCACGTTGTGCACATGTACCCTAAAACTTAAAGTACAATAATTAAAAAAAAAGAAAATATGGTATATATACACTGTGGAATACTATGCAGCCATAAAAAATGAAATCTTGTCCTTTGCAACAACATGGATGCAACTGGGAGCCATTACCCTAAGAGAATTAATGCAGAAACAGAAAACCAAATATTGCATGTTCTCGCTTATAAGTGGGACCTAAACCTTGGGTACACACAGACATAAAGATGGGAACAGTAGAGACTGAGGATTCCAAAAGTAGGGAGGGAGGGAGGGCCAGGGCAAGGACTGAAAAACTACCTATTTGGTACAACGTTCACTATCCGGGTGAGTCCTATGATTGCCTCAGTTTTATTGCTTAGAGAGTTCCCAGGATATGGCACAGAGCTGGGAACACAGGCAGCCTCCTTGAGTTGAGGAGCAGAGTTGGAAGTTCAGGGAGGCAGGCTGCTAGTTGGGCTAGCCAGCTAGCCAGGAGTCAGGCAGAGCTGGGAGTCAGAGTGGCTGGAGCACTTCCAGGCACCCCACCAGAGAGGAGACTGCTGCACGGAGAGAGAACTGTGGGGGTTTTTTTGTTATTGTTTTTATTTGTGTATTGATTTTTATTATTGTAGGCTGTCTCTGTGCCAAGGATTAGCTTGAGGTGTAAACTTAAAGATTTCTTAGGTATTTTCTGAGTCTGTGCCTTTCCCTGGGCATGTGAGATTACTCCTGGTGCTTCCTACTCCATTGTCTTCACAGAATCCTCTCTGTTGCATATTCTTCTTTGACTTTTCTCCTCTTGCTCTTCTTTAATAGTAGTTTGCAACTCCTGTTATCTGCAAAATATTCCCCTTCACCTTTTTCAATTACTTGCAGTTGTCACCCTCCTCACCCCCACCCAGCTCCAGACAACCATTAATGTACTCTTTCCTCTATAGCAGGAGTCTGCAAACTACTGTCATGGGCCAAATCCAGTCTGTGGCCTGTTTTTATGAATATAATTGATGCTTGAACAATGTAGGGGTTAGGGACATCAACTCCATGCACAGTCAAAAATCCACATATAACTTGACTCCATAACTACTAATAACCTACTGTTGACTGGAAGCCTTACTAATAAAATAAATAGTTGATTAACATACACTTTGCACGTTATATGTATTATCTATTATATTCTTAAATAAAGTAAGCTAGAGAAAACATTATAAAGAAAATCATGAAGAAGAGAAAGTATATTTACTATTCATAATAGTATGGACTATCACAAATAAGTGGAAGTGGACTATCATAAAAGTCTTTATCCTTGTCATCTTCATATTGAGTAGGCTGAGGAGGAGGAAGTGGAGGGGTTGATCTTGCTGTCTCAGGAGTAGCAGAGGTGAAAGAAAATTCATGTATAAGTAGACCCACACAGCTCAAACTTGTGTTGTTCAAGGATCAACTGTAGTTTTACGGAGACACAGTTCTGCCCATTCATTTACATATATGTTGTGGCTGCTTTCTCCTGAAAAATGCAGAATTGAATAGTTGTAAGAGAGCTTTGTTTTATGGCCAACAGAACCTAAAATATTTACTGTATTGCCCTTTATGCCAAATGTTTGTTGATATCTGCTCTGTAGACTTGTCTTTCTGGACATTTCCTGTACATAGAATCATATAATATGTAATGTTTCAAATCCAACTTTTTTCATTTAGCATGTTTTTGAGGTTCACCCGTGGATAACAAGTTAGCTCCTTCTTATTATTTAATGATATTCCATTATAAGGATATATCATATTTTGTTTATCTATTCACCACGTGATGGACATGTGCATTTAGCTGTCGTGAATAATGCTTTTAGCTGTTATGATTCCTAAACAAGTCTTTGTGTGGACATATGTTCTCATTTTCTTTGGGTAGATATCCAGGAGTGGAATTGCTGGGTCATATGGTAAATTTATGTTTAACATTTTAAGAAAATGTTAAACTGCTTTCCAAAGTGGTGGCTGTGCCATTCTACATTCCCATCAGCAGTGTATGACAGCTCCTTTTTATTTTTCTTCTTCTTTTTTCTTTTTTGAGACGAAGTCTTGCCCTATCACCTGTCACCCGGGCTGGAGTGCAATGGTGCGATCTGGGATCACTGCAACCTCTGCCTCCGGGGTTCAAATGATTCTCCTGCCTCAGCCTCCCGAGTAGCTGGGATTACAGATGCCCGCCACCATGCTCAGCTATTTTTTGTATTTTTAGTAGAGACAGGATTTCACCATGTTGGCCAGGCTGGTCTCGACCTCCTGACCTCGTGGTCCTCCAGCCTCAGCCTCCCAAAGTGCAGGGATTACAGGCTTGACCACTGCACTCAGCCAAGAGCTCCTTTTTCTCTATATCTTCCCCAATACTTAGTACTGTCTATTTTGATTATGCCATTCTAACGGGTGAAAAGTGTTATTGTGTTGTGTTTTAATTTGAATCTCTGAATGATTAATGATGTTGACTATCTTTTCCTGTGCTTTTTGCCATTCATATCTTTTGTGAAATGTCTATTCAAATATTTTGGCTATTTGTAAACAAGACTGTTTGCCTTATTATTGAGTTGTAAAAGTTCTTTGTATATTCTGAATAGAAGACTTTTGTCATAAATATTATTTGCACATATTTTTTACCGTTATGTAGATTGTCTATTTATTTTCTTAATGACATTGTCTGATGCACAAAGTTTTAAATTTTGACAAAGTCCAATTTGTCAATTTTTTTGTAATGTATTCTTTTAGTGTCATATCCAAAATACCTTTGATTGACCCAAGGTCATGAAGATTTTTCTCTATGTTTTCTTCTAAAGATCCTATGGTTTCAGTTCCTAAACTAGGTTTTAAATCCATTTGGAATTAATTTTTGCATATAGTGTGAGGTAAGATTTAAAACTGTTTCATCATTATTTGTCAAAAAGACTATTCTTTCCCCATATGTGTTGGCACCTTTCTTGAAAATCAATGGACCTAAATATAAGGGTTTATTTTTGTACTCTACATTTCATTCTATTGATCTGGATGTCTATCTTTATTCCAATACCACACTCATTGTCTTATTTGGAATTATAGTAATTTTTTAAATCAAGAAGTATAAGTTCTTTCACTTTGTTCCTTTTATGAATTGTTTTGACTATGCTGGGTCATTTGCATTAATTTATAGAGTTTCAGATCTGGTTGTTAATTTCTGCAAAAAAAAAAAAAAAGCCTGCTGGAGTTTCTATGCGTATTATGTTGAATCCATAGATTAATTTGAGGAGAGCTGACATCTTAACAATACTGAGCATTCCAATCCACGAACATGAAATATCCCTCCACTTATTTAGATCTTTAATTCCCTCAGCAATACTTTTTATAGTTTCAGTGTACAAGCCTTACACTTTGTTACATTTATTCCTGCATTATTATTATTGTCGATTACATTTTTTCTCAGTTTCATCTTTAATTTGTTCATTGCTAAGACATAGAAATACAAATACTTTTGCATATTGATTTTGTATCATGTAACTTTGCTGAACTCACAGTTTTGTGAATTTCCAAGGATTATCTATACATATCTGATTTTCTTGCTTGATTACACTGGCTAAAACCTGCAGTACCATGTTAAATAGGAGTGATGAGATTGAGCATCCTTGCCTCGTTTCTTATTTTCTTTTATCTTTAGTTATAATGTTAGCTGTAGGTTTTTGTAGATGCTTTTATCAGATTAAAGAGGCTCCCTTCTATTCCAGTTTTACTGAGTGTCATCATGAAGGGATGTTGGATTTTGTAAAAATGCTTCATCTATTGAGATGATTATGTGGTTTTATCTTTCATTCTATTAGTACAGTGCAATATATTACTTTTCAGATATTAAGTCACCTTTGCACTATGGAATAAATTCCACTTGATCATGGTGTACAATTCTTTGTATATGCTGCCGCATTCTGCTTGTTAGTGATTTGTTGAGGATCTGTGCATCTACATTTGTAAGAAATATTTGTCCGTAGGTTTTTAAAAAATAATGCCCTTTTTTTGCCTCTGATATGCAAATACTATCTTCATAGAATGAGATGGGAATTGTTCCCTTCTCCTTTCTATTCTGGAAGAGTTTATAAAGGGTTAGTATTATTTCTCTAAATGTGAGAGAAATCACCAGTGAAACCATCTGGGCCTGGGCTTTTTTGGTGAGATTTTAAGGCACTGATTACCTTTTTTTACTAGTCAGATTTTCTCATTCTTCTTGAGTCATTTTTAGTATTTTGAGTGTATTTTTATCTTTGGAGAAATTAGTCTATTCCATCTAAGTTGTCCAATTTGTTGACCTAAATATGTTCATGTTATTCCACTATAGTCCCTTAATTTTTATAAATTTGATAGTGAAGTCCTCTCATTTCTCATTTTACTAATTTGTCTTTTTTTCTTGATCAGTCTAGCTAAAGATCTGTCAGTTTTGTTGAATTTTTTAAAAAACTAATTTTTAATTTCACCAACTTTCTCTATTGCTTCTCTGTTATCTATTTCATTGATTTTTCACTCTAATCTTTATTATTTGCTTCTTTCTTCTTGTCTTGAGTTTAGTTTTTTTTCCCAGTTACTGAGTGAAAGCTTAGTTTATTGATGTGACATCCGTATTTTCTAATATGTATTTGTAGCTATAAATTTCCCTCTAAGTACTGCTATCATTGCATCCCATGTGTCTTGATGTGTTTTTTCCATTCCACTTAATATATTTTGTGATTTCTCTCTTGGTCCATGAAAATAAAAGTGTATTAATTTCCAAATATTTGTGGATTTCCCAAATTTTCTTCTTTTATAAATTTCTGTTGTGGTAGAAAAATATTGTATATGATTTTAATACTTTAAAATTTATTGACATTTGAATTTCTTTGATAGTGATGTTGAGCATTTGTTCATATACCTGGTGGCCAGTTGTATGTCTTCTTTTGAGAAATGTCTATGCGTATCCTTTGCCCACTTTTTTTTTGAGATGGAGTCTTGCTCTGTTGCCAGGCTGGAGTTCAGTGACATGATCTGAGGTCACTGCAACCTCTGCCTCCTGGGTTCAAGCGATTCTCCTGCCTCAGCCTCCTGAGTAGCTGGGACTACAGGTGCCCGCCACCAAGCCCGGCTAATTTTTTGTATTTTTAGTACAGATGGGGCTTCACCATGTTAGCCAGAATGGTCTCGATCTCCTGACCTCGTGATCCACCCGCCTCAGCCTCCCAAAGTGCTGGGATTACAGGCATAAGCCACCGCACCCGGCCCCTCTGCCCACTTTTTAATGGAATTCCTGTTGAGTTTCTTGTATATTCTGGATATTAGTATTCTGTTGAATGAACAGTTTGCAAATATTTTCTCCCATTCAACAAATTGTCTCTTACTCTGTTATTTCTTTTTGTGTGCAGAAGCTTTTTAGTTTAATTAAGTCCCATTTGTCTATTTTTGTTTTTGTTGCCTGTGCTTTTGAGGTCTTAGTCATAAATTCTTTGCGTAGACCAATGTCCAAAAGAGTTTTTCCTAGGTTTTAGTATTTTTAAAGTTCCAGTTATTACATTTAAGTTTTTAATCCATCTTGAGCTGACTTTTGTATATGATGAGAGATAAGGGTCCAGCGCCATTCTTCTGCAACTGGCTCTCCAATTTTCTCAGCACCGTATTGAAGAGGGTGCCCTTTCCCCAATGTAAGTTCTTGTTGGCTTTGTTGAAGATGAGTTGGCTGTAAATATGTGGCTTTATTTCTCAGTTCTCCATTCTGATCCATTGGTCAATGTATCTATTTTTATACCAATATCCTGCTGCTTTGGTTACCAAAAACATAGAATGGATGATTACATTCATATCTCATAAACCCCTTGTGGCTTTCCATTGACTTCAGAAAAATATCCAGACTTTTTCCACCACCTACAGGGTCTTACATTACCTGGTCCCTGCCTATCTCTATGCATCCATTATATAACACTCATCACTTTACTCAATTAACTCAAATAACTTACTCTCATTTTCTGAAATTGCAGTCTTATTCTTGACTTAAGCTTTTGCATTTGCTATTCTCCTAGACTGGGGCATTCTTGCCTTATATGATTATTCGGGTCTGAGCTCAAATGCTACCTCTTGAGATCTTCTCCAACAATCAAACCTATTTTCTTTCTTTCTTCCCTCCCTCCCTCCCTCCCTTCCTTCCTTCCTTTCTCTCTTTCTTTCTTTCTTTTTTTCTTTTTCCCAAGATGGAGTCTTGCTCTGTTGCCCACAGCTGGAGTGCAGTGGTGCAATCTTGGCTCACTGCAACCTCCACCTCCCCAGTTCAAGCAATTCTCCTGCCTCAGACTCCTGAGTACCTGGGATTACAGATGCGCACCACCACGCCCAGCTAATTTTTGTATTTTTAGTAGAGACAGGGTTTCACCATGTTGGCCAGGCTGATCTCAAACTTCTGACCTCGTCATCCACCTGCCTGAGCCTCCCAAAGTGCTGGGATTACAGGCATGAGCCACCGCGCCCAGCTTCAAACCTGTTTTCTACTCCGCCTCCACTAAGTCTTTTTTATCAAATCATTCTGATGACTTTCTTTATGCATTGTCACTATCTAAATTTACCAGTGGTCATTCTGTACCCTGGCCCACCTGCTGGGCTTGCCAGATAATAGCTGTTTTCATGAGTCCACGGAAGAAATTTATTGTTTTCATCATTCGTCTACTCAGGGTGGCACTCTCAATTTCTGATGGTTATTTTATTACTGCCCTCTCTATTTTATGTACTGTCTCCTTCTGAAACTGCTCTGGTGTAGACTCTGGAGCTATTTCTATTTACGCCACCCCAACCTCCAACTACTTCAATGGAAACTGTAGTTTATATAGTATTCTGTCTCCTAGTTAAGCTGTATGTGTGAGCTATGGGTAATTTTTATTTACTCTTCTTGTTAGCCTATGTGGGGGATTTTTTTGTTTGTTTTTTGTTTTGTTCTTTTTTTTTTTTTTTTTTTTTTTTTTGAGACAGATTCTCACTCTGTCGCCCAGGCTGGAGTGCAATGGTGCAATCTTGGCTCACTGCAACCTCTGCCCCCCGGGTTCCAGCGATTCTCCTGCCTCAGCCTCCCAAGTAGCTGGGATTACAGGCACCCGCCACCATGCCTGGCTAATTTTTGTATTTTTAGTAGAGACAGGGTTTCACCATCTTGGCCAGGCTGGTCTTGAGCTCCTGACCTTGTGATCCACCAGCCTCAGCCTCCCAAAATGCTGGGATTACAGGAGTGACCCACTGCACCTGGCCACCTGTGTGTTTTTTAGAACATATGTGGACAGATTGAAATTGCCATTAATTCTACAGGTTATGCCATTAACTTTAAAAATATATGTTAAGTTAATGGCATAACCTGTAAAATATATTTTAAAAATTAAAAGTTAAATATATTTTAATATATATTTTGTACCCAAACCAAAAACTGTATCATTTCAAATGATATTTAACAAATTATACTAATATTTTCATGATTTAAAATAAAGGCATTTGACTTAGTAAATGAAAAAAACTAGAAAAAAATATCCTTCTATATATGAAAGACATTATAAACAACATTTATAGGACTTTAATATGTTGATCTAAATTAAACATACATAACTTAAAATTATATTCTATCATATAAGAAATTTGAAAGACTATATACAGTCATCCCTTAGTAAACATGGGAGATTGGTTCTAGGACTTCTCAAGTATACCAAAATCCCTGCATACTCAAGTCCCGGAGTTAACTCTGTAGAACCTGTGTACATGAAAAGTCAGCCCTTTGTATATGTGGGTTTCACATCTCGTGAATACTGTATTTTCAATCCATGTTTGGTTGAAAAAAATCTGCAGAAAAGTGGATCCTCACAGTTCAAACCTGTGTTGTTCAAAATATTTCTGTTTAAGTTTTCTAAAAAAGAAAAATCTGGAAAAGTTCTAATACCATTCAGCCAATACAGTGTAAAATTAATTATCTGTCATGTACAGTAAAATTCCAGAATGAAGACTTAATGTAAATAACAATAATTATTCTTGGAATGCCTCTTTGATAAATCATGAGTAGTTCACCAAGAGATCTCAATATCTGGTGCTAAATTTAAATCCATGTTCATCCATCTGATGCTTTAAGTGTTCACTTTCAAATGCTCCCTAGTAAAGGTGCAAGACTGTATAATTTCTAAAGGTTTCTTGGAGTTCAGATGACCATAAATACATAGTCAATACACACAATATAGTGAGGTTAGGAAATTTGGGTTTGTATTCTCACAAGTCTGGATGGAAGTTCAGCATCAACACTCATTCATTGAGTTTGGGCCATTTAGCTCCATTCAACTTTGTTTTCTTCATCAGCATCATTAAAAAAATAATAATAGGCTGGGCATGGTGGCTCACACCTGTAATCCCAGCACTTTGGGAGGCTGAGGCGGGTGGATCATGAAGTCAGGAGATCGAGACCATCCTGGCTAGCACGGTGAAACCCCATCTCTACTAAAAATACAAAAAAAGAAAAAAAAAATTAGCCAGGCGTGGTGGCGGGCACCTGTAGTCCCAGCTACTCAGGAGGCTGAGGCAGGAGAATGGCGTGAACCCGAGAGGCGGAGCTTGCAGTGAGCCAAGATCACGCCACTGCACTCTAGCCTGGGGGACAGAGCAAGACTCCGTCTCAAAAAGAAAAAGAAAAAATAATAATAATTATAATACAGCATTTATTTTGTATTAATGCTGGCAAGAGTTAAAAGATGATGTAATTAATGGTATCTGCTTTAAAATATTAGCTATCACTATTATCATCACATAATGGAAAAGGCCTGACACAGTGGCTTATGGTTGTAATCCCAGTGCTTTCAACTGCTGAGGTGGGAGCATAGCTTGAGGCCAGAAGTTTGCAACATGCCTGGACAACATAGCAAGACCCCTGTCTATACAAAAAATTTTTTGAATTAGCTAGGTGTGATGGCATGTGCCTGTAGTCCTAGCTATTTGGGAGGCTAAGGCAAGAGGATTGCTTGAGCTGAGAAATTCAAGACTGCAGTGATCTATGACCGTACCACTGTGCTCCAGCCTAGGCGACAGAGCAAGACCTTATCTCTTAAAAAAAAAAAAAATAGTGAAAACATTTACCATGTGATTAAAAGTGATATATTCGCTTTTGTGAGAAGAGCAATGTATTTGCATATAGTGGTAACTTCATTTTATTACCAGTTTAGGAGAAGTAATACATGCCAAAAAGAAAGAAAGAAAAAAATCTTGGGAAAAAACTCTTAAAAATTCTATTCAATTTACTGGTATGATTGGATTGCCATTGCTGGAAAAATTAATAGTTATAAATAATATGAAAAGTTGTCTGGAGAAAAGCTGCCAGGCATGGTGGCTCACACCTGTAATCCCAGCACTTTGGGAGGCTGAGGTGGGCAGATCACCTGAGGTCGGAAGTTCAATACCAGCCTGGCCATGGTGAATCCTCGTCTCTACTAAAAATACAAAAAATTAGCCAGGCGCGGTGGTGCGTGCCTGTAATTCCAGCTACTCAGGAGGCTGAGGCAGGAGAATCACTTGAACCTGGGAGGCAGAGGGTGCAGTGAGCTGAGATCATGTCATTGCACTCCAGCCTGGGCAACAAGAGTGAAACTCCGTCTTGAAGAAAAAAAAGAGTTACAAGCCAGGCTGTGACATTTCTGCCTTTACAATTCTTTCTGCAGGCTTATTACCTCCTGACATCTAACCTTTATGTAAGTGGCCAATTGCTCTTTGCTGACTACTCCCCGAGTGTTTGCTTTTACAAAGTAAATTGTATCCCACTGATAAGGGTGGTAGGAAATCTACCTTTAAATCTGAGAAGCCATGGTTGATAAGGGAAAGTGATATAGTTTGGATATTTGCCCTACCCAAATCTCATGTTGAATTGTAATCCCCAGTGTTGGAGATGGGGCCTGATGAGTGGTGACTGGATCATAAGAGCAGATCCCTCATGAATGGCTTGGGCCATCCCTTTGGTGATAAGTGAGCTCTCGTTTCTAAGTTCACATAAGATCTGGTAGTTTAAAAGTGTGGGGCACCTCCCCACCACTATCTCTCTCTTGCTCTTGCTTTTGCCATATGATGTGCCAACTCGCACTTTGCCTTCTGCCATGATTGAAAGCTCCCTGAGGTTTCCCCAGAAGCTGAGCAGATACCATTGCCATGATTTCTGTACAGTCTGCATAACTGTGAGCCAATTAAACCTCTTTTAAAATAAATTGCCCAGTCTCAGGTATTTATAGCAATTCAAGAAAGGCCTAACATAAAAAATTGGTACCAAGGAGTGGGGCATTGCTATAAGATACCTTAAAATGTGGAAGTGACTCTGGAACTAGGTACAGGGCAGAAGTTGGAAGAGTTTGGAGGGCTCAGGAAGGTGAGGGAAAGTTTTCAACTTCTTAGAGACTGGTAAAATGGTTGTGACCAAAATGCTGATAGTGATATGAACAGTGAACTCCAGGCTGACAAGGTCTCATATGGAAATGGGAAATTTACTGGGAACTGGAGAAAAGGTCGTGCATGTTAGGCCTTAGCGAAGAACCTGCCTGCACTGCATTCATGCCTTAAGGATCTGTGGAAGTTTGAACTTCAAAATGACGATTTAGGGTATCCATTGGAAGGAATTTCTCAGAGAGAGAGAGCAATTTCTGAGAGAGAGGAATTCAAGCAGATTGTGGAGCAACGACTTGCTAGAGAAATTTGCATTACTAAAAGGGAGTAAAGTGCTAATAGCCAAGAAAATAAGGAAAAGGCCTTAATGGCATTTCAGAGACCTTGGCAGCAGCACCCCCCATCACAAACCCTGAGGCCTAGGAGGGCTGAATGGTTTCATGGGCCAGAGCCAGGTCATTGCTGTACTGTGAAATCTCAGGACACTGCTACCTGCATCCAGGCGACTGCAGCTCCAGTAAGGGCTTAAAGGGGCCAGTTCAGGCTGCCACTTTGGAGAATGCAAGCCATAAGCCTTTATGGCTTTCATGTGGTGTTAAGCCTGCGGGTGCACAGAATGTGAGAGTGAATGAGGCTTGGCAGCCTCCACCTAGATTTCAGAGGATGTATCAAAAAGCCTAGGTGTCCGGGCAGAAGCCTGCTGCAAGGGCAGAACTATCACAGAGAACCTCTACTAGGGCAGTGACAAGGGAAAATGTGGGATTAGAGTCCCACACTGAGATTCCACTGGGTACTGCCTAATGGAGCTGTCAGAAGGGGGCCACCACCCTCCAGACCCAAGAATCATAGATGCACCAGCAATTTGCACTCTGTGCCTGGAAAAGTCACAGGCACTCAACTCCTGACTGTGAGAGCAGCTGGGAGAGTTGCACCCTGCAAAGCCACAGGGACAGAGCTGTCCAAGGCCTGTGGAACCGGTGTGGTTTGGTCTGTGTCCCCACCCAAACCTCGTCTTGAATTGTAATCCCAACATGTCAAGGGAGGGACCTGGTGGGAGGTGACTGGGTCATGGGGGTAGTTTCCCCCTTGCTGTTCTCATCATAGTAAGTGAGTTCTCACAAGATCTGATGGCTTAAAAGTGTTTGGCAGTTCCCCCTTACGCTGTCTCTCTTGCCACTAAGTAAGATATACCTTGCTTTCCCTTCACCTTCTGCCATGATTGTAAGTTTCCTGAGGTCTCTCCGGCCATGCAGAACTGTGAGTCAATTAAAGCTCTTTTGTTTATAAATCACCCAGTCTTAGGTAGTAGGTTTATAGCAGTGTAAGAAATGGACTAATACAGGAGCCCACCTCTTGCACCAGTGTGCCCTGGATGTAGGATATGGAGTCAAAGGAGATGACTTTGGAGCTTTGTGATTTAATGACTGCCCTGCTTGGTTTCAGACTTGTGTGGGGCTTGTAGCCCCATTTCTTTTGGCCAGATCTTCCCTTTTAGAACAGGAATGTTTATGCAATGCCTATACTCCCATTGTAAATAGCTTGTTTTTTATTTTACAGGCTCACTGTTGGAAGGAACTTGCTTTGTCCAAGATGAGACGTTGAACTTTGGAATTTTCAGTTAATGCTGCAGTAAGTTAAGACTTGGGGGGACTATTGGGAAGGCATAATTTTATTTTGCAATGTGAGAAGGACATGATGTTTGGGAGAGGTCAGGTGCAGAATGACAGTTTGGATATTTGTTCCTGCCCTAATCTCACGTTGAGTTGTAATCCCCAATGCTGGAGATGGAGCCTGGTGGGAGGTGTTTAGATTACGGAGGCTGATTCCTCATTACTAGTTTGGGTCATCCCCTTGGTGATAAGTGAGCTCTCCCTCTGATTTCACATGAGATGCAATTGTTTAAAAATGTGGGTCACTTCTCCCTTCACCAACTCTTTCTCATTTGCTCCTGCTGTCATTATGTGATGTGCCTGCTCCCACTTCACCCTCTACCATGATTTAAAGTTCCCTGAGGCTTCCTGAGAAGCCAAGAAGACACCATTGCCATGCTTACCATACAGCTTGAAGAACTGTGAGCCAATTAAAACTCTGTTCTTTATCAATTACCCAGTCTTGAGTATTTTTTTATAGCCATACAAGAATGGCCTTATAAAGAAAGTATGTCTAAATTTCCTAAGTACCTATGGATTTGTGCCTCAAGAGGCTGCTTCAGTCCTGCTTGTTCATGTGTTGTTAGGAAGCTTAGAATGCCTCATTTAAGTGGTTACATTTAAGGTGAAAAGAGGAATAAATTACTCTTAGTTGTCTGGTTAAAACTGCAGAGGCAGTTGAATGATGCGTTTGGTGGGTGGCAGCAAATGCATATCAAGATTGCCCTGTCTATAAGCTGATTCTAAAATCATGAAGGAAATGCAAAGAACCAAGAAACAGATATGGAGGCCTTACACAATATACTATCAAGATTGATTATAAAAACATAATAATTAAGACAGTATGCTACTGGTGTAAGAAGAAACAAGCTGATCAGTGAACATAATGGAGTCCAGAAATATACTCACACATATATGATCACCTTACACATGACAAAGGTAAAACTGGTATAGCAAGGAAGGGATGATTTTTCTCAACAAATGGTGCTGGTCTGTTCTGATGTTGCTTGGAGAAAAAAAATGATGCTGGGCCAACTGGAAATTCATAAGGAAAAACTTTTAGCTTAAACCCTACCTCACACTATCAACAAAAATCAATTCAGTAAGATTTCATATTTAAATATTTAAAACAAGAGTTTAGAAGAAAACATAGAGGGCTAGGCACGGTGGTCACGCCTGTAATCCCAGCATTTTGGGAGGCCGAGGTGGGCGGATCACAAAGTCAGGAGATCGAGACCATCCTGGCTAACACGGGGAAACCCCATCTCTACTAAAAATCCAAAAAATTACTGGGTGTGGTGGCATGCGCCTGTAGTCCCAGTTACTCGGGAGGCTGAGGCAGGAGAATCGCTTGAACCTGGGAAGTGGAGGTTGCAGTGAGCCAAGATCATGTCACTGCACTCCAGCGTGGGTGACAGAGCGAGACACTGTCTAAAAATAGTAATAATAAAAAAAATGAAAAAAAAGAAGAAAATACAGAACATTTCATGACCTTGGAGCAGACAAACATTTAAGCAAAATATGCTTACTATAAAGAACATCGGTAAATGTACTACCTTAAAATTAAGAGCTTTTTTCCTTAAACATATTCTCACAACACAATATATTCAACAAAGGAACTGTACACAGAACACAAAAATATATTTTAAAAAATTAACATGTCAGTATAAAAAAGACAAGCAACCCTCAGCCTCCTAAAGTGAGCAAGAGTTTGAACAGCTATTTCACACCAGGACAAAAACCAATAATCACCTGAAAAGTGCACAACCTCATTAATAATCAGTGAAATGAAAACTAATGCCATAAGGTACCACTACATGCCTACCAGAATAACATGAAAGACTGACACCACTAAGTTTGCTGAAGATGTTGGACAATTGGAACTTTGGAAAGTTGTTTGGCAGTATTCATTAAAAATGAACATGATGTATGTACTATGACCCTGCAATTCCATTCTTAATCTATCTAATGTTGCTATAAAAGAATATCTGAGGCTAGGTAATTTGTAAAGAAAAGAGGTTTATTTGGCTCATGGTTCTGCAGTCTGTACAAGATGCATGGTACCAACATTTGCTCATTTTTTTATTCCAACTTTTATTTTAGGTTCAGGGCATACATGTACAGGTTATATGGGTAAATTCCAGGTCATGGGGTTTGGTGTACAGATTATTTTGTGAACCAGGTAATAAGCATAGTACCTGATAGGTAGGTTTGTTTGTTTTTTGATTTAAGAGTGGAGGTTTAGTAGGTGAAAGAAAAAGAAAAGAGAACAGCTCTCTCTCTTGCAAGAGAGAGGGGAGCCGGAATGGGACTTCCCTGATAGATAGGTTTTTTGAGCCTCCTCCCACTCCCAACCTTAAAGTAGGCCTTGGTATGTACTGTTCCTTTCTTTGTATTCATGTGTATTCAATGTTTAACTCCTGCTTAGAAGTGAGAACATGTTTTCTGTTCCTGTGTTAATTTGCTTAAGATAATGGCCTCCACCTCTATTCATGTTGCTGCAAAGCACGTGATTTCATTCTTTGTTATAACGGCATAGTATTCCATCGTGTATATGTACTACATTTTTCTTATCCAGTCCACCATTGATGGGCATTTAGGTTATTCCAAGTCTTTGCTATTATGGATAGTGTTATGATAAACATGCGCATGCATGTGTTTTTATGGTGAAACAATTTATATTTCTTTGGGCATATATCCAGTAATGGGATTGCTAGGTCAAATGGTAGTTCTTTGAGAAATCTCAAAACTGGTTTCCACAGTGGCTGGACTGATTTACATTCCCACCAACAGTGTATAAGTGCCCCCTTTTATCTGCAGCTTCATAACATCTTTTTTCTTTTTTAACTTTTTAACAAAAGTCATTCTGACTAGTGTGAAAATGATATATCATTGTGGTTTTGATTTGCATTTCTCTGATAACTGGTAATGATGAGCATTTTTTTATGTTTGCTGGCTTCTTGTATGTCTTCTTTTAAGAAGTGTCTGTTCGTGTCTTTTGCCCATTTTTTAATGGGGTTGTTTGGTTTTTGCCTGTTAATTGGTGTAAGTTCCTTATAGGCTCTGGATAATAGACTTTTGTTGGGTGCATATTTTGCAAATATTTTCTCTCATTCTGTAGGTTGTCTGTTCACTCTGTTGATAGTTTCATTCACTGCGCAGAAAGTTTTTTGTGTAGTTACCATTTGTCTTTTTTTTTTTTTTGTAATTGCTTTTGGCATCTTCATCATGAAATCTTTGCCAGGGCCTATGTCCAAAATGGTATTTCCCAGGTTTTCTTCTAGGGTTTTTGTAGGTTTGGGTTTCACATTGAAGACTTTAATCCATCTTCAGTGGATTTTTGCATATGGTGTGAGGAAGTGGTCTAGTTTCAATCTCCTGCATATGGCTAGCCAGTTATCCCAGCACTATTTATTGAATAGGGAGTCCTGTCCACATTGCTTGTTTTTGTTAAATTTGTTGAAGATCAGGTAGTTGTAGATGTGCAACTTTGCTTCTGGGTCCTCTGTTTTGTTCTATTGCTCTACGTGTCTGTTTTTGTACCAGCACCATGGTGTTTTGGTCACTGTAGCCTTCTAGTATAAAGTTGGGTAATGTGATGCCTCTAGCTTTGTTCTCTTTATGATTGCCTTGGCTGTTCAGGCTTTTTTGGTTCCATATGAATTTTAGAATACTTTTTTTTCTAATTCTGTAAAAAATGTCATTGGTCATTTGATAGGAATAGCACTGAACCTGTAAATTGCTTTGGGCAGTATGGCCCTTTTAACAGTGTTGATTTTTCCTCTCCATGAGCAAGGAATGTTTCTCCATTTGTGTTTTCTCTGATTTCTTTCAGCAGTGGTTTGTACTTCTCATTGTAGCTACCTTTCACCTTCCTGGTTAGCTGTATTTCCTAGGTATTTTAATTTTTTGTAGCTATTGTGAATGGGGTTATGTTACTGATTTAGCTCTCAGTGTGGATGTTGTTGGTGCACAGAAATGCTACTGATTTTTGTACATTGACTTTGTAAACTAAAACTTTGCTGAAGTTGCTTATCAGATCAAGCAACTTTTGGGCAAAGACTATGGGCTTTTCTAGGTATAAAATCACATCATCTGAAAACAGAGATAGTTTGACTTCCTTTTATATTTGGATCCCTTTTATTGCTTTCTCTTGCCTTATTTCTCTGGCTAGGACTTCCAGTACTATGTTGAATAAGGGTGGTGAGAGTGGACATCCTTGTCTTGTTCTGGTTCACTAGGGGAATGCTTCCAGCTTCTCCCTGTTCAGTGTGATGTTGGCTGTGGGTTTGTCATAGATGGCTCTATTATTTTGAGGTATGCTCCTTCAGTGCCTAGTCTGTTGAGGGTTTTTAACATGAAGGTATGATGAATTTTATTGGAAGCCTCTTCTGCACCTATGGAGATGATCATAAGATTTTTGTTTTCATTTCTGTTTATGTGATAAATCACATTTATTGATTTGTGTTCATTGAACCAACTTTGCATCCCAGGGATAAAGCCTCCATTTTTGTGGTGGATTAGGATTAGCTTTTTGATGTGCTGCTGGATTTGGTTTGCTAGTATTTTGTTCGGTATTTTTGCATCTATAGTCATCAAGGATATTGGCCTAAAGTTTTTGTTGTTGTGTCTCTGCCAGGCTTTGGTACTGGAATGATGCTAGCCTCATAGAATGAATTAGGGAGGAGTCCCTCCTCCTCAATTTTTCTTGGAATAGCTTCAGTAGTAATGGTACCAGCCCTTCTTTTTTATTTTTATTTTTTTTTGAGACAGAGTCTCGCTCTGTCGCCCAGGCTGGAGTGCAGTGGCGTGATCTCAGCTCACTGTAAGCTCCGCCTCCCGGGTTCACGCCATTCTCCTGCCTCAGCCTCCTGAGTAGCTGGGACTACAGGCGCCCGCCACCATGCTGGCTAATTTTTTGTATGCACCTGCCACCACGCCCGGCTAATTTTTTTATTTTTAGTACAGACAGGGTTTCACCGTGTTAGTCAGGATGGTCTTGATCTCCTGGCCTCGTGATCTGCCCGCCTCAGACTCCCAAAGTGCTGGATTACAGGTGTGAGCCACCGCCCGCCACTCAGCCCTTCTTTATCTGTCTGGTTGAATTCATCTATGAATCCACCTGGCCCTGGACTTTCTGGTTGGCAGCCTTTTTATTACTGATTCAATTTTGTAACTTGTTATTGATCTGTTCAGGGTTTCAATTTCTTCCTGGTTCAATTTTGAAGGGTTGTGTGTTTCCAGGAATTTATCCATTTCTTGTAGGTTTTTTAGTTTTTGTACATAGAGGTGTTTGTAACAGTCTCTGAGGATTTTTTGTATTTCTGTGGGGTCAGCGGTAATGTCCTCTTTGTCATCTATGTGTTTATTTGGATCTTCTCTTTTTCTTTATTAGTCTAGCTGGCAGTCTATCAGTCTTATTTATTCTTTCAGGGAACCAACTTCTGGTTGCATTGATCTCTTGTATGGTTTTTCACATCTCAATTTCATTTGGTTCAGCTCTGACTTTGGTTATTTCTCGTCTTTTGCTAGCTTTGGGGTTGGTTTGGCCTTGTTTCTTTAGGTCCTCTAGGTATGATGTGAGGCTGTTCATTTGAGATCTTCCTAACTTTTTAATATGGGTGTTTAGCACTGTAAACTTTCCTCTTAACACTCTTTGCTGTGTCCCAGATTCTGCTACGTTGTATCTTTATCATTCATTTCAAATAATTTCTTGATTTCTGCCTTAATTTCATAGTTTCCCCAAAAGTCATTCAGGAACAGGTTAATTTCCATGTAATTGTATAGTTTTGGGTGATTTTCTTAATATTGATTTCTATTTATATTGCACTGTGGCCTCAGAGTGTAATTGATATGTTTTTGCTCTCATGTTTTTTTCTTTCTGAGAATTGTTTTATGGCCAATGTATAGTCAATTTCAGAGTATGTGCCATGTTCAAATGAGAAGAATGTATATTCTGTTGTTGTGTGGAGTGTTCTGTAGTTGTCTGTTAGGTCCATTTGCTCAAGTGTTGAGTTCAGGTCTTGGAATATCTTTGTTAGTTTTCAGCCTCAAAGATCTGTTTAATACTGTTAATGTGGTGTTGAAGTCTCCCACTTTTATTGTGTGGTTATCTAAGTCTCTTTGAAGGTCTCTAAGAACTTGTTTTATGAATCTGGTTGTTCCAGTGTTAGGTGCATATTTAAGATAGTTAACTCTTCTTGTTGATGTGAACCCTTAATCATTGTGTAATGCCCTGGTCTCTTCATGTTTGTTGGTTTAAAGTCTGTTTTGTCTGAAATTAGAATAGCAACCCCTGTTCTTTTTTAAATTGCTTCATACATTTTCCTCCATCCCTTTACTTTGAGCCTATGGGTGTCATTTGCATATGAGGTGGATCTCTTGAAGACAGCATACAATTGGGTCTTGCTTCTTTATCCAACTTGACACTCTGCGTCTTTTAAGTGGAGTGTTTAGCCCATTTATGTTCAAGGTTACTATTGATATGTGCAGATTTGATCCTGTCATCATGCTGGTAGCTGGTTGTTATGCAGACTTGTGTGGTTGCTTTATAGTGTCAATGGGCTATGTACTTCAGTGTGTTTATGTGGTGGCTGTTAACAATATTTTATTTCCATATTTAGTACTCTTTTAAGGACCTCTTGTAAGGCAGGTCTGGTGGTAATGAATTTTAACATTTGTTTGTCTGAAAATAATCTTCCTTCACTTATGAAGCTTAGTTTGGCTGGATATGAAATTCTTGGTTGGAATTTCTTGTCTTTGAGAATGCTAAATATAAGGCCCTAATCTCTTCTGACTTGTAGGGTTTCCGCTGAAAGGTCCATTGTTAGTCAGATGGAGTTTCTTTTGTAGGTGACCTGCCCCTTCTCTCTAGTTGCCTTTAATATTTTTTCATCTTGACATTGGAGAATCTGATGACTATGTGTCTTGGGGATGGTTGTCTTCTATAGTACCTTGCAGGGGTTCTCTGCATTTCCTGAATTTGAATGTTGACCTCACTAGTGAGGCTGGGGAAATTTCTGTAGATGAGATCCTCAAATATGCTTTCCAAGTTACTTGCTTACTCTCTTGTCTCTTTCAGGGATGCCAGTGAGCCATAGGTTTGAGTCATAGGTCTTTTAATATAATCCCATATTTCTCAGAGGTTTTGTTCATTCTTTTATATTCTTTGTTCTCTATTTTTGTTTAAGTTTCAAACAACTGGTCTTCAAGCTCTGAGATTCTTTCCTCAGTTTATCTATTCTGCTATTAATAAATCTGATCATTTTATGAAATTCTTGCAGTGAGTTTTTCAGCTCTAGCAAATCTGTTTGGTTCTTTCTTAAAATGGTTATTTTGTCTTTCAGGTCTCATATTGTTTTATTGGATTCCTTCAATTCCTTGGATTGGGTTTTGACTTTCTCTTGAATCCCAATGATTTTTGTTCCTATCTAAATTCTGAATTCTGTATCTGTCACTTCAGCCATTTGAGCCTGGTTAAGAAGCATTGCTGGGTTACTAGTGTGGTTGTTTGGAAGTAGGGAGACATTCTGGCTTTTTGAGTTGCCAGAATTCTTGTGCTGGTTCTTTCTCACCTGTGTGTGCTGGTGCTCCTTTAATCTTTTGAAGTTGCTGGTTTTTTTTGATAGGGTATTTTGCTTTTATCTTTTTTTCTTTTTTTTTTTTTTTTTTTTTTTGAGATGGAGTCTTGCTCTGTTGCCCAGGCTGGAGTGCAGTGGCGTGATCTCAGCTCACTGCAACCTCCACCTCCCAGGTTCAAGAGATTCTCCTGCCTCAGCCTCCTGAGTAGCTAGGATTACAGGCATGCGTCACCATGCCCAGCTAACTTTTGTGTTTTTAGTAGAGATGGGGTTTCACCATGTTGGTCAGGCTGGTCTCGAACTCCTGATCTTGTGATCCGCCCACCTTGGCCTCCCAAAGTGCTGGGATTATAGGTGTAAGCCACTGTGCCCAGCCTGCTTTTATCTTCTTTGATGCCCTTGAGGGTTTGACTGTGGTGTAACTGGCAGTGCAGTGGGGTGTGCGTGTGTCAGCAGAGGTCAGGTACTGGTGGGAGCAGGATAGTGAGACCACCCATGGATGCCGGCAAATGGTGCAGGGAGGTTGTGGTGGGAGGAGGCTGTGGGTGTGTGGGTGCCCACCGGTAGAGGCCAGTCTGCTGGAGCTCTCTAGCAGTTAGGTATGGTTGGCCTGTAAAGGAGCTTTGTTGGCCGCCACTGGGGAGCACCCTGATTGGGCATCTGTGGCTGCACTGCAAATGGGCATGGCCAGGAAGGGACCCCCAGAGAGGTCAGCAGATTAGAGGAGCAGGGGCACTCAGGTAGACTGGCCTTGTCCCAAGGGCAAGACCACCCTGCTCTGTCCAGGTCTGACAGTTGACAAAGCCAAAGTCACCCAGAGGAGTGTGGTGAGCCCTAGGGGATGGGTGTCCTTGGTTGCACTCTGCTGTAGCCATTCCCGTGCCAAACCCTCTGGGTTCTGCAAAGGCTGGAGTCCTTTCCCCGCCACTGCTCCGAACAACTCTCCGTCAGCTTAAATGTCCGTAGGGGTTGTGGGGTTTCCTGCAGTTAGGATTCTGGAGGTCCATGGTGAGAGTGGGTCACTCGCCTATTTAACTCACCCCTTACCCAGGAGCCACTGGGGACCAGGAACAAATCCTAGTGCTCACCTGCCCTGGGCAGGGTTCCCAGCTTCCTTCCCCTTGAGCCCAGTGTCTGTATTTTCCCTCTGTCCACTCTCAACACCTTCCTTCCAAAGGTCTGCTCAGAGTGTGCCAGTTTTCTTGATGGTCTGGTCTCTTGGTGAGAGATGCTCTTCCTGGCCCCATCTAGTCAGCCATCTTAGCTCCCTCCCCAACTCTCTTAGATTTCTCCAAGCATTATTGTACTGATCTTCAATGTTCTGGTATTCCTGTTTCCACTTCCTGGTTCTGGAGTGTACTGGTATCTTCCCTACACATCTCCCAACACTTGCAGGTAACAGGGTGACAGAGCAAAGGCAAAGGAGCAGTAGAGAGTAACCGAGCAGTGGACATGTAGGCATAGAAGACAAAGGCCCAGTGAGATCCTGCAACATTTGCTTCTGATGAGGGCCTCAGGCTGCCTCCACTCATGGTGGAAGGCAAAGGAGAGCTGGTTGTAGAGATCACATGGCGAGAGAAAGCAAAAAATGGGGGAAGTGCCAGGCTCTTTTAAACAACCAGGTGTCATTGTTGTTAATCGGCAACAACAATTAACTTGTCCTTGGGAACTAACTGAGCAAGAACTCACACTCCCACCACCGCAAGGCATTAATCTATCCATCAGGGACCCGCCCCCCGACCCAAACACCTCCCATTAGGCCCTACCTCCAACACTGGGGATCAAATTTCAACATAAGATCTAGAAGGACAAACATTCAAATTGTAGCACATTCCTAAGCAGAAGTATGTACCTATGTGCACCAAAATTCATGTACTAGAATATCTGGATCAGTACTAGTTTCCAAATGGTAAATGAACCAAACAGCTGTCAGATAAACAGTATGTGGTTTATTCACACAATGAAATATTATACAACCATGAGAATGAAAATCCATGTACAAATACATGCAACAAAAATCTCACAAACATAATATTGGTGAAAAGAAACCAGATACGAAGAATGCATAATTCCATTTATATATCTCCCCAAACCAGACAGAACTAATCTATGCGCTTAGAACTCAGGATAGTGGTTTCCCTTGGAGAGGTAGTTAACTGGAAGGGAATCTGACGGGGGGCTTCTGGGGTGCCGATTGTATGCACGTGCTCCACTTGTGAAAAATCATTGATGTGTTTCTATAGTTACACTTTAATAAAAAGTTAAACAAAATGATTTGCCTCTGTCTGGATACTCGACTCAAAACTGAAAAAAATGTCTCCTTTGCTCTCAGCCTCTCACTTTGGCTACACTCTCGTACTGGCATTCTCAGCTCCTGCCACTTGCAAATGGTGAGGGTGGGAAGAGAATCCCTCTCCCTGCCATGCAGGCTAAACTAGATTTGCTACAGGTTGGGCTGCTAAAGAAGGTGGTCTACCAAACTGAAATTCAAGTCTTATCTCTGCTTCCTGCCAGTGCACTCAAGTGCTGTCTTGCTCTCTCTAACCCCCTCTTTCAACAAAGCCCCTTACTCAGAAATAAACACTCCTCTCAGGGAACATCTAAGTAAGTATCAACGTTTTGAACCAAAAGAATGGAGCTCTAATAGTTAACATCTCAAGCTGCAGGTGGTGGATGGGTGAGGAGTCATCTGGGCTGACACCCGTGGAGGTATATAACAAGCACTTGGAGGGCAGGCCCAGCTTGAGGAGGGGGTGTGAAAATCCTGGCTCTCCTTTGGGCAAGTCTGTATCCTCTATGACTCAGTTTCCTCATCATTAAAATGGGAATAACGGTGCTGAGATGTTATAACAATCAAAATGAGTTACCACAGGTGAAGAATTTAGCAAAGTGACTGACTTAGGTAGGAGGCTAATAAACATTAGCTGTCAGCTCAGCTTTGTCCAAGGTATGTTGCCCCCAAAAAAGCACAACCCAGGAGAAGTCCAGGGAGCAGGGGACTTTAGGGCTTGCTCAAGTCTCCACAGCCAAACTGGAGAGTACCCTTGGATGTCCTGTGCTTCCTCAATATCGTGGTGAGGTGCAGGCACTAAGGAGTGGGGTGACTTTAGGCCTACATGGGAGCAGAGGACAAACTGAGCAGCACGAGAGGGAGGGAAGAACTGACAGTGCCCTGGGATCCAGTCCTGTATGCATCTGCTAAATATCATTACACAAGTGTAGTAGCCTTTGCACTGGTTGCCTTCAAAGAATTAGGAATGTTGTTCTGTCAGAGGGCGGGGAATGAAAACACTTGTCAAGTGTGCAGTGTTTGATATAGCAGCAACTAGGGAGGTTCTAACATCACACACTTGTACTTCCTATTTGACCAACAGGCCATCAAGTACCACAGGCATTTTGGTACAACTTCTATTATTAGGGCCTGGTCCCTGGATTTGGCCTCTATTTTGCAGACCCTAGAGACCCTCTGTGGTGACTGGCTTGAGATAACCCAAATGCACAAGGCCTGAGGTAGACAACAGAAAGTCAGTTTTTCAACAAAAAACAATGTTTGGTAGCTAGAATATTCACACTGGCATTTTCACCCTGCAGGCAGACCTATACAAGTAGCCAAACCTTCATTACAAAGATACTTGAAGAGTACTTGAATACAAATCAAAATGACATAATGGCACTAAGCTAAAAAACAGGCTGAAAAAGAAATTCCCAAAGAGAGTTAACAAAACTGGATACCTGGCCATCTCATGGCTGAGCAAGCTTTGTCTTCTTTTCTATGATCCTGACCAATATACTCCCAACTCTGCTCTGATCCTCTATTAACATGTGAAGTCAGAGAGCGGTCATGCTCCCTCAATTTCCAAGTGTGGATGGGGGAGCAGGCTGGGAAACTCACTGTGCTGGCAATCTACCTTTCAGTCATTTCAAGATTGCATTAACATAAGTGAGAGTCTCCACCCAATGTTTTCTCCAGCTGAAGGCCAATTTCTTTGGAGAGTCACCCTGGACCCAGAGAACCTGGCTGGGTACTGAAGGCACAGCAGGGCCAAGCCTGATGGTGCAGTGACTCTGCAGAGTCACTCTCACAGAATTGCAATACTTTCCACAGGTTAGAACACGGCTCCCACAGAAGTGGTTAAAAACTGCCAGCTCCTCTCCCTGAACACAAGCCACTAGTGCTTTCTCAAGTATATTCTAGGCCCAAAGAATTCAACATCAGCATTCTTGGTTAAATCACAATCCAGCCATGTTCCCAGATCAATCATCGCAATCCCCAGTTCCGTCATTCCCACCAATAGCTGGTTAGGTCTTCATTTCCAATTCCATTCTCAGAGGATAAACTGCATGGCAGGTCTGGGAGTGCCCCACTTCACTGAGCTTGCAGCAACAGGTGCTCTTCCTGGCCCGACGGTGGAAAGCCATGCCTCCCTCATAATAGTTACCGTAAGTCCTGAATAGAATACCGAACATTTAGACGACAAGGTGTGTCAAGGAAGAGTCCTACTAGCTCCCTTCCACCTTGGTGATCGGAGAGGATAGGCAGGGGAAGCCTTTTCTAGTCCTCTTCCTAACAGTTCTTAAGTCAATATCCAGAAACTTAATTGTAACAAGGAGACACAGGGGCTTGGGGCCGGGGGGAGGGGGGTGTAGGGTGGTGGAGGAAGAACTGATAAGGCAAGAGACAGGCAAAGCTCAAGGAGGAAGGTGGTGCCTGAACACAGCGCCTGCAGGTGTGGCTCCAGTAAGCCTCCCTGACACCAACAACAGTGGGCTCAGTCCCCAGAGCATCTTCTCAGATCTAATCTTGCTCTCTGCTCCTTTCTGTTCACTGAAGGCCTTAGTAACTCTACCTTTCTGTTCTCCCTGCTTTGTATTACCACTGGCTACTCCATCGTTTGGAGGATTCTTCTCTCCCCCAAGTTACCCATGGCGTGGAAGAGGTTTCAGGCTAAAAGTACATGTATTATTATTACCTGTTAATTAAGACCAGTAAATGTGAACAGAGGAAATAATGATGATGTTTTTCCTGTACCTACAAAGCTATCAATATACTTCCTGGCACTGCCCTAGAATGAAAACGAACCTGCATATGTGACAGGAAGACTTCCTTTCCCCACCTCACTGACACCATTTACAAACCTTTCCTAGCTAATACAGCCACCAGAGTCAGATGCAGTATTACTTATTTCCAAAATGACTTAAGGCAAAAAGACTTATTTTTGTAAACTGGTAACACTTTGTGGAGATTCACAGGCTGCAGAAGGAACTGAAATGAGGAAATCCATATTTTCTTGCTAAAAAGTTTGCAACTCTAACACCATGAACAGTTAATAGATGCACACTAATGAAGACACTATGTTTTTAAAACAAGTATTGTGAATTACAGAAAGTAATGTTTTTGTAAATCATGGCTTAATAATTTAAAAAAGAATACTCAATTGCTCTGCTTCATTCTTGAAGTTTTTCACTACATCTACATCTAAAAACTGGTAAGTTTTCCAAATGGTGGTGTAAAGCAAGGACAACAGTTCACATAAGTACCAGTTTTGGAAAAGCAGTCAGTTACACAAGTGACAACTTTAACAATGGCTCCTACGGTGCAAAGTGCTGAGGTTGTAACAGAGGAACAAGTATTGCTTATTTCTGAAGTGGGTACATGGCATCAGATGGTGAGAATATTCCTACTGCAGTTCCATGTATAAATTTGGAAAAAATGTGCAACATGTCTACATGGGAGGGATTTTCACTAAATTTTGAGAAAAATAACTATGGCACCATTTGTTCAATGAAGAAAGGTAAATGTGTCTAATCACAATCTTGATAACTGGAAACATTAATTACTATGGTAGCAATTTCTGAAAAGAAAGCCCCAAAATTCCAAAATTCTATGCTGCCACTTAAAATGTTCTAACCAGCTCCTGAATTGCAGCATGTTAATGATTATTTCAAAATGCAATAAATTGCTAAAATTTTAGCTAAGTAACTTTTATGAGCATCTGAAATTGAGTTTTAAACTTATAACTTCAGCAATACATATTGAACACTTACATTCAACTGTACAGACCATTAAATGTTGAAAAATGCTATATAACAAAACCATAGAAATGAGCACACTATGAAAATGCTCTCTGACCAATTCTATAACTGCAATAAATTGAATACTGTAAACACACACAGGACAAATCTGAACACTGTGGAAAGAGTTTAGTTGCTTTATCAAGTCATATTATATTTTTATGAGCTAAGATCATAGAGGCAAATGGAATTCTTAGAACATTACCTAAAAATAGATTTTTAAAGACAGAGGTCCCAACTCATTCTTATATACACATGCAAAAGTTCATCTGTCACAGACAGCAAATGTTGAATTTCTACATTGGAGTTTCTGGCAGCATCCTGCACATTTAGAATTAAAATCAACAGACAGAGAAATATCAAATATATCGAGATGAGTTGTTCAAATTTGTGCAGGACAGAACACGGCCCCTCTGGGACTACTGCCTATGTGCTCACTGCTGTTTCTCAAAGGCAAACACCAAGTAAATACCTAAAGAAGAAATAAATAAGAGTTCAGTTTCTCATATGATTACAATAAATAAAACAATCTGTCTTGTTCATAATTTGGTGAAAATTCTTAGGCTCTCAAGCAGCTTCTGAAGAGGAAAATCCCCATTAATTCTAAGAGTTCCTCTATTATTTGAATCATTTTTAGGCAGACATGGGATGGTACTTGCTTACTTTAAAACAATTATCTACTTACTATAATACTCAGTGATATTGCAGCCCATGGGAAAACCAGTTCAACAGCTCTAAAAATCAGTTTAAGGTAAGAAAAATAAAAGTATAACTAAATTAGAAGTATAACAAATTAAAATTATAATAAAATTAAATTTTAAATAAGTATAACAAAGAAAACTAGAATTAAAAATATTAAAGATATTTTAGAAAACTAGAATTAAAGGAACATACATAACATGACATGTTAACAATTCACCCAATTATCCAATTATTGTGTTGTAGGGCCTTGTGAAGAAAGTAAGCCAAAAGCTCTACGACAATCAATACTTCAGAGATATTATTTCTATTTCTACATGTATTAGCCCCAAGAGCTCTCTCCCTGAAATAAGGTTTCCTGCTTTGACTCAAAGACAGCTAAATGAATTTAGGATTCCTTGTTCTGAATCAAGTTGAAACCTATTAAAGGCATACCTAGCTTTATTTAGCTTTACAAATTGGTGTTTTTTACAAATTGTAGGTATGTGGCAATACCATATCAAGCAAGTCTACTGGCACCATTTTTCCAACAGCACATGCTCGCTTCGGGTTTTTATGTCACATTACGGTAATTCTTGCATTATTTCAAACTTTTCCATTATTATTTGTCATGATGATCTGTAATCAGTGATCTTTGCTGTTATTACTGTAATTGTTTTGAGGTGCCACAAACTTTATCGAGGTGCCTTTATAAGATGGAGAACTCATAAATGTCATGTGTGCTCTGACTGCTCCACTAATCAGCTGTTCCCTCATCTCTCTCCCTCCCTCTCCTTGGCCTCTCTGTTCCTGGAGATACAACAATATTGAAATAAGGCCAGTTAATAATCCTACAATGGTCTCCACATGTTCAAGTGAAAGGAAGACTTGCACATCTCTCACTTTAAATCAGAAGCTAGAAATGACTAAGCTTAGTGAACAAGGCATGTAAAAAGCTAAAATAGGCAAAAAGCTAGGCTTGAAATCAGCCGTTATGAATGCAAAGGAAAAGTTCTTAAAATAAAAGTCTACTCCAATGAACACACTGGAATAAGAAAGCAAACAGCCTTACTGCTGATTTTCAGAAAAAGTCTGAGTGGTCTGCAAAGATCAACCAGCCACAACATTCCCTTTATCCAAAGCCTAATTCAGAGGCCCTAACTCTCTCTCTTCAATTCTATGAAGGATGAGAGAGGTGAGGAAACTGCACAAGAAAAGTCTGAAACTAGAAGTTGGTTCAGGACGTTTAAGGAAAGCAGCCACCTTCATAATGTAAAAGTGCAAGATGATGCAGCAAGTGCTGATGTAGAAGCTGCATCAAGTTATGCAGAAGATCTAGCTAAGATCATTGATGAAGGTGGCTACACTAAATAAGATCTTCAATGAAGACGAGACAGTCTTCTATTAGAAGATGCCATCTAGGACTTTCATAGCTAGAGAGAAGTCAATACCTAGTTTCAAAGCTTCAAAAGACAGGGCGACTCTCCTGTTAGGGACTAATGCTGCTAGTGACTTTAAGGTGAAGCCAATGCTCATTTATCCTTCCAAAAATCCCGAGGCCCTTAAGAATTATGTAAAATCTGCTCTGCTCATGCTCTATAAATGGAACAAAGCCTGGATGACAGCATATCTGTTCACATCACGGTTTACTGAGTATTTTAGGCCCACTGTTGAGACCTACTGCTCAGAAAAATAAAATTCTTTTCAAAATATTACCGCTCATTGGCAATATACCTGGTCACCCAGGAGGTCTGATGAAGATGTACAAGGAGATCAATGTTATTTTCATGGCTGCTAATACAACATCCATTCTGCAGCCCATTGATCAAGGGGTACTTTTCATTTTTAAGTCTTATTATTTAAGAAATACATTTTGTAAGGCTATAGCTGCCATAGATAGTGATTCCTCTGATGGATCTGGATGAAGTAAATAAAAAACCTGATGGAAATGATTCCCCATTCTAGATATCATTAAGAATGTTCATGCTTCATGGGATGAGGTCAAAATATCAACATGAACGCAAGTTTAGAAGAACTGGATTCCAACCCTCATGCATGACTTCAAGGGGTTCAACACATCAGTGGAGGAAGTAGCTGCAGACGGGATGGCAACAACAAGAGAACCAGAATTAGAAGTGGAGCCTGCAGATGTGACTGAATTGCTGCAATCTCATGATCAAACTTGAACAAATGAAGAGCTGCTTCTTATGGATGAGCTTGAGATAGAATCTACTTCTGGTAAACACATTGGGAACATTGTTGAAATGACAAGGATTTCGAATATTAATATTACAAAAACTTAGTTGATAAAGACCAGTAGGGTTTCAGAGGAGTGACTCCAATTTAGAAATAAGTTCTACAGTGGGTAAAACGCTATCAAACAGCACTGCATGCTACAGAGAAATCTTCTGTGAAAGAATGGTCAATCAATGAGGCAAACTTCATTGTCTTAACTGCCACAGCCACACCAATCTTCGGCAACCACCATCCATCAAGAGTATTTCCGCCATGGAGGAAAGACCCTTCACCAAGCAGAAAAGATTCAGATTCACTGAAGGTTCAGATGATCATCAGCATTTTTTTACCAATGAAGTATTTTTAAATTAAGGTATGTACATGGTTTTCAGACACAACACTACTACACACTTAACAGACTACAGTAAACATAACTTTTATATGCACTGGGAAACCAAAAAATCTGAGTGACTTGCTTTATTGTGGTGGTCTAGAACTGAACTTGCAGTATCTCCAAGGTATGCCTGTATATCTTCTAATAAAATACCAATAGATTTTAGGGCAAGAAAATACCTGCAAAGGTGACAAATCCTGCAAACATCACAAGGATGTTTGGGGCATGTGCTAGGATACTCAACAGTGAGTCAAGATCAAGTCCATCTAAGCTGGAGGCCTCACTCCTTGAGATGACTTCTTTTGAAGGGAGGGTAGATGAACACAGCTAACTGCCTGATGGCCTCCCAAGACTCCAGCTTCTTGCTCTTCCAACCCAACTTGTACAGGAACACCATAGCAGTTTTTCCAAAATACTACTTTGGTCACCTTATTTACCGGTTTCCAATTTCTTTTAGTTGAAATGAAATGTGGCTAGTAGCACAGCGATAGGACAGAAAACAGGCAGGGTGTTCATCAATTCTGTGGTTCTTGCCAGAAGGTAAGGAGACAAAGCAGTCCCCAGCACTTGCAACACATCAGCGTGCACAGCATGTCAGCACTCACAGCTGGCCAGTATCACTCATGCTGTCCCCCACTCTGTGTGACCTTTGTGCAGCCCAGCCCTGCCAAATCCCACCCCCCACACACCCATAGCAATTGCAAACAACCCCTCAGTCCTGTCCTGTCCTCATTTAGGGTCATTTGAAACCACTAACATGCTAGAGTCTGATTTTCAATACATAATAGCAACTTTCTTTCTAACTTGAAACTCCTAAAAAGTCCCACTTATTGTATAAAATGCCTTCTATGCAGGCATTTCAATTGGGATTTAAAAAAATCAAATCGTGAACCACTTCCACTTCCAGAAATAAATCAATAGCAATTCTCTCCTTTCTCATTTAAAGCCATCTTCTAGAGGAGCAGCAGCTCTGGTGATAGCTTAATGATCAGACCAGTAGAAGTCTAAAATGTAGCCTGGGCCTTTTAGACTCGTGATGGCATGCAAAATACGCTCAACCCACGAAGCCCTCTAGCTTAGAACAGAGCAATTCATCAAACAGCCAAACAATCCTGGGGTGCTACACCCGAGGTGCAATTTGGCCACTGCTCTCTTCGCATGTCCAGCCCATCTCTTCCAATTGTCTGGGGCCATCTAATTTTTCATTTGTACATGATGACTAAAGTCCACACTTAATAATATAAAAATACAGTTCTAAGCCACAGCCAGTACCGCCATCATGATGACTCGTGATCAAAATTTACACTCTACTTTGGGACCAGCAGGATGTCTAAGACAGGCAACCAGTCTCCACTGCAGGGAAAAAGTAATAAAATCCATAGTTTATGCACATGCTCACCAGTGTGTCAAGCATGATCGTATGTGTATAACATCCTCCAGTCCGATTTCTAGTAATAGTACCAATGTTCAAAGACAAATAGCCTCAAAATACTGGTCTTGCTTGACTCCTTTCCTCTTCTTCTCTATCCAACTCAGGAAGTCTTACTAGATTTTCCTTTTGCCAGGCTTCCATGAAACCATAGTTAAAATGACAGATCACTTAGGTAAGCTAACCACAGGTTAGCTCTGTGATCTTAGCTAAGTTGTTAGTCTTCTCATCTGTGAAAGGAGATATAATACTCTACTCATAAAGTCATTGTGAGGATTAAATGAGTTACAACATGTGAGTTATTACAAGGATTAAAAACGTTACACGCACCTGCACATGTTCAACACTCAGTAATATCAATATTACTACATCCCAGATGTCATTAGTTTAGTTTTCATTAAGCTCTCTTTCACCTTTGTGCCCCACTACAGTATCATTAGCACTTAAAAATTTGCCTAGTAGTGTTTATTTGTGCCTGTTCCTTCCATTACAGTGTAGACTTCTAGAAGGTAGAGATTTAACATCTTTATTTTACTTTACCTTTCACAGAACTTCACGTAAATCAATAATGTTTATCAAATGGATTGTCCTTAATGACCACTTGTGCCTCAACATCACCAACAACCATGTAAGGGGATTCCTACAGTAACAATGAGGCTCTGCAACCTGACTTCCTCAACACCCACTGCTGAAGAACCACAGGCCTTCACAGATTTGCTGTGCTTCTGGCTTCTCTTCTGAACACAGGAACCTCACTTCAGAATATCTTTGCACCACATTTGTCCCCTATCATGCACACCTCTAACACATCCTGCTCATGGATGTTTCATTGAATGTTCTAGTATTATTATGCCTTCACTGTCACATCAGAGTGGCCAAATAAAAAAAAGACATGCAAGTATTCTATAAGCCAAAAATTCCAGTAGAAATCTGAGGTAAACACTTCAAATGGAGATGGCTACTTAGTAACAAATAGGCAATGAGAATGTTTACACATGCTCACTCAAGTTTATGCTGAGGAAGACCCTGTGTACAGTGTATCTTCTCTTGGCACTACACAGCTGTGCAAGAAAGGAGGATTAGACATATGTAGAGATATACGTATTTGTGTGTGTGTGTAAACACAAACACAACCTAAAATGTCAGAAAAACTCAAAGTTTTCAGATTTTTTTTTGAGAGTCTCGCTGTGTTGCCCAGACTGGAGTGCAGTGATGTAATCACAGCTCACTGCAGCCTTGACTTCTCAGGCTCAAGGAATCCTCCCACCTCAGCCTCCTGAGTAGCTGGACTACAGGCACATGCCACCATGACTGGCTAATTTTTTTGTATTTTTGGTAGAGACAAGCATTTGCCATGTTGCCCAGACCGGTCTCAACTCCTGGGCTCGAGGAATCTGTCTGTCTCGGCATCCCAAAATACTGAGAGTACTGGTGTGAGCCACAGTGCCCAGCCTTTTTTCAGGTTTTAATGATCACTTTGAAACAGGACTTTTGAAATTATCAGTTAATCTATGCTGATGATATACTCACTTGTAGCTTCCCATTCTGATTTACTTAAGGTTCCCTAAAATTACAAAAGAGAAAAAGAAAATTTTAGATTCAATATGGAAGTAAACATATGCTTATTTCTAAATAATGGGCAGAGATGGCCAAAAGACCCTAACTTCACTGTAAATACACATTCGATTCACTGTTAATCATATTGTGACCTGAGCATATAAAAGAAATCGGTGAGATTCACTTTGAAAGTCATCTTCTCAGACTTTTATCCTCCTGCCAAATTCTCAAATTCTCATCCAAAGGGTGAATGTGTGTGAAGAGGGCATTGTGTGTGTGTGTGTGTGTGTGTGTGTGTGTGTGTAACTGGAAAATGCATCTATCTTGTATTATTTTTTTTTTCTTTTTTTGAGACAGAGCCTTGCTCTGTCGCCCAGACTGGAGGGCAGTGGCGTGATCTTGGCTCACTGCAAGCTCTGCCTCCTGGGTTCATGCCATTCTCCTGCCTCAGCCTGCCGAGTAGCTGGGACTACAGGTGCCCGCCACCACGCCTAGCTAACTTTTTGCGTTTTTAGTAAAGACGAGGTTTCACCGTGTCAGCCAGGATGGTCTCAATCTCCTGACGTTGTGATCCGCCCGCCTCAGCCTCCCAAAGTGCTGGGATTACAGGCGTTGAGCCATTGCGCCCGGCCTATCTTGTATTCTTTCTTTTTTTTGAGACAGAGTCTGGCTCTGTCGCCCAGGCTGGAGTGCAGTGCTGCGATCTCGGCTCACTGCAAGCTCCGCCTCCCGGGTTCACCCCATTCTCCTGCCTCAGCCTCACAAGTAGCTGGGACTATAGGGGCCCGTCACCACGTCCAGCTAATTTTTGTATTTTTAGTAGAGGCAGGGTTTCACTGTTAGCCAGTATGGTCTCGATTTCCTGACCTCATGATCCACCTGCCTCGGCCTCCCAAAGTGCTGGGATTACAGGCGTGAGCCACTGTACCCGGCCCTATCTTGTATTCTTAATTTGGAAAATGAAAAAATAAAAAAGGCCTATCTTGAAATATCAAACAGCACTGGTGGAAAAAATACAATTTTTGTGTTTTTTCAAAGGAATAACAAAATAAAGTACATATCACACAAAGGAAATAAATTATATTTATGTAGCTATCAAAATATTAAAGATATGTGTTGCTTTGCACACACCATTAACTATAATAACAAGATCTAGTGGCAGTTCTAGTGATGTCATTTTTCCAGATGTGATAAATGAAAACAATATTCTAAGATATTAGCAAAAATGTGCTATGAAAATATCTGTAACTTCTACTGATGACAAAGTCACAGCAGCAGCTAATACCACTGTGGTACTATTGTAGTAATCATTCTTAAAATGTAAACTTTTACGCAGAAATTAGTATAGGTGAAGATGTAATTTTTTCCCATTTAAATTCCTGGACTGCTGCATTCTATGTATGAAATGCTGTGGTTCATTGGTGCCTACATTAGCAGGGAACTTGCACACCAACCCTGTAATTTTTTCACTGTCCTCATTGCCTTAGATATAGCACTCCATTCTCAGTCCATTGAAATAAATTTTATTCCATATTCTGTGGTTATAACAAGTCAACATCACTTAGTGGAAACAACTGATTTGTAAGTCAGTGAGCCTAAGTATTGTAAACAAGTGAAATCATTTCCTATGTCTCCATATAAGCATGTTCTTTTTTTCATTCTCTATAAAATACTTTCATAAATTAAAACTTACCAAAGGTAACCTTACTTGACTGTTCTTCATGTACTTTGCTGCATGTTCATAGTCATCCACCTTCTCAGAGACAAGTTTAGAACTCTCATTTGCAGGATATGGCTGGGGAAAGAAATGAAAGTCCTAGTTACAATAACGGAAATTTACAATTCAGAATTAAACATGCTAAATCACTGAAATAACATAATTAGGAGAATAATCCGTAAGTACTACTTCAGGAATACAAACTATACATACTTTTGAAATACAGAAAAAAATTAAAAAAAAGGAAGAATCCTCTCTTAAACCAATTTTTTTTAAATATTATACTAGGGTATATTATTCCAGGGTACATGTGCAAATCGTTCAGGTTTATTACATAGGTATACATGTGCCATGTTGGTTTGCTGCACCCATCAACTCATCATTTACATTAGGTATTTCTCCTAATGCTATACCTCCCCCAGGCCCCCACCCCATGACAGGCCCCCCGGTGTGTGATGTTCCCCTTCCTGTGTCCATGTGTTCTCATTGCTCAACTCCCACCTATGAGTGAGAACATGTGGTGGTTGGTTTTCTGTCCTTGTGTTAGTTTGCTTAGAATGATGGTTTTCAGCTTCATCCACGTCCCTACAAAGGACATGAACTCATCCTTTTATATGGCTGCATAGTATTCCATGGTGTATATGTGCCACATTTTCTTAATCTAGTCTATCATTGATGGACATCTGGGTTGGTTTCATGTCTCTGCTACTGTGAATCAGTGCTGCAATAAACATACGTGTGCATGTGTCTTTGTAGCAGCATGATTTATAATCCTTTGGGTATACACCCAGTAATGGGATTGCTGGGTCAAATGGTATTTCTAGTTCTAGATCCTTGAGGAATCGCCACATTGTCTTCCACAATGGTTGAACTAGTTTACAGTCCCACCAACAGTGTAAAAGCGTTCCTATTTCTCCACATCCTCTCCAGCATCTGTTGTTTCCTGAATTTTTAATGATCGCCATTCTAACTGGCGTGAGATGGTATCTCATTGTGGTTTTGATTTGCATTTCTCTGATGACCAGTGATGATGAGCATTTCCTCTGTGTCTGTTGGCTGCATAAATGTCGTGTTTTGAGAAGTGTCTGTTCATATCCTTTGCCCACTTTTTGATGGGGTTGTTTTTTTCTTGTAAACTTGTTTAAGTTCTTTGTAGATTATGGATATTAGCCCTCTATCAGATGGGTAGACGGCAAAAATTTTCTCCCATTCTGTAGGTTGCCTGTTCACTCTGATGATAGTTTCTTTTGCTGTGCATAAGTACATCTAATTTAGTTTAATTAGATCCCATTTGTCAGTTTTGGCTTTTGTTGCAATTGCTTTTGGTGTTTTAGTCATGAAGTCTTTGCCCATGCCTATGTCCTGAATGGTATTGCCTAGGTTTTCTTCTAGGGTTTTTATGGTTTTATGTCTTACATTTAAGTCTTTAATCCATCTTGAGTTAATTTTTATATAAAGTGTAAGGAAGGGATCCAGTTTCAGCTTTCTACATATGGCTAGCCAGTTTTCCCAGCACCATTTATTAAATAGGGAATCCTTTCTCCATTGCTTGTTTTTGTCAGGTTTGTCAAAGATCAGATGTAAACTAGCATCTTTTTTTTTTGAGACAGAGTCTTGCTCTGTCTCCCAGGCTGTATTGCAGTGGCAGGATCTCCATTCACTGCAACCTTGGCCTCCCGAGCTCAAGTGATCCTCCACCTCAACCTCCTGGGTAGCTGGGACTACACGCACAAGCCACTATGCTGGCTAATTTTTAAAAATTTTTTTGTAGGGACAAGGTTTCAGTATGTTGCCCAGGCTGGTCTTAAATTTCTGGTCTCAAAGAATTCTCCTACCTCAGCCTCCCAAAGCGCTGAGATCACAGGTGTGAACCACCACATCCAGCCTTATGGTCAACTTTTATCATAATCTTAGGATATTCACAGCTGAAAGAAGCTACATAATTTAATCACCACCAAGAACCATTTAGCAGCAAACACTTGCACCTTCTCTACTGTTAGCCAAAGGCTTTATATATAAATACAAAGCTTAAAGATGTCATAAAAAGAGCTAAATATTAAAATGATGGCAATTTAATAGCCATGAAAAGCATAAATAGCAATTACAAATAATACAAATGAAAAAGTCAAGACAACATAGAACGCTGTTTAATAATCCAGCCTCCAAAATACAGACATTTCCCATATTTACCTAAGACTCTGGAAAAGGGTCAGAAAAACATGCTGTGTTTTTAAGGGTATGCTGGCCAAATGTTTATCCAAGTTACTTCAAGTGCCATTTTTAATTCATTTTAAGTGATATCCCTTTATAGTATCTGCATTTTGCCTTTTAATACATGTAAATCAGGCCTGGCTCGGTAGCTCATGCTGTAACCCCAGCACTTTGGGAGACCGAGGAAGGCAGATCACTTGAGCTCAGGGGTTCGAGACTAGCCTGGGCAACATTTCAACATCCTGTCTCTACGTAAAATACAAAAAGTAGCCAGGTGTGGTGGCACGTGCCTGTAGTCCCAGCTACTCAGAAGGGGGAGGTGAAAGGATCACTTAGGCCGGGTTTAGGTGAGGCTGGGGGAGAAGGGTCGGGGGGAAGGGGTTGCAGTGTGCCAAGATGCCAAGATGGTGTCAGTGCACTCCAGCTTGGATGACAGAGCGAGACTCTGTCTCCCCAACTCTCTCACCAAAAAACAAACCAGATACATGCAAATCAAAACATAATAAATTACATAAAACATTTAATAGAACCATCTACTCTACAAAGTTTATGTTTTTAATAATTCATTTATAATTCTTTATAATTCTTTGTCTTATTGCAACAAACCAGCTAGAAAGGAGGCACTTTAAACGTACAACTCCCTAATAAACTTTTAAGAAAATGATCTATGAATATCTGCTTTGCAATCTTCTTTGTCTCTTTTCTTTATAAACATCCTGCAGCAAGTTTAGGCATTAGAAATTAACCTATTTATTTGCTGTTTTAGAAGTACTCAGCTATTTGAGACTGCTGTATCATTAGCATAAACCACTTTACTTTGTATCACATCCCAACAAAGGGCTCTAAGAAAGAACAGATTACCAATCAGTTTTTTTTGAACTTTAATTCCACATATTGTAGTTTTACCATATCACAAAGCTTCAGAACTTCGTTTTTGAATGCCTGTCAAACTATTTTGTTGTAAACTTGTTCTTCAACTTATCCTCCATGTGATTATCTGCTTATCACTGGACACCCAGTTTCTCTTCTCTACTGATCATTTTGAAAGACCAACCAATACATGATTATAAAGCTGTAAAACATCGTTATTTTTTAAAATTGATTTTATTTTTTGAGATGGAGTTTCAGTTTCGTCACCCAGGCTGGAGTGCAGTGGCGTGATCTTCGCTCACTGCAACCTCCACCTCCCGGGTTCAAGTGATTCTCCTGCCTCAGCCTCCTGAGTAGCTGGGATTACAAGTATGCACCACCACACCTGGCTAATTTTGTATTTTTAGTAGAGACGGGGTTTTACCATGTTGGCCAGGCTGCTCTACAACTCCTGACCTCAGGTTATCTGCCCGCCTTGGCCTCCCAAAGTGCTGGGGTTACAGGCATGAGCCACCATGCCGGGACCAAAACTTATTAAAACATATATATCTTAGTGTCTCCTCTAAAAGGAGTTACTTTTCCAGAACTGTCCCTAGAATATGTTTGCTGGTGAAAAAAAGAAAACAGGTGTCAGGACCTACAGTTCCATGGCCTACATCTTTTCATTCTTTCTTCTCTCTGTTCCAACGCTCCAGGAAAGCAGAAAAGTTGTACTGGTTCTAGTGCTGAACCCAGATAAAAGCTGGATGCTTCAGGAAAAGACTTTTTGGGACAAATATCAAGAAACAGATCCATTTAAACCTCTGACCTGGTCGAAAGCAGTGGCATCCGACTGCTCTTTCCACCTCTGGTCTGGTCTCAAAGTCCCTCCAAACCATCCCCCATTATGCCACCCAAGTAGTGTCCTAACTCTTATCTGGTCATGTCCTTTCCTGCTCCAAGTCCTTTACACGCCCACCAGAGTGACTTGGTCAAGAAGTAGGAAAACCAAAGGATTTTTCAAACTACATGCTATTACTGCTTCTGTCCCCAGACAGCCATGGTAACAGGTCATATCCCCAAGTGCAGTACTGGGAGAGAAGGAAGACTGCTGAAGAACTGTGAAGGCCATTAGCACTACTTCCTCAAACATCTCCTGTGCACTCTGGTTTCTCTGCCTGTCCTCTACCAATCTTCTTCCTTCCCAAAAGGCCCTTTATATACTCACTGCACTTGGAATGCTTCAATACTGCAGTTCCCATCATGGACTGCATTATTCACTGAAATAACATGCCATAAAATTCTTGTTATCCCATACCCTACCATACCTAAGTAGATTTTGACATACATTACACAAGTGAATTCACTACCCATATGCTAAGAGAAAGGCTAAATAATTGACCACTATCATGCAAAGCACCATCAAATAAAGGCAATATGCTAAAGATATGCTGTATATGTGGGACAGGGGGACTTATCCACACATAGTTTTGCTAGTTTTCTCCTCTTCCTTAAGACAAACAAAACAAGCATCCATTCCTAATATAAAGCCAATAAAAACATTCTTAGATCTAAAGTATAGGAAATATAACTAATGAGGAATATGAAATTTTACTGATTATGTCTCTTAAAAGACAATTTAGAATTTATAAAAAGTCCTCCCACTCAACATTGTGGGAGTGGCTGGGTGCAGGTGCAACTTCAACAGGAGACTTCTGTTTGAGTATCATCTACAAAAACTGAAGAAAATCTAAAGGTTAGTATGCCTTGAGCAAGTCATTATCCTCTGAGCCTCAGGCTGCCCACTAAAAAAATGTGAAAACTGGCCAGGTGCAGTGGCTCACACCTGTAATCCCAGTACTTTGGGAGGCCAAGGCGGGAGGATTGCTTGATGAGGCCAGGAGTTTGAGACCAGCCTGCGCAACACAGCAAAACTTCATCAGCACAAAAAGTTTAAAACTGAGACAGGTGTGGTGACACACGCTTGTAGTCAGTTACTCAGGAGGCTCAGGTGGGAGGATCACCTTCCAGAAGGTGAAGGCCTCAGTGAGCTGTGATCACATCACTGCACTCCAGCCTGGGCAACAGAGCGAGATCCTGTCATTAACAACAAAAAAAAAAAAATAGGAAAAAAATTAGTGAAAAGTTACCATTCTGCCTACTTCATGGAGGTAATTATAAGGATAAAGAAGTCAGAGTATGCTTAAAGTACTTAAACTGAATAAACTCTCTAAGGAAGTTTAATGTCCATTTGATGAATATGATTCTACTGATCAATAATAAAAATGCTCACTGAATATTTTAGGTCTGTCCAACCAAACATTGTCTGGTAAGGAGAAAAAGGAAAAACAATCAATGGCTGTGTAATTGAAGCTTATATAGATACCTTCACTGCTGCATTAGGACAGGAGAGGTCTCAGCAACAACACAGTCTAAAAGACTGGAACCCTGCTAAAGAATTACCATGCAATAAAATTATGTATGGTTTGAGCTTGTCTGGACACTGGCCAGGAAGGTTCTAAATTACTGTCGTAACCAAAAGGCACTGTTGTAAAGAACTGGTTCTCAACTTGGGGCAATTTTGTCCACCAGGGGACATTTGGCAATGTCTGGAGAGAGTTTTCTGGTTATCGTAACTGGGGACAAGAGTGTTACTGGAAGGCATCTAGTGCGTAGAAGCCAGGAATGCTACTGAATATCCTACAATGCACAGCATCCCACAGCAAGGCATTATCCAGAACAAAATGTCAACAGTCCTGAGGCTGAGAAATCCTATTTTAAAGCAGTACTATCCTAGAAAACAGAATTTGGTAACACCAGTACTCATTCTTTCATCAAGTATTTACTGAGCACTCACCATGCAGTTTCTGTATCAAGCTCCGTCCTAGGTGCTGAAGAGCGTAATACACATAACTATTTCATGTTCAGATGGCCTTGCAAGGATCTCAAGAACAGCCAAACAAGTTCACCATGACTGAAATTTGTACATCTTTTCTAAATACTCACCTCCAAGGCCTGCATTCGTTTTAAGAGCATTTTATTTTCATTGTTCTTAATCTTTTCTTCGTAGAATTCCAGAAATGTTTTTTTGTAGACTAGTTTCATATTGTACTTCTTTGCCATTCTGTCCAAAAAAGAATACTTAATGAAAAAGCTTCCACATGTTTGTAATTCCTCAACTTACTTTTGTACAGCAATGACATCTTCTGGACTTAACTAAAAAAGCTACCACTCCCTTGATAAATTCACAATACAGTAATACAAAATGAATCAAGAGTAACATATCACACCTAAAAGAAACATGCATTCTAAATCTCAGGGGTTTCAGAGGGCTCTATTAGTATAACATAAAGGTCAGGAAGTAAATGAGAGTCTCCGGAGCTGTGAGATGCGGAAAAAGTGTAGGAAACTCTTTTCTACTGATTCCATTTCACTTTACTTGATCTCTCACAGCTGCACTGCAAACAGCTGCCAACTTCCTTCTTAAAGATTCACTTTCATCTCGACTTCTCTGGCAAGATACACTATTAATTTTTCCCCTACATCATGAACTGCTTCTTTGCAGGTTTTTTTTTTTTCCTTTTCACTTACAGGTTTTTTTTTACCCAACTTCTAAACTTCAAGGTTCTGTAGAGTACAGTCCAGAGCCCTACTCACTTCCACCCCCCAGCTATCGGTAGTTCAGCTGTCTCTCATCACTCATGGATTCTACTGCTTATTAGAAATCTTCACCTGCATGTGTCACTGGCACTCTCTAACGTCCCACATCTAAGGCTGAACATCACTGCTCTTTTACTGCCAATCTTTGCCATTTCAGTAAATCCACCTAGTGATCCATGCCATCTCCCCTTCTCTTTTACCCACTGTGCTCAATACACATCACTAAGTCCTTTCTATTTTACCTAGAAAACATCAATTTCAAATAGGTCCACTTCTTACCTCCTGCATTTGGCACCATCCTGCTGCTTCAGTCACCATCACCACTCAGTGGCACCAGTCCATAAACTCACTTTGCTTGTCCCCTGCTTCCATTCTTACTCTCCCTCAATGAATTTTCCAATCGCAGCCAGATTAAGCTTTCAGAAATGCGGACCTGAGTCATGTCACTACCCCCTTAACACCCTCCACTGGGCTCCAGTGCACTTAGGATACAGAACATGGTCTCGAAGACATTCATCTGTAAAGGAATGCTGCCTCATTTTGGGACAGCCCCCGATATAAATCAGGATGGGCCTTCTTTCAACATCTTGGACTAGCCTAGCTTTCCCACTGCTGGGCCCTCACACACGCTGTCCTCTTGTCAGGAGCATTCTTCCCTCCAGTCCTCAGCTGCCCACCTACTTTTCCATCCTTTAGATCCTGACTCAAACATCGATTCTTTACAGGCACCTTCCTTAAATCTTAATTATATTAGGTCTCTCCGTTAGACTCTCAGGTAGTTTTTTTCCTCACTGCATTTGCCAAGTTTATAATCATGTATCTGTAGACAACAAGAGGGAGCCTGGAGATGACTTCAGGCAGCAGTTAAAGGAAGAGTGGAAGGAAGGGGAGAAACCCTGAAAATTAGGTGGGAAGGCTCGTGTACAGGGTGGCATTTGAGGGGATAGGGTAAGGGCAAACACTGGAGGGCCACTGAGGTTTCTATGTAAGAGGTATACGTAAGGCAGGATTCTGTTACTTCAATTAATCCTCCTTGGAAAGGCAACATGAGCAAAATTAAGTCTTTTATTCCAGGCAGTTCATTTTCTTTTGTAAATCTCTAAAATAAGCCTTTAGAAATGAAACCAAGTTTTTTATTCCAGGCAGTTCATTTTCTTTTGTAAATCTCTAAAATAAGCCTTTAGAAATGAAACCAAGTTTTTTATTCCAGGCAGTTCATTTTCGTTTGTAAATCTCTAAAATAACCCTTTAGAAATGAAACCAAGTTTTACACCTAAAAAAATCATGATTCAAAGAATTGAGGCCCAATTTGAATAAGTTTTGCCACACAAAAAGCTTATTTCTGTTAAATTTCTTAATGAAATGGCAAAAAGGCATCTCAAAACCCCCACACATTTTCAGATTCTATTTCATCCAATACTGTTTCAATAAATAATCTTTTAAAAAATTAGATATTAAACTGATGACTTAGGTTTACCATCATTAGGCAATTTAAGTCAAAAAAAAAAAAAAAAAAAAAAAAAAGAAGACCGCTAGGTCTTGTTTAGCATTTAAAACAAATCTTTTGTTTTATTATCTTTTTGATTATACTAAAATCACCAAACTGTTAACTAAAATCTCAAGCTAACATATTAAACATACTCAATAACATTCCACAATTAAGTTCTTTTTTAAATAAAGTTGAAGAGCAGTAACATTTCCCCAGTTTATTAGTTTTAAAAATTAAAAGGAAAATGTAATTGATATTTTTAAATTTTGTAAATGGTTTATATTTATAAAATTATGCACAGTATTTTCCTCATGTTCAGTCACAATGCTACTTGGCTTTCTTATATTATTGAATAAGCTATTATAGAACTCCTGAAAATACTGTAACCCTAATTTTACAGACTGACTGAGTTACAATTAAAATAAGCACCAAGCAGAAGTAAGCAGACAATATACCTCTTCTTTTTCTCAGTTAATATTCAAAACAAAAGATTTTTGTTTCTAAAAAGTAGAAAATCAAGTTCAATCAATCATGACATGGCCTACATTTAAGCTGACTTTTATACTCTCCCCACCGGGGAAACTCTGGAAACCAAGGTGTATCACAAGGCCTTGAAGCCTTACCTGGTAAGGCCCAGTTACCCCCAGCTTTTCCTGTGTCTACAGTTTGCCAGGACTCCTAGGAATTCAGGCACATGGGAGAATACATTCCTGAATCAGGATTTTATCATCAACATTGCCTGTGAGACATAGGCAATTTCAAAGTTATAGTGAAATGCAAACAACTTTTAATACTCATCTCTGTCAAAAGGAGGATCTTTGATTTATTTATTTATTTATTTATTTATTTATTTATTTATTTATTTTTTTTTTGAGACGGAGTTTCGCTCTGTCGCCCAGGCTGGAGCGCAGTGGCGCGATCTCGACTCACTGCAAGCTCCGCCTCCCGGGTTCATGCCATTCTCCTGCCTCAGCCTCCCGAGTAGCTGGGACTACAGGCGCGCGCCACCATGCCCAGCTAATTTTTGTATTTTTAGTAGAGACGGGGTTTCACCGTGTCAGCCAGGATGGTCTCGATCTCCTGACCTCATGATCCGCCCGTCTCGGCCTCCCAAAGTGCTGGGATTACAGGCGTGAGCCACCGCGCCCGGCCGGATCTTTGATTTATGAAGACTCATTGTTTATCATCAAAGTTACCAGTAGTCACTAAAAAAAAAAAAAAAACTTTTGCTATTTGCAGTGTCAGGCATTTTGTGCCACAAGCTGAAGGCAACTGGTTCCCTTTTTCACCCACAGGATTAAAAAATTCCAGGAATGAGAGAAAACTAAGTTAGGCTATTATGAGACCTATGGCAATAATCCCCTAGATGTGAAGCTAGTCTTGTTTTGTTTTTTTTTTTTAAAAACACAAAAACAAAAAAACAAGATTATACTTTTTCTTTAGCCCTCATTTAAAATAAAGAGTAAAATAAATATTGCTTTTCCCCGCTTTTCTTTCCCTTAAGACAAAAAGAAAAGAGTGAACAGATTAATGACTTCTTACTCATTTAGCAATGGAAAATAGACCAAGAATTCAGGAACATCCACAACACCTTCCAAGTTGAAGTCATATTTGCAGCCAAATAAAGGATAATCTCCTTTCTTCTGAAATTTCACAGTATATATTTCATTTCCAAATGATTCTGTTTCTGAAGCTTCAAGGCGTCTTCTATCAAGGTTATCCCCCAACCAAAATAAAAAGATTAAAATTGTGATTAGTGTAGACTTATTTTGATCAGATTATGCATGTGAAAAACTACATGATGCACACTTGATTAGCCTTTTAATTATATCTGGGCTACCTTTTTTTTTTTTTTTTAAAGTGACAAGGTCTTAATCTGTCATTCAGGCTGGAGTGTGGTGGTGTGATCATAGCTCACTACAGCCACCAACTCCTGGGCTCAAGTGATCCTCCTGCCTCAGCCTCCTGAGCAAGGACTACAGGGGCGTGCCACCATGCTGGCTAATTTGTAAATTTTTTGTAAAGACAAGGTCTCACTATGTTGTCCAGGCTGGTCTCAAACTCCTGGCCTCAAGCAATCCTCCTGCCTTGGCCTCCCAAAGTGCTAGGATTATAGGCATGAGCCACTGCACTCTCCTGATTTGAGCTACTTTTAAGAAGCAATATACTAAAAGATCACCAACAGTCACACCAATAAAATTAAGCTGGAAGTAGGTATCACTCTCATGACAGCTGGTTCATCTCTGTGCCTGTGTATCTGACCTGCAGTTTGTCTATCACTATAACTTCAGTCTCTAACTTACACACAAAGATGAACTGTTAAAAGTTCACCTGTAAATTTGTCTATTGAATTTAAATTTTGAATGTCTACTCAAATATCTTATGAAAGTGTTCAACACTTATAAGATTAAAATAGCGTATTTTAATAAAATCTACCTCTGATAAACATTTGCTACTTAATACTGAATATTTTATAAACCACAATATATTTAGAAGTACTTACATCAATTCAAAGCTATTGGGAGTAGTACCAATAAAATAGCCCCCAGGGCTAAGTCTCTCACACGCATTTCTCAGCATCATGTCAGCCTGCTCATAAGACTCAAATGAGTAATGACAGACAAACTGACAACTGCAGATGTCAAAACACATTTGTGGGTCACGAAATTTGTCAATCAGAAGTTCCTGAAACAAATTAAAATGAGTTAAGATTGTGAGGTAACTACAACAAAGATTAAAAACTTTTTAGTAAATTAACTTCTAGAATGTAAGGTTCTTCCTTTCCCTCACAATCTTTCCCTTGTACAATAAAGGACACACAGAAATCATGCATGTATTCTAGTTTAACAGAATAATTTGATTCCCACTTTCACAGTATTTAAAAACTGAGGAATTCTGAAATCATGTTTAAAATATATTAGTCAATTATGACATTTCAACTTGATCCTTTCATCACTTTACTTGACAGCTAAAATAAAATGACATTCAACAATAACTTGAGTTAAAAAACATCTGGCGTTTGGCATTTTTTAAAAAATGCAAAAATGTTTTAAAGGTATTACAACTTTCTGGCAGTATACTCCCACTTATCTTTTTCACTTTCAAATTTCAAACAAAATGTGTATGATTAAAGGTATCTATAACAGTTCAGTGAGTCAATAAGTCAATGAAGAACAAAAAGTTCATGGTGAGACTTTCACCCTTGAAGCAGTTCTTTTTAAGAAATTCAGAAACAGGTGGAAGGTAGGAAAAAACCAAACAGGCTCTGATATGTTGGGAAACTAATAAATTACAAGGTGAACAAAACATAGTATAAGTTCAGTTCTATTTCAAAATACTGGAAAATAAATGATGTCCATACCGAAAAGCAACAGCTAATTTCAATTCAAATTATTAAAAGCAAAAAATTACAAGTATTCAGTGAGTCATTCAAGGGAATTTATCATAATAGAATTTCCAGTCAAAAGTGAAAATGCATATTCCAAGATTTTTAAAGTTTCAAAACACATTTTAAAAAATGAGTAGCCGGGCACCATGGCTCATGCCTGTAATCCCAGCACTATGGGAGGCAGGCAGATCACCTGGGCTCAGGAGTTTGAGGCCAGCCTTGGCAACATGGCAAAACCCCATCTTTACAAAATATATAAAAATTAGCTGGGTGTGGTGGCATGTGCCTGTAGTCCCAGCTACTCAGGAGGCTGGGAGGCAGGAGAATCACTTGAGCCTGGGAGGCAGAGGTTGCAGTAAGCTGAGATCGTGCCACTGTGCTCCAGCCTAGGTGACAGAGTAAGACCCTGTCTCAAAAAATAAGAGTAAATTTTTTTAAAAAAGTAAAAATTGAGTTGATTTTTAAAACAAATTATTTACCCAAACTAAAAATGTAAAAAATAAATTGACCAAAGAAAGAAACTGTACCTTTGAGCTGTCAGCAGTTATAAATTCTGCACTGAAAATATATTCACTATCACGACGATTTTTCATGTCCTCATACCGCTGCTGACACTGTTTGACAGAAACATCGGCAATATCTGGAAGGATGGAAGGGTATTAGTAAGTATCAACACAGAATGCCAGAAATCTAGACATTGATCTCAACTGACAAACTCTGGCATAAAAGTCAGCCTTAGTACCAGTGAAAAGGTTTTATTTCCTTTAAAAGAAAAGAAAAGGGCTTTGTTCCGACGCAAATACCCTATCAGTTTTCAAGAGGAACTAAAAGCGTCTCAATAGGTACGGACGCTATAAAAGTTCTATCATGATTTTTAAATGCTTATTCAAAGTAAAAAGGAGAAAGTTTTATTCCAATCTGAATTATAAAACCTAACACTATCAATAAGCCCAGTTTTGGAAATACCAAGGGTATATTTTTATAATAAAATGTTATTAGCCCTTTTCTTTTTTTCTTTTTTGAGACAGAGTCTTGCTGTATTGCCCAGGCTGGAGTGCAGTGGTGCAATCTTCACTCACTGCAACCTCTGCCTCCAGGGTTCAAGTGATTCTCATACCTCAGCCTCCCGAGTAGCTAGGATTATAGGTTGTGTGCCACCATGCCCAGCTAATTTTTTGTATTTTTGGTAGAGGATGGGGTTTCACCACATTGGCCAGGCTGGTCTCTAACTTCTGGCCTCAAGTGATCCACCCTCCTTTGCTTCCCAAAGTGCTGGGGATTATAGGCATGAACCACTGTGCCCAGCCTGCCCTTTTCCCTGTTTAAAGATTCACACTGATAATGCAAAGGCAATGGGATCTTATCACAAATACAAAGTAGCAGCACTAAATGGTACTGGCAGTACTTCATGTATTCTTCACCACTATACAATATGCAGGGGGAGAAAAACAGTTTCATTTAAGAATACCCTTTATAAAATAGTGAAAATTAATTTTATTAAACCTGGGCTTTTGAATACACACTTTTTAAAATGTTGTGTGATGAAATGGGAAGTAACAAAACATTTCTGCTACCTAACAAAGTATGATGGTCATCTTCAAGAACAGTACTGATATGACTGTTCTGAGTTTTGAGCTGTACTGGCCACTTTTTTTCTGAGAAAATTATTTTGACTTGAATGACTGACAAACTACGGTTATGCAGACTTCAGTACCTGGCACATATTTTCTTGAAAATGAACAAAGTGAACCTGTCACTTAAAGTTCCCCAACCCTTGGGCGACAAACCAGTACAGGTCCACGGCCTGTTAGGAACCAGGCTGCACAGCAGGAGGTGAGTGGCAGGCAAGCTAGGTTGCATACTCCTTATGAGAATCTAACACCTGATGATCTGAGGTAGAATTCCATCCCCCCGCTTCTGTGGAAAAACAGTCTTCCATGAAACCGGCCCCTGGTGCCAAAAAGGTTAGGGATCGCTAATTTAAAGGGAGACAAGGGACAGTGTATTTGTTGCCAAAAATAAAATTGACTTTCAAATAAGAATTACAACCCTGAAAAACTCGTATTGATCACTGTGGGCTGGACTTCTTCCCAATACTTTTCTGATTGGCAGTGATATTAAACACGTGATTTTTTGATTCTCAACAATTAGATCTGCATAACTTTAGTGAACAGTATTTTCCAAGTACTATAAAATCATGCAGGAAGTGCAAGACAGATTAATGGATTTTAATGTTACACGGTATAAAAAGTTCATCACTAAGGTTTCAGATTCCATATTGTAACTACTCTTTAAGAAACTACCACTTACTGAGTTTTGATGTAGTAACAGAGGAATATCTACAATTATCAAAAAAGGCTATTAAAATACTTCTTTATTTTACAACTACTTATCAACCAAAATAAAATCACAACATATTGGATGCAGAAACAGGTGTGAGAATCCAGTTGTCTCCTGCAATTTCAAACTCTAAAGGGATTTACAAAAATGTAAAAGCCAGCCTTGTTACTTTTAATGAACTAAAAAATATTTTCAAAATTCTCAGCTTTAATTTCCAATATAGTAAATATCAGTAGCTACTTACCATAATTACATACAAAAAAGCTTTCTGGGGTCCTCAATAATTTTTAAGTATACAGGGCTCATAAAACCAAAAAATCTGAGAACTGCTAATTTGGGCAGTACTTCAGTAGTGGGGGTATGTATCTCTTTTAACTCACCACATCAGAAAGACGCTGACGTCTGCTTGTCCCACTTCAGTGTTAAGACTAACCACCGGGCTAAGGTGATTGATTGATTGATTCATTGCGTTACTATCGACTTTTCCCTTAATGGCTTCCGTAGCAAAAAAAAAAAATTATTGCCTAGATCTATTATTTCATAAAGAATGAAAAAAATTATGATTTTCTAATTCTATAATTCCTCTTTATCTGATTGAAAAAAAAAAGGAACTGCCCTTTTCAACCATCTGATTACAAATGTTTGATTTCCTCCCCTTAATTTATAAGTTTCAGAATAGTTTCTTAGCAACCTTCAAGGGTGAACAATGTGTTTTTCTGATTTGATGTGTCCAACTGCTATTTTTTTTTTAATGTTAAAATTGCCCTATTTTTGCCAATGGAAACCTTTTCAAGTCTGCCCTTTAGACATGACTCCGACCATCTTTGATAGCTTCCTTCCTTTTGGGAAGGAAACGTTATCCCAGGCTTATTAATCTTACTATGAAACTATCAGGAAAGTCTTGTAACTAATTTTTTTTTTTTCGAGACGGAGTCTTGCTCTGTCACTCAGGCTGGTGTGCAGTGGTGCGATCTTGTCTTACTATAACCTTCACCTCCCAGGTAAAAGTGATTCTCCTGCCTCAGCTTCCTGAGTAGCTGAGATTACAGGTGTGCACCACCATGCCCAGCTAATTTTCTGTATTTTTAGTAGAGACAGGGTTTCACAATGTTGGCCAGGCCGGTCTCAAACTCCTGACCTCAAGTGATCCACCCACCTCAGCCTTCCAAAATGTTGGATTACAGGCATGAGCCACCGCGTCAGGCCGTAATTAATTTAAAAAAAACCCATCTCATGCATAGTCCCAGATATCTTGCAATTTGAGACAATCCTTCTTATTTTCCATTTATCTGACTACAAATTATTCTTTCCCATATCATTATTTATCTTACCAGTACAAACTAGCTTGTTAATTCTTCCTTTTTTCCATTTCAGCAAATCTCCACCTTTACCACATCCCAGGTCCAAAACAGTGATATCACGTTTTTTCTTCTGTCGTACCTTTTCCAAAAATTCTCCTAAAAGAGAGAAATCAGTCACAATAAACTACCTCTTCTTCAATTTTACTGAAGTATAAACTGTTACCTCTAATAACCTACTATCTTTTGCCCAATATGTAACATAAACTATTACACATCCATTTATGTAATTTGTAACTTCTGATAAGTAACTAAAAATATGACTAAGAGTTGATTAATCTGATCCTCTATCATTAAAGAGTACGTGTCTGGTGTTTTGGAAAATAAAGGCAGCATTTTGAATGTTAACTTTCAAAAATGAATTTTAAATAGCAGATATTTAAAATTCTAATATAAGACAACACAACACTTGTTCAGGATGAGAGAAAAAGCTAAGTAAGGATTAGAAAAACTAATTATTCATATTTTTTTTTGTAGCTTTCTCTTTCCATAGCTAGGTGTTTAACAGTAGACACGTAAGTAAATCAAAGTTGTTATGGAATGATAAAAGAGCCTGATTATCAAAGATGTCAGGCTTACCACCAAGAGAAATATAAAAACTAGAAAAAAAAAAAGCACTATGTCTTTTAGTTTTAGCATCATCAGTATTTGGTAGACCCCAGTCTACTAAATGACATTAACAGCCAACAGATAAAATCAGTAGGCAACCAAACATCAATAGGCAAATTGTTCAAACGTCGATTAAAAGCATATTAATATTCTCAGGCAAGTTAAGTATTCAACAGTTCTAAAACTTGATACAATACTGAATCCTAGATACATTCTCCTTGTCTTTATCACTGAGCTGGACACTTTCAGGTGTGTATTATTTTGATGGCTAAAAATATCCTGTACAAGTACTTTCACCTTCTGCAGGAACTTAAAGTAACTTCAACAGAAGCACAAATGTTCCATAATATTTAACTTTCTGCCATGAATCTTAATAGCATAAAAATACTGAAAGAGCGAAAAACAATTATAAAATCTCTGCATTTATATACAGTAAGACTAACGAGAGAGGAAATCATCAAGAAACAATTTCAAAAAAGCCTTTATCACATTCAAGAACTATACTCAACTGTTTACTTACCAAGCTACAAGCACCAAGAAAAAAGAGAAAATGAGTGACAAAGAATGAGTGTTGAGAAAGGAAACAGCCAGAGAGAAAGCTTGGCACAGATCACACTGATTGTATTAGGATGTTAAACACAGGTGCAAAGCACACATCAAGAGAGCTGCTAGAACAGCTGAAAAAGGAAAGAATACCCTGTATATGCCAAGAGACAATTTTGCCAACTCTGACTTCAGTCCTTTAAAAAAAAATACCTCTTTTCTGATTATAGAAATAATACATGTAACAATGTGGAAAATATGGACTCGAAAAAGTTATTCAATAAAAAAATACATGAATAAATAAGTATTCATAAAAAATCCAATAAGTTATCTGCATCATTGAGGGTAATGAAGGAAGAGAAAGGCTGAAAAGAAATTAGGACTGGGGTAGAGAGAGAACCTTGTGAGTAGAGACTGAAAATGCCATTACGTTAATCTTAAAAAAAAAAAAAAAAAGTGAACACTCATTTAGCCTAAGCTGACACATGGCAGAGTCAAATAAATATTTTTGTAACAGAACATGAATGTTAAAAACAAGTGATATACAAAATGTTAAAATGTGTTCAAAGTAAGCCTAGTTAGTTCCTACTGCTAATACTTATCAGATTAGGTAATTTATCTTTGAAAATTAGTAAATTATCATCAAAACTAGTAGGAAGTACCCATAATTAGCACTTTATTCTTTCTAGCATAATTAAGAAAGCATTCTCACTTCTTCTTTGACTGGCTTTAAAAAAATCTTTATTATGAAAAATTTTAAAACAAACCACTTTTTAAAGTTCTCTAAATTTATCTAAGAGTCTACTTAATGCACTAAATATACAGAGCAATAATTATATTCTTTTTTTTACCCTATCTTACGGTGCCGACAAGAATTGTATTCTGAATCATATTTTCTCTGTTCACTTTCATTTTAATTTCAAAGGTGAGTTTCCATAGATAAAATGTTGGCTCAAAAAAGTTGAATGTTTTTATCTATCCTCAATGTAATACACATGATCTTTATCAACTAATTGAAGGCCTAAACAAATCAAGACACTGCCTATTTCTTGACTTAATGAAACCTGAATGTTTAACCAACAATATGCAGTTGCTCCAAAACTATTAGAGTAAAATAGAATCATTACTTAATAGTACTAGGTAACCTTAATTCTGTGCATTAAAAAAAATATTGCCTTCTGAAAACCTGATTAACATAATAATTAAACACTCATTAAAATCTTACACAGTCAACCAAAAGTAAATATTAGAAGAATTTGTCTTCAAGACCTAGTCTTGGCTCTAGCTTTATAAAGTCAAGGTTTGATAATTAAATGAATAGGAATTAAAGACTCAGTAGCTTGGTGTTGGATCATACCAATGAGAACACTTTTCATCCAATTATTAAAGTTTCTTAGGTAAAAAATACGACTTTGACTACGCTTCTCCAAACCAACTTCCTGAAGTTCATTGTAATGGGCAGCCACTGTTGAGCTGTGTCCTTCTTCCAGATTCTGAAAATAAAAGAGAATAGAAAAAAATCAAGGATCAGAACATGGTAAAAATAAGCCTCAGAACATTTGACCTGTGAATGGATAAAATGCTATTAGAATTGGTAAACTTCACTAAACAATGGCAATTAACCACAGAAGTCTCACTAATTATCATTAGACCTAAGATTTGTTTTCTGTGTCCCTGTGTATCAGTCCATTTTAATGTTGCTGCTAAAGACGTACCGGAGACTGGGTAATTTATAAACAAAAAGAGGTTCAATGGACTCACAGTTCCTCGTGGCGGGGGAGGCCTCACAATCATGGTGGAAGGTGAAAGGCAGGTCTTACATGGCGGCAGGCAAGAGACAATGAGAGCCAAGTAAAAGGGGAAACCCCTTATAAAACCATCAGATCTCGTGAGACTTATTCACTACCATGAGAAAAGTATGGGGAACTGCGCCCATGATTCAATTATCTCACATCAGGTCCCTCCCACACATGTGGGAATTATGAGAGCTATAATTCAAGATGAGATCTGGGTAGGGACACACCCAAACCATATCACCTTATTTTGAAAAACATCTCTAGGTTTAAAATTTTCATTGTGATATTTCATCTGCATTAATTTTAGTGTCAATGTCTTAATAAACCCAGTACTCTTCCAGAGTTCTGATTTATTCAGTTCAATAAATGACAGTCAATGTTTGGTGTTTCTACAAAGGAATAAATTAGGAATAAGCTATAATTACATTATTATTATAAAGCTGTTGTGAAAATTAAATAAGATAATGTATATAAAGAGATTAGGCCTGGGTGAGGTGGCTCATACCTATAATCCCAGCACTGTGGGAGGCCCAGGTGGGAGGATCACTTGAAGTCAGGAGTTTGAGACCAGCCTGGCCAACATGGTGAAACCCTATCTCTACTAAAAATACAAAAATTAGCTGGGCATGGTGGTGCACACCTGTAATTCCAGCTACTCAGGAGGCTGAGGCAGGAGAATCGCTTGAACCCAGGAGGTGGAGGTTGCAGTGAGCCGAGATCGGGCCACCGCACTCCAGCATGGGCAACAGAGCGAGACTCTCAAAAAAAAAGAGAGATTAGAATTCAGTAGGCTATGTGCAGCGTTAGTGATTTCTATTATAATAATGCTATTATATATGTTACATGTAACCCAACAGTTTTCAATTTGTGCTTCCTGAGGCCCTAGAAATCCTGTAAAAATGCCATGATAGGTAAAGGGCTTCGGATCCTCCTACCTCCCTTTTCAGCCAAAGTGCTGAATCTCACTGATGTGCTGAAAGGCCTTTCAAACAAATCCTTGACCTATTTTACGTAACAGGTTTAAGTGTAAGATTTTCAGTTGAAAAAGGGGTTCTGGGGCTAGTAAAAGTTTGAAAACTATGTTTAAAATACAAGCTCCCAGCCAGGCGCAGTGGCTCATGCCTGTAATCCCAGCACTTTGGGAGGCTGAGGTGGGCAGATCACAAGGTCAGGAATTCAAGACCAGCCTGGCCAATATGGTGAAATCCCATCTGTACTAAAAAACACAAAAATTAGCCAGGCATGGTGGTGGGCACCTGTAGTCCCAGCTACTCGGGAGGCTGAGGCAGGAGAATCGCTTGAACCCGGGAGGTGGAGGTCCCGGGAGGTGGAGGTTGCAGTGAGCCGAGTTTACACCACTGCACTCTAGCCTAGGAGACAGAGTGAGACTCTGTCTCCAAAAAAAAAAAAAAAAAAAAGGGGGGGCTCCCCTCTGTTACAAGAATTCACATTCCATTGATGACAAAAGCCTCACTATCAGTCACTTTCCTCATAAGGGCCAATGGCAGAATTTTATTTACTCATTAAAGTAATCTTTTCCTCTAACTCCAGATTCTGCCTCAAATTCCTTTCTAATGTGGTACTTCCAGATGAAAACAACTTGCCCTATAATATCTTTGCTAAATATTAGGCATTTGCATTCACTTAACTAAAACAGTATGTAAAATACATTAATAAGAAGCTGAAAACTGTTTAAGGAATTACATTAATAAAGGGATGTAAAGCTAGGTATAATTTTAAAAGTTATCCCTTTAAGTGATAACCTCTGACAAAAAAACTAGAGCTGAACACCTAATAAAAAAGAAAAATAGGTAAATCATTTGGATCTCATACTCTAGTCTTTTTAAAAACGCCGGAGGACTGCTTATGCCCAGGAGGTTGTGGCTGCAGTGAGCTTTGATTACACCATCACACTCCAGCCTGGGCGACAGTGCAAGACTCTGTCTCGGAAAAAAAAGTTTCTAGTTAAATATTCTAAAATAAGATAAACATTATCTCATTAGAAAATAAAAACAAACAAAAACTAAAAAATCTATCTCATTAGCAGGAGATGTTTCACCTTAACAGAAATCATAAGAGTTAAAAGCCTACTTTGTCTTAGGACCATATCTATTAAAAATAGAACATTCTTAAGCTATTATGTAAAAACCAGTATGAATCCACGGGTGTTCCACATTTCAAACTTACATATTCTATTATGAATAAATGAAAATACACTGAACATACTTTCTGCTTTTCAGGAACATCCTCAAGTGCTATTTTTCTCTTATTTTGAGTGCCATCTCCAGTAGAAGATTTATCTTTTGGAACATCCTCAGTTTCTCTTTTTCTTTTCTTTGAATTGCCTTCAGCATCACCACAATCTTTTTCCTCTGGGACAATTTCAGGATCAAGTTTTCTCTTCTTGGATGGAGTGTCTTTCCCACAACTAGAACTTTCCTTTACAAGATCATCTTCAAACTCTTTTCTCTTTCTTGCTATGTCTACTTGCCTACAGACAGAAGTCTTTTCAGAAAGCCCAGTCCCAGAAGCTGTTGTGTTTTCATTAATATTGAATGAAGACTCTGTTTCAGAATTCACTGACGCTTTTGCCTGTTCAAGAGACATCTTTTCATATTCTTCTGCTTTTGCAGAATTTGCCATTTATGATTACTTGAATTGATGGTAAAACTTCATGAACCAACACTAGAATAGGAAAAAAATTGGTATTACTTGTAAACACTAAGACTTTAAAACAATTTTTTTTTTTTTTGAGACGGAGTTTCACTCTTGTCGCCCAGGCTGGAGTGCAATGGCATGATCTCGGCTCACTGCAAGCTCCGCCTCTGGGGTTCAAGTGATTCTCCCGCCTCAGCCTCCCCAGTAGCTGGGATTACAGGCACCTGCCACCACGCCTGGCTAATTTTTTGTATGTTTAGCTGAGACGCGATTTCCCCACGTTGGGCAGGCTGGTCTCTAACTCCTGACCCCAGGTGATCCGCCTGCCTTGGCCTCCCAAAGTGCTGGGATTACAGGCGTAAGCCACTGCGCCTGGCCTAAAATAATTTTAACTAGAATTTGATCAACTAGGAGTTTAAAAAAATCTCATTGTAGAGAGCATATTAAAAAATGTTAACTGATACTATGTATGAATTTCTGAATATGGCAGTACTAATTATAATCCCCCCAAAATTCTATAATCTTATTCATAAAAGTCACTGTTGGCATTAAAGCTGACAAATGAAGTGGCGATACACATGCACTAGTTCCATTTTGGTTCTGATCCTTACTCTATAACCCTGGTTCCCAAACTGCATGGTTGGCACCATAACAAACAGGCACCACAGAACCTAATGTGGAAGATATCACAGAAACTACCAGCTTTAAGTACAGCACAGTTCCAGCTGAATAGATTACACTACATACCTTTCAATGACTTTGTGAAGCTGAGATTTTGGTATCACAGAAAATCAAGGTGAAACAGGAAATGAGGTTGGTGGTGCCTATCTGATTTCGAGGCTTGAAGTTGTACAGTACCCAATAGGTTCACACATCCTGTTAGTAAGGGATTGTGATTAATCAAGAATAAAACAGAAACATTACCTTTCCCCCCAATTTATGTGTGTTAATTTTTTAAACAGACATAAAGTTGTTAGACCATAAATACTTTTAAATTCTTTGGGGTAAACTACTTAATAAATGGAACTGTTATATTTCTTTTGGCCTATGGACACTAAGGGCATCAAGAACAGAAAAAGTTTGGGATTCTACAGCAAGAATTCTGAAATCGTATTTCATAATGGGTGTTCCAATTAGGTAGAAAGTGAAGAGAGTAGAAATGGCTTTAGACAAGTTTCAGGACTCAGCCTGCAGTTTGATGACCATTAAGTCTCTTTCAAATATGTTTTTAGACCTACATTAAGATGGGAAAGCGAGAGAAATAACTGAACTATCTATTGGGCAAGAATTATGGTGGTTCATTTATTAAGCCATTCAACAAATTTAGTGACCTCCTACTATGGAGAAGCTCAATGTAAATCATGTTTTCAAGATGTTTATAGCTTATATACCACTATTAAAATGTTAAGCTTTCGCTGGGCACAGTGGCTCACACCTGTAATCCCACCACTTTGGGGGAACGAGGTGGGCAGACTGCTTGAGCTCTGGAGTTCGAGACCAGGTTGGGCAACATGGCAAAATCCCGTCTCTACAAAAAATAGCTGGGCATGGTGGCACATGCCTTAGTCCCAGTTACTCAGCAGGCTGAAGTAGGAGGATCACCTGAGCCCAGGAGGTCCAGGCTGCAGTGAGCCATGATTGTGCCACTGTACTCCAGCCTAGACAACAAAGTGAGACCCCACTTAAAAAAAAAAAGCTTTTTCATGAAGGAAGTGTTTGTGCTTAAAAAAAAAAGTAAATAAATAAAAAGCCTTTTGGATAATGAAAAAGAATAAGAAATCAAGTTGCTTAAAGGAATGGGTAACAAGTCACTCACTATGAATGGGTAAGGGTTTCAATGGTTATTAGTTTTCATGACCCACCATTTGAGGTAACAAAATACCAAGAAGTACCAAATAGAACTGAATCAGAGAACAACAACAACAAATCAGAAAAGTGATTTTCAGAACAAATACTTAAAATGATTATCTAGAAAAACTGGATACCAACTTATCAAATTCCTATTTCTCCTCCTCTGCCATTGATTTCCTAATGGAAATTGGCTTTAAATTCAAATAAAGAAATGTGACTTATCTTTAGCTATATTTATTACCTAAAATTAATATTGAGATTTAAGCATGAATTTTACTTATGTCACTTTCATGATATCACAGATGTGACATAATAAAAACATAATTAGGTCAGAAGAAATGACACAGCATTCCAGATGACCACAAAAATAAGTAAGAACGTTTAAAACCAAGCATCATGTTTACAGCCAACTTGTTCTCAACAAAGGTGCCAAGAACGTACATAGTGAAAAGACAGTCTCTTCAAAAAACGGTGCTGGGAAATCTAGACCACTCTCTCTCACCATATGCAAAAATCAAATCAAAATGGACTGAAAAATTTAATACCCAAAAGTATGAAACTACTTGAAGAAAACATTGTGGAAATGCTTCAAGACACTGGTCTGGGCAAAGATTTTTGTGGTAAGACCTCAAAAGCACAGGCAACAAAAGCAAAAACAGACAAATGGGATTACATCAAGCTAAAAAACTTCTGCACAGCAAAGGAAACAAGAGTGAAGAGATAACCTAGAGAATGGGAGAAAATATCTGCAAAACCATTCATCTGACGGGATTCACAACCGGAATACAGAAGAAACTCAACTCAATAGCAAAAAAAAAGAAGCAATCCTACTACAAATGGGCAAAAGATCTGAATAGACATTTCTTAAAAGACACACAAATGGCCAACAGGTATATACGTAAAAAATGCTCAATATCAGTAATATCAGGGAAATGCAAGTCAAAACCACAATGAGATACCATCTCATCTCGGTTAAAACGGCTTTTATCAAAAAGATTTTTAAAAAATGGATGCTGAGGCCGTCACGGTGGCTCACACCTGTAATCCCAGCACTTTGGGAGGTGGAGGTGGGCAGATCACTTGAGGTCAGGAGTTCTAGACCAGCCTGGCCAACATAGTGAAACCCCGTCTCTACCAAAAACACAAAAATCAGCCGGGCATGGTGATGTGCGCCTGTAATCCCAGCTACTCGGGAGGCTGAGGCATGAGAATCGCTTGAACCCGGGAGGTGGAGGTTGCAGTGAGCTGAGATCAAGCCACTGCACTCCGGCCTGGGCGACAGAGCAAGGCTCCGTCACACACACACACACACACACACACAAAAAAAAAAAAAAAAAAAAAAAAAAAAAAAGATGCTGATGAGGATGCAGGATGCAGAAAAGGGGGAACACTTGTACACTGTTAGGGAGAACGTAAATTAGCACAGCCACTAATTTACATACTGGGAAAAGTATGATGGAGGTTCTTCAAAAAACAAAAAATAGAACTAGTGCTATTGAGATGAGTTTCTTCTATATTCTGGTTGTTAATCCCCTGTCCGATGAACAGTTTTGCAAATCTGGGTACAGATCCAAAAGAAGGGAAATCAGTATATCTAAGAAATATCTGCAGTCTCAAGTTTATTCACAATAGTCAAGATATGGAATCAACCTAAGCGTTCATCAACAGATGAATAAAGATAATGTAGCATATATACACAATGGAATATTAGTCATTAAAAAGAATGAAATCCTGTCATTTGCAACAACATGGATGAAACCGGATGTCATTATGTTAACTGAAATAAGCCAGGCACATGAAGACAATATCATGTTGTTACTCATGTGGGAGCTAAAAATGTGGACCTGATGGAGGTAAAGAGTGGATTGGTGGTTACCACAGACTGGGAAGGGTAGCAGGAAGAGGAGCGGGATGAAGAAGAGAAATTGGTTAATGGGTACAAAAAACCCCAGAAGAAATAAAATCTAGTGCCTGATAGTACAGTGGGGTGGACACAGTTAACAATAACTTATTGTGTAGTTCAAAATAGCTAAAAGAAAAATTGGAATGTTCCCAACATAAAGATAAATGTTTGAGATGACAAATATCCCAATTGCCCTGATTTAGTCGTTACACATTGTATGCATGTATCAAAGTATCACCTGCACCTGCAAATATGTGCAACTTCTATGTATCAATTTAACAAATTGGGGGAAAAAAAACCCAAACCAAACTCAAAGTGGAATAATGAAAACACTCCATAGGGAAGAGAGCTGTCCCTCAGAATCTTCAAGAAACCTTCGAAAGGTGGTCGACTGACATGGAGATGGACACGCGATAAATAACCACACGAACATTTCGACCCGGCTTTCCAGTCACACCTCCGAAGCAAGCTATGTCTCTGCGTCATTTCAGCTCCTCAGGGTACGAGCGAGCAGGCCGCCAGGGCCGCCGGGATAAAGCCCAAGCGGGATAAGCTCTAAGTCCCGACCCGCCCGCTTGACCCTCTACCACGGGGCCCGAGAGGACGCACAGAGGCGAGAAGGGACTTCTCCAGCCAAGTTCACCCCCTCCGTCATTAGCGCGGCCTGTTACTCAACCTCTGGTTCAGGTTTCCGAAGCGCCGCTGAAGACAAACCTGCGGACCCCACGCCCCTCCCCAGCACGGCCCTGGGGCGCGAGCTGGAGCAGCTCTTCGAGCTGCTTCTCCCACCCGGGCTCGCCCAGTCTGGAGGAGGAACAGCGCCCGCCCACCCCAAGGAGTTCCCATTTTCCTTGGGACTGAGGACACAAGGCAATAGACCCACGCGTTGGGTAGTGAAGCACAGGGCTAATGCGAAGTGAGCCCATGTCAGGGGTGGGAGTGCCAGTTCCACCCCTCCACGGCGGCCGAGGGACAAACACAAAGAAAGGAAGGGCCGGAGTTCCAGCCGTCACACTCACCAGCACAGCCAAACGCGATTCTGTTTGCGGAAACGGCGGCCCGCGCCACGCGTGTCTGCTTACGTCACTTCCGGAGGTGCGAGAGTCACGTGGAGACGGTCAGGCGAGAGTGCCGCGACGCACGTCCTCCGCGCCGGAACTACGAGTCCCGACGTGCCGCGCGCGGCATGCAGAAGCTTCACTGAGCGGGCACTGGAGGTCGCGAGCACGTTGCTAGTGGGCGCGGCTGGCGGGGCCGGGGGCGGCAGGGGGCTAGCGTCCGGCTGAGCCCGGCGGGTTCCTGCACGCGGACCCACGCTTTGTCGGGCTGCTCTGCTGAGTGACACCGCCGTGGCATCCGAGGAGCTGTGGTCCAGCCTGCGCGGCGGGAAGCGGCGGCGGCGGCTCCAGCGTCCTAAGAGGTAGCATGGGCCCAGGCCTCTGTGGGGCAGCGGGAGGGGTCTAGAGGGCACCTTCAACCCTGGGCGTGTGTCCGGGAGCTGACTCGCGGCGCGAACCCGGCAACTGCTCCGCGTGCGCCGCTCTTCGGGCTGTGGCAGTGTACGACTGCCAGACGGGTCGTCCACACTCGCCGACCCCACAGACCCCGGCGGCCGAGAGAGGTCCCCCCGCCCTTCCGGGTCGAGCCAGTGTCCTGGCAAATCTTGCTTTGGGACTGTTTTTCAGCCTCCTTTGCTGTAACCCTTCACCGTGTTCTCCCCCCTTCTTCCGAAGCCAGTTGAAGAGGGGCCCGGAAGCGCCCGCGTTCGGAATGGTTTTTAAAATTAGCAATTTCTTATTAGGGACTGGCAGACTGGTCCTTACCGCCGTGTTTGGGAAGCCACAAGAGGCCATTCTTACCTGTTAGATTCTGAGAAAAGGGACCGCCTATACCTCTTCTTGACAAATACCTAAGGATGCATTAGTCTGCGTTGGCTGAACTTGGCATGGTGTGGTTTGGGGGAGACAACACACTTTTTTTGGCCATCACCCCAGATTTCTACTGGGGAGTGAAAGCGCCTACTGTACTGAAACTCGAAAGCTCCATAGTTGAGGACTTTCAACCTGAGATCAGGGTCAAAACTACCTGTGGATAGATTATTGAAGCGTGTGCATATTAACGTCGTGCGTCAAGTCCCCACCTTCCAAGGTTGTAAAACTGATCAGATTTACAATCCGTCTTGAATTACTCTTTACCAAAATTGATCCATTTAAAACAGCTTTGAAAATGTGCTTTACCAGCCTTCCTTCTTGTCAGTAGGCACAGGTATATTAATGAATAGACCTGGCTTTGGGGAAGGCAGCATTTGCAGCGTTGTGCTTTCCAATCTAATCACTTCTAAATTGTGGGCATTAGCCCATTTGAGGTTACAAACTTTGAACCAAGAATGAGGCCTATTTTTCACAAATAAGGATGACCCATCAATTTCTGATGACTGCTTGTATTTGTTATTATATGAAATGAGGTAAGTTGAGAATTAATCTCATTACATGAATATTGACAACTGCAAAAGTGTAGGTCTTACAGATCGAATGCATTATAGGCATATACAAGCATTAGAACCAGGCAATTACATTCCCTGTTCCTGATGCTTAAGTTTCTTGAGATAATTGCTGTTGTAATTTTACAGAAAATGAGTGTAATTTTGACTTTTAAAAACATGTTTTAATGTTTTTAAACACCGGGTGCAGTGGCTCACTTCTGTAATCCCAGCCGTTGGGAGGCCGAGGCGGTTGGATCACGAGGTCAGGAGTTTGAGACCAGCCTGGCCAACATGGTGAAACCCCGTCTCTACTAAAAATACAAAAATTAGCCAGGCGTGGTGGCGCGTGCCTGTAATCCCAGCTACTCAGGAGGCTGAGGCAGGAGAATCGCTTAAACCCGGAAGGCGGAGGTTGCAGTGAGCCGAGATTGCGCCGTTGCACTCTAGCCTGGGCGACAGAGCGAGACTGTCTCAAAAAAAACTAAACAAAACAAAAAAAGTTATTAGATTAAAAGCCTCTTAACTATGTGTTTATGAAAACTCCACGATGATGGGATATATAGAGATTACATTTTTCAGTTTTTATAAAACTTAACTAGAAGTTGTGTAAATTCATTTGAGAATAGAGGGGAAGGATTCTTGAAAGCAGTTAATGTAAGTAAATGAGCCAGATAAAAATGATTTTAAAGTTACCATTGGTGTTATTTTTCCCTCATTATTGCCTGAGTAATCTCTGGTTTTCTGGACATTAAAATAATAATAGCTAATACTCGAGTACCTTTTAGGTGCCAAGGTTAGTGCTTTATTCATTTGCACTCGTTTAATTCTAACCGAACCCAGTGGTATAGTTATGAGTGTTTGTTTTACAGATGAGGGTTAAGTAACTTGGCCAAGATCATGCAGCTTGTTAAGTAGTGGGATCAAGATTTGGACCCAGGCAGTCTGGCTGATTGACCAGACTCTGCTAATAATGAAACAGTGCTGGCTAGAAGATCATACTCAGAACTGGACGTTGCCTAGCAAATAGTAGATTTTTCAGAAAGTGTTTTGATACTTCTTAATGCCTGGGTTATGATGTCCCGAGAGAAAATAGTTAGATAAGGATGTTATCTTGCTGGAATGTGAGCTCCACCAAGACAAGGAAAGGACCTGCAGGATTTATTTCAACCCATTTGTAAGAAAGTGAGAGTACTTCTCTCAGAGGTATAATTTTAAAGTGTGATTTCTGTTGTAGAGTTGAAGATCATATTTTTGAAACATAGAGATTGTTTTAAAAATGTAGAAACAATGTTATAGTTTCCTAAGATAGTGTTCTGTGAAGAGAGGTGGTTCATGGAAGCTTTGTTCCTCCAAATAGTTTTGGATGAAGGACTTTTCCTCTGTTCCACTCAGGAAAGTGTTCCTACTGAAATTTCATTGTCTTTCTGGAACAAATAAAATATTATTGTTTAAAAGGTTTTTCCTTCAGTTGAAAATAAGATTTTGTTGAGTAATACTGTGTGTGATGATTAGTTTTATTATGTCAGCTTAGCTAGGCTATAATACCTAGTTATTTAATCAGATACTAGTTTGGTTGATGCTATGATGGTATTCTGAAGACGTGGTTAACATCTATAATCAGTTGACCTAAACTAAAGGATATTACCCTAAATAATGTGGGTGGACCTCATTCAATCAATTGAAGGCTAAAAAAGCCAAAACTGAAGTGTCCTGAAGAAGACAGTATTTTCCTCAAGACTGCAGCATCAATTCCTGCCTAAGTTTCCTGTCTGTAGATCTACCCTACACATTTTGAAGTTGCTATCCCCTACAGTTGTGTGAGCCAGTTCCTTAAAATACCAATATCTCTGTATCTGTCTATATGTAGATGAAGATATTTATGTTTTTATCTACATCTATATATTTTTTCCTATCAGTTCTGTATCTCTGTAGAGCCCTGACTGATTCAAATTTGGGTGCTGAGAGTGCTTCTAGTGAGCAGAATCTTAAGGATGAGTTTTCTGAATTGATTATAGTGTTTCTGGAATTGGTTTTCCAAACTGATCAGATTCAAAGGCAGTAATGAGTATTCCCTGTAGAAAAGAGGGCACTGATAGTCCCTGGTGTGATATGGCAACAAAGATATGCAAAAGATCACTATTAGATACTCCCACTCATGCTTATAGACAAGATTCAGAATGATCAGGTATTTGATACCTTAGAACATTTTAATCGAATTAATGAGTACAATAAGATAGGCTGGTTGCTTTTAACTGTACTGGGTAAAGTGAGAAAAGAAAAGGATGATCCCAGCTACTCAGGAGGCTGAGGCAGGAGAATCGCTTGAACCCAGGAGGCGGAGGTTGCAGTGAGCCGAGATTGCACCACTGCACTCCAACCTGAGTGACAGAGTGAGACTGTCTCAAAAAAAAAAAAAAGAAAGGAAAGAAAAGGGGAGCTTAAGGCTTCAAATTCCCGATTGAAGCTCCACATAAGTGACCTGAAAAGTTTCTGTGTCTGCCCTAAAGAAACCCGTATCTCTTGTAGCTACAGAGCTGAGGTTGGTGAAAACCAAATCCAGAGTCTTATCCTGTAGGTGGCTGAATTACAGTGCTAACTGAATTCCCTTCTCACCTTGGTCTGCTATTAAAATGAGGGCATTGATTGGGAAGGAATGGGATCTGCACATTTGGAATAGGGCCATATGGGAACATCCTGATGAAGCTGGGGATGTTAAACTCCTAAATTTGACTCACTCTTTTTTGCCAGTAGAAGCAGTTCTTCCACCTCTGAGGAGGTTAACTCTGCTTTGCCTGAAGAACCTGTAATGACCTCCCTTGAGGTAGTTACCTTGCAAGACATTGCCGGTTTTCCTCAGGAATCCGTGAAGAGCTCTGGGGTTGCTTTTCTCTTCAGGTCAGAGATTGCAGTGGGAGCTGTTGCCACTGACTGGGGGTCCTTAGCTGCAGCAGGGATGGTTGGATCTAGGATGGCAGGGGCTATGTGATCACCAAAGAGTAAGTAGGTGTGTTGCCATCATGGGGGACAGCGGAGTCAAAGCAACAATCTGAACAGCCTGACTTGGGGGTCCTAATTGGGTAGGTGGTCATGGTGTCCCTAGAAGAGAACTCGTTGGGCAGTCTACTGAATTCTGACTTGATCTCTATAAGCAGAAGAGTTCTAGGTCAAGTGAATGGAAGCTTTACTTTAATTACCAAAGAAAGAGTCATGGTCCCTCAATCAGTTCCCAGATTTGAGTCATTTTACAGACTCAGAACCCCCTGACTGAGGGGAGGCTGGATCCTTTTGAGGAAGGACCCCATTGCGCTGCTAAGAATTTATACCGTTAATTTTTTTCTCAGGTTTCCCAAAGGGACCTATGGCTTATCAGGGTAAGTGTGCACTGGAGAAGAGGAAATAATTAGACTTCTCACAGATTACTGAACTCTTAAGTCTGAACTGACACTAATTCCAGGACACTCAAAGTGTCATTTTGGCCCGCCATTCAGAGTAGGGACTTGTTGAGGTTAGGTGGTCAATGGAAGTTTAACCCAGGTTCTCCTCACAGTGGGTCCCCATATTCATCCTATGGTTACTTTGCCAGTTCCAGGATGCATAACTGGTATAGACATACTCAGCAACTGGCAGAATCCCCACACTGGTTCCCCGACTTGTGGAGTGAGGGCGATCGTGGTAGGAAAGGCCAAGTAGAAGCCACTAGAGCTGCCTCTTCCTGGAATAATAGTAAGCCAAAAGCAATACCGCATTCCAGGAGGAATTGCAGAGATGAGTGCACTTAAGGATGCAGGGGTGATGATTCCTGACATATTCGCATTCAACCCTCCTGTTTGGCCTGTGCAGAAAACAGATTGATCTTGGAAAATGACAGTGGATTATCATAAACTTAACTGAGTAGTGACTAATTGCAGCTGCTGTTCCAGATGTCATTTCATTACTTGAGAACCTATCCCCTAGTAACTGGCATGCAGTTATTGATCTGCTGAGTGCTTTGTCTTAGTATCTGTTAGTAAAGATCACCAAAAGCAGTTTTCTTTCAACTAACAAAGCCAAAAATACACCTTCACTGTCCTACCTCGGGAATGTCAACTTTCCAACACTATGTCATAACAAGATCTCTGTGATCTTGTTATGAGTTGAATTGTGTCTTCTAAAAATTTATGTATTGGATTCCTAGCCCTTAGTACCTCAGGGTATGACCTTATTTGGGAATAGGGTAGTTAAAAATGTAATTAGATAAGATGAGGTCATACTGGAGTAGGCTGGGCCCCTAATCCAACACAACTGGTGTCCTTATAAACAGGAGGAATTTGAACACAGACATTCACACAGGGAGAATGCCATATGAAACTGAAGTAGAGGAACACCAAGAAATGTCACACATTTCCAGCAAACCATCAGGAGCAAGGGGGTAGGCATGAAACAGATTCTTCTTCACCCCCTTTGAAGGAACAAACCCTACTGACACCTTGATCTTGGACTTCTAACCCCAGAGCTGGAGACAGTACATTTCTGTTTTGTAAGCTCCTCAGTTTGTGGTTCTCTATTACAGCAGCTGTAGCAAACAAATAGAGACCCTGATTGTGCTTCCCTTCCACAAAACATCATACTGGCCCATCACATTGATGACATTATGCTGATTGGACCTGGTGGGCAAGAAGAAACAACTACTCTAGACTTACTGGTATGACATTTGCATGTCAGAGGGTGGGAAATCCAACAAATATTCAGGGGCCTTCCACCTGTGAAATTTCTAGGGGTCCACTGGAGTAGTGTAGGGCATGTTCCCACCTATAACAAAAAGAGAAGCAAGGTTTAGTGGGCCTCTTTGGATTTTGGAGATGACAAATTCCTCATTTGGGTGTGCTACTTCAGGTTGTTTACTGAGTGACCTAAAATACTGCTAGTTTTGAGTGGATCCCAGAACAAAAGGCGCCTCTACAACAGGTACAGGCTGCTGTGCAAACTGCTCTGCCACTCAGGCCATATGACCCAGCAGATCTTCTGGTGCTTGAAATGTCAGTGGCAGATTGAAATGCTGTTAGGAACCTTTTGCAGGCCCTATAGGAGATACAGTGTAGAACCTTAGGATTTTGGAGCAAAGCCTTTCCATCCTTTGCAGGTAACTGCTCTTTTAAGAAACAGCTTTTGGGCTTGCTACTGGGCTTAATAGAAACTCTACGCTTAACCGTGGGCCACCAAGTTATGCAACCTGACTAGAAAAATGACTAGAATATTTCAGCAGTTAAGAGCACAAGCAGATGGCATGTGTTCAAATCCTGGTTATGTTATATTTACTAAGCATGTCATCCTTGAGTAAGTGGCCAAACTTTGTGTTTTGATTTCCTCATGGAGCGATTTTATAGAATAAATGAGATGATACAGTGCTTAGCACAGAACCTGCTAATTTTTAGCTTCTCTTAACACAACTGAAACTGCTACTGCAATGTCTTGTGAAGTCATTAGTCCATGCCTTTAAATGTGATTGTAGAATTTTTTTGCCTTGGTACAGCAGAAAAAATAGAGTGATTTTTTTTTTTTTTAATTCATGTAAACCAGAGCAGAAGTTTGAAATAGTGAACAGTCTTGTAGGCATTATGTGCTTTCAGGTTCTGAGTTTATTACTTCTGAGAATTAACCATAGTAGCAGTGGTCTATGACCTCTGTGGGTGAAAGGGTGGCTGGGCTTTAAGCATGTGCAGCAGTGGGCAAAGAATGGAGGTGAGGGAAGAGGCATCAGACATTAGGAAGGGATCCTCCCGGAGAAGTGGAGGTGGGTGGTTAGATTTTGTGGGTGCCAATGGCAAGATGAGTCCTATTAGAAAGTCTCATTGATAAGAAAAAATTGTTTTCAAGGCAGACTTAAAAATTAGGGCTTCCCCATTTTTACTTACTTCTTCTACATTGCCTTTGTAACTTCTTGGACGTGATAAATTGAATTAAACGTGGTATTTTATTTGGATTTCTTGATTTTTAATGTAAGCATGAATTATAGTAACTCTTCCTTGCTATCTGAAATACTGCAATTCTTGTTCTAGTTAAGCTGCATTGTAATTTGACTCATTTCTTAAAATTAGAGGAATTAGATAAACAGTGATGGGTTTGCAATGTAGTGTTTGCCAAATGAATGTCATATATAATGTTAAGAAAAATTTTATTTGTGTGGCACACTTTATAAAATAAAGCAGACCTATGTCAAGTTCTAAATGCAAATTTTTATTTTACTTTTCTTGCCATCTTCATCACTGTAAATGCAAGTTTTTAAAAAGATATTTTAAAATTGGACCCAGAATACAAGAGCTCTTTATTGCAACAATGGCTTCTGGTACTCTGATGATCAAATGACATTTTCTGAAATATGCTTGATACAGTAAACACTGACAAAACTAGTTAACCCCACAGAGAAGGTTACTAGTATTTTTCACCAAAGCCAAGCTGAAACAGGTTCTATTGCGATTTACTTGGTGTAAAATATATGTATAATTTCTCATATGTCTTTTTTTGGTTTAACAAACATAGTCCTTATTCATCAAGTAAATTCCTATTGCTAAGCATGTTTTAGTTAACTAGTAACAATAAATTTATGTTAAAACTGATTTTCATGATAGAAGATAGAAATGAAATTTATATAGTTTGGCTCTCAATCCTTTATTTTCAGGGAAAAGACACAATTTATACATATGAGCAATTTGTGAAGATGTGGGAAATTCACTAGATTAGCAGTTCTTTTTTCTTTTTTTTTTGGCCTTTAATCAGCTATGTGATCAGGAACAAGTTATGAACTATTACATGTCCTTGCATTCTTTATCTGTAAACATAAAGGATGATACTAAGGGGCCTCTCAGTTTCCTTCCAACTCTTAACATTCTGTAGTTCTAATGCAGACAACTATGACTAAACCTAAGGTTGCTGCTTTTATACAGTTGTACTCAGGTTCTGTGTGGCCTTCCATTTTTGTAGTCCCTGTAACAAAGACTTTGAGAAGGTAAAAATAATCCTTACTCATGCAGTGGGAAGGTTTCTTAAGGAGAGTAGGCTTGTATTTTCTGTTGCTGTGTAACAAATTACCCCCACATTTAGCAACTTAAAACAACACAGGTTTATTGTCTCACAGTTTTTCTGGGTCAGGAGTATGGGCACATCTTAGCTGGTTTGCTGCTTAGCATCTCAAAGTGTCAAGCAGGCTGCATTCTCATCTGGAGGTTCAACTGTGGAAGAATCTGTTTGCAAACTCATTGAGGTTGTAGGCAGAGTTCATCTTTTGTGCCTATATGAGTGAGGGCGCTGTCTTCTTCCTGTTGACTGGTGGCTTCCCTCAGGGACTAGAGGCTGTTCCCCGTATGCGGCCCTGTCCGTAGGCAGTTCATCATACGGTACCTTGTTTCCTTGAGGCCAGCAGAAAACTCTGTCTCCAGTCTGCTAAGATGAAGTCCTTTCCATCTTTTCTACCATTTAGTCTACTATACCATAAGTCTTTTCTCGAGCCTGTTAGACTGCTTTTTAAACCTGACATTCTGGTGCATTGGGCCCTTGCAGTTTTCATGCAAGTTGATTAACCTTTATGTTACCAAATGACTCACTGGAGTATGCTTTTTGCTCTCTAATCCATAATTCAAAATGTATCTTCCTCTTATTCACTTCTCTGTACTTTATTTTTTTGGCAGACTTTTGATAGTAGATTTCTAAACATTCTGTATTTTTCCTTTCTTTTCACAGTCTGTCATGCAGCTGACCAACGTAAGTCCAAAGTGCTTTAGAATTCGAGTAATTCTGCAAACCCTGCTTTGTAGTTAGCGGTGCAGTGGTGAAGTTCAAAACTTAGACTTGGGCTGGGCACAGTGGGTCACACCTGTAATCCCAGCACTTTGGGAGGCTAGGGTGGGAAGATCACTTGAGCCCAGGAGTTCGAGACTAGCCTGGGCAACAGAGTGACACTCTGTCTCTAAAAAACAAACAAAGAACTTAGACTTGAATGTAGGTGACAGGTGGCACTAATCTCGGGCACTAATCTCTAGTTCAAAATGATCCTTTATCAGTTCAAGTATGAAAGACTTCATATAGTAAACATTGCTTGGGGGGATTAACATATAATGTAAGAAAGGGCAGATGGTATTTCCTGCATTCTGGAGAGCCTTAAGAGGATTGGATGCTCTCTATCCACCCCAGCCTTGCTTCATCAGTAAGCTGCTTTCAGCTGCAAGTAACAGAAACTGGATTCAAGTTGGCATTAACAATAAAGAGGGACATAGTAACAAGAAGTCCGCAAACAGAGCACACTCCAGTGCCTCAGTTCAGAGCTCCCGCTCTGCCTTGTCCATGTCAGCTTTGTCCTTAGGCGGGCTCCCTGTGTTAGTCCATTCTCACACTGCTGTAAAAATACTACCTGAGACTGGGTAATTTATAAACAAAAGAGGTTTAATTGACTCACAGTTCAGCATGGCTGGAGAGGCCTCAGGAAACTTCCAATCATAGTGGAAGGCAAAGGGGAAGCAGGCACCTTCTTCACAAGGCAGCAACAGGAGGCAGGGAGAGGGCACAGGGGAGAGTACCATTTTTAAAACCATCAGATCTCGTGAGAACTCCCTATCATGAGATCAGCAAGGGGGAAACTGCCCCCTGATCCAATTACTCCCACCAGGTCCATCGCTTAACACGTGGGGATTACAATTTGAGATGAGATTTGAGTGGGGACACAGAGCCAAACTATGTCCCTTTAAGGTTACAGAGTGGCTGCTGGAACCCCCAGAATCCATATGTTTCCTTGCTCACCCCCAGTTTAGGAGAGAGAATTAGGTCCCCAAACCATGGAATGTAAGTTCTCAAAATCCTTAGACTCCCCTAAGTCACATGCCCATCCCTGGACCAATAACAGTCAGCCAGCCACACAATGCTATGAGCCCTGTCCTTTTGATCGGGATCCATCATTGGAGCTGGGGGCTCTGGTAGACAGCTACCTGAGCAGAACAGGGCCTCTGAAGAGGGAAGAGGGGAGAGGATGCTTAGTAGGCAGCCAACACTTTCCATTACCTTATCTAACCAGTAATTTAGTTAACACTGTTTTATCTATTGTTCTTTTTTGTAACTAGACAATCTTAAAGTGGAAGTCTTTCTGTATACTATGAAGCCATGTTGTCTAATACAGTAGCCATCAGCCACTTGTTACTATTGTATTGTAACTTAAAGTAATTAAAATTAAAATAGAAAAATTAGTACTTAAGTCACACTAGTTACACTTCGGGTGTTGAGTAGGCAGCTGTGTGTAGTGGCTACCTTATTGAACAGCACAGATATAGAACATTTTCATCATTTCAGAAAAATCTGTTGAACAGAGCTGCTCTAAATTGTTTCAGGTAAAGTTTTTGTGTAAGCATTGAGCCACAGTAGAAACAAGGATAGCACCTACTTTACTAGGTTTTCATCTTATGTTGGGGATTATAGGATCTGAAATTTAGCCGAAATGGGAAATAGGAATTCATTCATGTTGAGGTGATTGAATATAATGTTTGATACTACTTAGGACTTAAAAATATCAGAGCTGTTTTTAAAAATATACTTTTTTCCATTAAGAAAGTACAAATTATTTTTTGTTGTGTAATAACTCTGTGCAAGTTTGGTGATATCTTGAAGTTCAGAATATGGAAAATGTTGTAATGTGAACAACTTTATGTGGTGGTAACATACCCATGATAATGAATCTCACAGTATAATGAAAGTGACTGCCCAGTTTGTCATTCTAGTAGAGTATGCTAAACTTTTCAGGGAATGTAGACGAATATGTATTAGTGCAATCACAGATGTGCTTGATATAATCCTGTCTCCACTATTCTGAGGCCGTATCTGTCAAACCAGAATTAGGGCTAAAGAATTATTATATTAAGTATCTTAAAAATAGTTATGTCCCCCTGTAGTCTCAGCTAGTGGGAAGGTGGGAGGATCACTTGAGCCCAGGAGTTCTGGGCTGTAGTGTGCAGTGCTGATCAGGCGTCTGCACTAAGTTCGGTATCAATATGGTGACCTCCCTGGAGCAGAGGACCACCAGAGTGCCTAAAGAGAGGTGAACTAGCCCAGTCTAGAAACTGAGCAGGTCAAAACTTTCATCTGATCAGTAGTGGGATCACACGTGTGAATAGCCACTGTACTCCCAGCTTGGGCAAAATAGCAAGACCCTGTCTCTGAAAAAATAAATAAATATTTATGTATAAGATTATATATATATGTACATTATATAACTAGGTTATTGGACATGTGCATATATATATATATCCAGTAACCAATATATCTTCACTAACCTAGTAATACTACTCCTAGGAATTTCTTGAAGAACTTAAAATATGGACAAAAATGTTATACATGAGGACGCTATTCATAGTGCATTAAAACTGGGGACAATCTAAGCTTCTAAGAGTAAGAGAATAACCAAATCAATTATGGGGTGTTAAATCCCCCAAGATAATGAATTATTTCTTATCCAGCTGTTCAGACTCATATTTTTGTAGCTCTTTAATGGTGTATGCATAAGGTGATGGTAAAGAATGCAAAATTACATGTAATACAGAAAGCAGTAATCCAGGATCTAAATTAAGTTCCTGTAGTTCTCAACTGGCTCCTGTGTACAAAATCCAAGGTCAAAGAAGACTGAATAGCCAGATAATTGTTTTGAGCAGATTTCTCTATAAAGTAAAATACAGTTTCAGAAGCAACTGAGTTCACTTTATGCATCTTGCTGTATATTAACCTGCTTTTATCATATCACTTTCTTGCTCAAAACTTCAGTTACTCCTTAGGAATTAAAAAATCCTCTAGAATTCCAGCCTCATTTCTCATTACCCTGAAAAGGCCCATCTTTACATATTGACACTCTGTGCCTTTCCAAGTACCATTTCCACTTTAACCTAGAATGACTTTCCATCTTCTTTTCCAATGCTCTGAAGTTTTTCTTTCGAAGGTATCCTGCAGCCTTCAACTGACCACTGTAGTTCAGTTAGCCTTTTCTTTATTCCCCTAATACATAGTATGTTTATAAACTTGTAACTCATGTCTGACATGTCTCCTATCTTGGAATATTTAATTACCCGTTTATAACTAGATTGTAAACTACTTAAAGACAGTGAAAACACATATTATACTAATTTGTTCTAGGTGCCAAAAGGGTTACAGTTCTGTGTAATGTCCACCCTTTGGTAGGGGGTCAGTGAAAAGCTCCACTGTTAAGTTCTTTTGTAACTGTTTTACGTTAGTAGATTTTAGGTACTCTGAAGATATAGAAGAAAATCCCCTGGTTCGTACCCCTGGAGGAGTTATAATTTAGTTGAGAAAACTAAGAGTTAAATTTCCGGGAGTAATGTTGGGCAACTGGGAGATGCTTAGTAAATATTTCAGGCCAGGAGCTGTGTGGTATGCTACCTGAGAGGCAGAGGCAGGAGGATCGCTTGAGTCAGGTGTCAGAGGTTTTGATGAGCTATGATTGTGCCACTGCACTACAGCCTAAGTGACAGAGCAAGACCCTGTCTCTAAACGTGTGTGTGTGTGTGTGTGTGTGTGTGTTTTATAGTGACATACTTCCCCGCTACTAATCACGGAAGCAGTGGAAGATGGAATGACTGTAGAGGAATCATTGTCCTTTCACTGTGATGATAGGAAAGAGGTGGAGCTGCTTCCTCTGTCCTCAGACATCGTTTGATGGTCTGTGCTCACTCACCAGGCATTACCTTCAGAAACTGCAAATATATTTTTGTTAATTCACATGTTTAAATGTATTCAGGATTATTTATGTATGTGTACACATGGGGTGATTTTAGTATTGGTGTGAATTTTACCTAGTTTAAGAAGTACTCTGAAGGTTGAGAGATTTTAAATCAGTAGTAAGGAAGAGGAGGACTAAGAATAGAAGAAATATATCATGCTAACTTGGACAAAAGGCCATAAAGGATGAGAGTGGCAGAACATAAAATCTTATCTCAGGTATGGAAATTGTAAGTTATGTTGTTAAGTTATGTTGAATTTGTGTATCAACATACAAACATACATTCTAGACTTAGGCAAGAACAGCAAAAGTTAATTTATGCTTTAAGGAGAAGGTAATGGTTTTAACATCAAAAAAGTTAAATTTTTTATTGGTAAAAAAAGTTGTGCTGTAAGGAAAGAGGCCTTCTTATAGATGTATAGTTCAAACTTGTAAGTAGAGATAAGAGTATCTCCAAGTCATCCCTTCAGGATCTGAGCATCTTAGCTGTTAACATCTCCGGGGTTTGTAACAACGAAAGATAGAGCTGGGCTGGAGGAAAGCCAGGGCGGCAAATGAGCTACTTCAGTAGGTGACCTGTCTGTTCCAAGTCCACAAGCACTATCTGTCCTTTTTCAGGTTAGCACACTGCTATCAGTCTTTGTATACTGCAGCTTTCATGTTTTGAAGTACTTAGTTTTGAGTCCTTCTATCGATGGAATTTCTCAGGAAGGATATGTGGTGTCTGAGTCCGTTCAGGCTGCTGTAGCAAAATACTGTAAACTGGGTGGCTCATAAACAGTGGAAATTTATTTTTCATGGTTCTGGAGGCAGGAAAGTCTAAGAGCAAGGTACTGGCAGATAAAGGTGTTTGGTGTGGGCCCACTTGCTGGCTCACAGACAGCCCTCTTTTCACTGTAACCTCGCATGATAGAGGGTCCATGAGCTCTCTTGAGTCTCTTTTTATAAGGTCGCTATTCTCATTCAGGAATGCTCTGCCCTCATGACCTAATCACCTCCCCGAAAGCCCTACCTCCTAATGTCATAATTTGGAGGTTAGGACTTCCTATGTGGAGGGACACAAATATTCAGATCATAGCATGTGTGCAGGATTTAGGAGCTTTTAAATATTTGAAAATGTCTTTAACATGACTGTCAAATTGAATTTTCTTACAATTTTTAGGTCACATGCTTTTCTCTTTAAGTTCTGCATTAATTGCTCTGTTGTTTTCTGGTTCGTAATAAAGCTGAAAAGTCTAAGGCCAGCATGATAGTTAGGTCTATGAAGACAAGCTGTTTTTCCCTGTGTCTTAATAGTATATTTTTCTTATAATTTAAACAAGTTCATGTAAGGAATTTAATTTGCCTTAAACATATTGAACCTGTTGATTTTGCAGTCTGGGGTCTTTTCACCATTATTTTTCTAATTGTAGTTTTAGAAACCTAAGATCTCTTTTGAATCTGTGTATTTGTGAACTTTTTTTTGTCATTTTCATCTTCTTGACCAATTTCTCTTTATTCTTACACAGCTTCTCTAGTTTGCACAGTACTCTCCACAGTACCGATTTTAGGAGACTTGATAAATTGCTGAGTACAAGGGAATAGGAAGATCCTTGGCTGAATTTGATACAGCTTTTTGTCTTGGACAACTTGGGCTCCAAAGGAGGCACATATTTGGGGAGTGGGAGGAAGAGGTAGTCATTGAGTACCATGTAGGATCTTTTGTGTCCCAGATACAAAAGATGTTGAGCAATCCAGGTGGATGCTGAGAGTCAGAAAAAAATCTGGACAGGAAACATAAATTGGGGTTCATCACCTAATGGATATAAAAGTTATTGCCCAGATAAAATGTATAGAGCCTGCATTCAGATTTAAGAGAAAAAGGAGTCTATTACCAAGACCAGGAAGGAAGCTCCATGATAAGAAAAGCAGAAGAAAGGAGCTGGAGTTATAGAAAGGAAAGTCTGAAAGACTTTGAACAAGTAGGATGCAAGTAGTGAGGGTAATTATGTGTAACAGAATGAAAGGCCCAAAAGGTATCAATAGAAGCTCCTTGCTGATTTTAATAGGAGCATTTTGGTATGGGAGGTAGTGAAAAAGAGAAGGCTGGTTTTTTTGTTTTGTTTATTTTGTTTTTTGATTGGGGGGGTTGTTTTTTGTTTGTTTTTGTTTTATTTTTGAGATTGAGCCTGTCTGTTCCCCAGGCCGGAGTGCAGTGGCACAATCCTGGCTCACTGCAACTTCTGCCTCCTGGGTTCAAGGGATTCTCCTGCCTCAGCCTCCCAAGAAGCTGGGATTACAGGCACCCACCACGATGCCCGGCTAATTTTTGTATTTTTAGTAGAGACAGGGTTTCATCATGTTGGTAGACTGGTCTCGAACTCCTGACCTCAGGTGATCTGCCTGCCTTGGCCTCCCAAAGTGTTGAGATTACAGGCGTGAGCCTCCGTGCCAGGCCAAGGCTGTTGTTTTAAGACACTTCGCTGGTAACAGGAAGAAGAAAAATTGGGCAAACATCACATAAAGACCTACTTTCTTGATGGCATATCTATACAACAATGAAGGAAAGAAGCCAGTAGTGTAATTGCCCAGTGGGTTCTTCCTGCCCACTGCATGGAAAACAGTTTCCTGAGACTGTGCTATTTGAGTACACAAAGAGTTTTATTAATGTCATGCTGGCCATACAGGAGATAGAGTTATTACTCAAATCATTCTCCCTGAAGGCTCAGAGGTTAGGGTTTTTCAAGGATAGTTTGGTGGGCAGAAGACTAGGGGATGGGTGCTGCTGATTGCTTTGAGGATGAAATCATAGGGTGTGGAAAACGGTCTTTGTGTGCCCAGCCTGTCTCTGGATGGGGGCAGTAGGACTGGTTGAGTCATGAGTCACAAGTCCAGGTGGAGTCAGTATAAAAAATATTTAGGAAGACCAATCTTAGGTTGTACAATAATGATGTTATCCATAGAAACCATTAGGGAAGTCACACATCTTGTGACCGCTGGCCCCGTGACTGCTGAACCCCATGACTCATGAAGTAAGGGATTATAGAAACTATGCCTACATTTAGGCCGGGCACGGTAGCTCATGCCTGTAATCCCGGCACTCTGAGAGGCTGAGGTGAGCAGATCACCTGAGCTCAGGAGTTCAAGACCAGCCTGGGCAACATGGTGAAACCCTGTCTCTACAAAAAATACAAAAATTAGCTGGGCACGATGGCACACATCTGTAGTCCCAGCTACTCGAGAGGCTGAGGCAGGAGAGTTGCTTGAACATGGGAGGTGGAGGTTGCAGTGAGCTGAGATCACACCATTGTACTCCAGCCTGGGCAACAGAGTGAGACCTTGTTTCAAAAAAAAAAGAAAAAAGAAACTATGCCAACATTTAATCAGAATTTAGGCCCTTCCCATAATTCTAATCTTGTGGCCTTTCATTAGTTTTACAAAGGCAATTTCAGTACCCAAACAAGGAGGACATCAGTTTTAGGGAGGGATATTATCTTGGCTTCAAAGTTAAACTGTCAACTAAATTCCTCCCCTGGTTAGCTTGCTCTACACCCAGGAACAAGTGAGGACAGCTAGCTAGTAAGGCTAGCAGCAAGATGGAGTCAGCCATGCTAGATTTCTCTCACTGACATAATCTTTGCACAGGCACTTTTGATGGAGTGAGCAGTTGAAGGGACAGGAAAGAGAATGGCAGTAGAAAAATACAAGGAAAATGGGGTCAATAACTTGGGTTCACTTTCAAAGGGAGGAGGGAATAGTTTCATCTAATTATTTATTCCCTCAACAAACATTTATTGAGTGCCTCCTGTGTGCCAGCAAGCCTTAGTTTTAGGCACCTGGGATGCAATGAAAAAAACAGTGAAAAAGCTCTACTCTTGGGGGACCATAAGTAGTAAACATAATAAATAAGTAAATTGTATAAGAAGTTAGAAGATAAGTGGTGTAGGAAAAATGAAACCAATAGAGCAAGGTAAGGAAGACTGGGATATTGGGGCCAGAAATGAGTGGTGCTATAGTTTTAAATAAGATGGTCAAGGTAGGCTTTACAGAGCAGGTGGCAATTGAACAAAGGCTTCCAGGAGGCGAAGCAGTTGGCCATGTAGGTATCTGGAGAATGACTTGTTCCAAGGAGAGGGAACTGCAAAAAGTCTTAAAGCAGGCACCTTTTCAGCCTATGGGCAGAGCTGCAAGCCCAGTGTGGCTGGAGCAGAGTGAGCAAGAACACTGAGAGAGATGCCGTCATGGGTAGGGGTGTGTGGAGGGGGTACAGATTACTTAGGACCTGGTCTTACAGTTTAAGGACTTCGGCTGTTACTCAAAGAAAAATGGGAAAGTTTTAAAAAGAGGAGAGTCATGATCTGACCTAGATGCCATATATATGGTCAGCTTATATATGAGGCTTGAAGAGATTTGGAAAGGTATGGAATAGTTTCTGAGCAGAATGTGAGAGGAATCTGATCAGAAATTGTCATGGACTGTCACGGAGCAGACAGAGCCAGTCTGAGATATGATGATGTACTATCATGTATGCTGGCATTATTTTACTCTGTTGTTTTGTTAGCAGTGATTAGTTATTGAGATGTGGCTGTGGAAGAAACAGATAATAGGACTGGATTTGCTGAAGGGCAAGGTGGTAATTCAAGTAATGTGCTGTAGAATCTAGGCTGGTTAAAGATTTCAGCGTGAAACCAGGAGAAACTGTTAGATTTGAACTAGGAAAAGGACAGGGTCAGGCAAGGCGCTAGTACTAGGCTCTGGAGAAAAGAAGGGAATGGAGGCTGGTAGCTAAAAGTGAGATAGTGTAGTTTTCAGAATTTCACTTGTGGAGCAGTATCAGATGATTTCAAGGCCAAGGGCATGACCAGTGAAATGAATTGCTGAAGAAGCTAGGTATAGTATAATATGAAATATATTTGGTCTTTTTCCCCCATGCTTGTCTCAGAGCTGCTAAAACCATTGGGAATTTCCTGAGTGATAGGAGTACGTTTTATTAATAACAATCCCCGTAACAGGTTATGCTAATAAGCTAACTTAGGGTAGGGCTTCTGTAGCTTCAGAATGGGGCGACTCACTAGAAATACAGAGGATTAGAGTGGTGGAACTTTGAGACTCACCCCACCATCCTCCAGGAAAGGCTAGGGCTGGAGATTAGTCTCTACAAAAACTCTTGAACAACAGACTTGATAAACTTCTATGTTGCTAAGCACATGGAGGTGCCGAAAGGGTGGCACACCCAGAGAGGGCATGGACATCCAGACACCCCCCTAATACCTTACCCTCTGCATCTCTTCCATCTGGCTGTTCATCTGTATCCTCTGCAATATTTTTTATAATAATCCAGTAAATCCTTCTTAGCAAATTAATCAAACCCAGCGTTAAAGGACTACCAGGTTCTATTGCCCATTGCAAGGCGACAAGCAATATGCAGAAACAATGGGAACCGCAGCAGAGAAAGAGTTCAATAACTGTAGGGCAGCAAAATGAGAAGATGAAACCTTGTTAAAAGAAAAACTTCAGCTGAATTAAATGTAAAGGAGTTTAACTGAGCAATGAACTATTCGCAAATTGGGCAGCCCCCAGAATCCCAGCAGATTCAGAGAGACTCCTGCGCAGCCATGTGGTGGAAGAAGATTTATAGACAAAAAAAAAAAGGGAAATGATGTACAGGAATCGGAAGTGAGATATAGAAACAGCTGGATTGGTTACAGGTCGGCGTTTGCCTTATTTGAACACTGAGCACTTAGCAGTCTATGAGTGGTTGAAGTATGGCCACTGGGATTGGCCAAGACTCAGCTGTTGTTACAGGCGCACACTCCTAAGTTAGGTTTTCAATCTTGTCTGCCTATTAAGTTAGGTTACAGTTCATCCACAAGGACTCAAATGTAGAAGTACAGAGTCTTTCTCAGGCCATGTTTAGTTTGCTTTAACAGTTCCCCTCTTTTGGTCATTCTTTCAATTTTGAGAGATTGACCAAAACTTTAGTCCTTGATGTCACTATTACCATCATAAATATACTTACTTGGTTTTGAAAACCACTGGGAAACAGTAGAACTGAGTTTTGCAAAGGCAGGAACAAGGACTGAGTAGAGGGTACCTCCTTATGCCAGAATGTCCTGTTTATAGGAGAAAAACAAAACCTGGTCTGTTCTGGTCTAGGATCTATGTGTTTCCTTAAAGTTTTAGTTTGATTATGTCAGATTTAACAGGAGTGGCTCCACTTTTGTTTGGTTTGGTCTGTTGGGGCCTAGTGCATGAGCTCAGTCCAAAACAATGGCCTCCTATAATTTAAAAAATTCCCCCTTCTGTTCTGGTTCTCACTTAGGTGAGAGTGTGACCAAAACTTAGGGCCTTAGTGCCACTCTCAGTTACCATTATTTTGGGTTTCGAGATTCAGCATGTCATTTATAGGTTATGGTGTCCTCATGGCTGCACATTTCTTTCAGCTCTTGTCATTCCAGTTGAAGAGAGACCATGTGACGTTTTAGAGATGGCTACATGAAAACATTTAAAACCTCTGAGAGAATACAGCACACCAGGGAGACTGTTATCATGACTGTCGGGAGGATAGTACCAAGAGTTTGGAGTATGCTTCTTACCCAGGGTCCCAGTAAATCAAACGACCTAAAATCAAATAGATCAAAGAATGAGCTAAATGAAGAGTCTACTGGCTTAACTAAGTGGTTTTTTCTGTTAATCCCCTACAACGGAATTTTTATAATCTACATTTGACGTATTTCTTCATAGGCCACAAGTGCCAGCAGCTGCACAGATACTTTTCTGTTTAGCCAATTCTGTTTTTTAGCATAACCTTCACAAGAGAATTTAAAGTCTGTTGTGCAACAATAGCCTTTACAGTAGAAACTGCTATAAAGCCTATCATGAAGGACACATTTTAAATCATTCCCTCTTTTATTCCAAACCGTGAAAAAAGGACCTAACAAACATTGCCCTTCTAGAAGAGTGAAGGCCTCCTGGCAATGTTCTCTTTAACCTATGTGGGTTAAGAGGAGTGAATCAATGTGCTGTTTCTGACTGATTATGAGGCAACATATGTACCATTAAAGTTTCTTACCTACATTGGGGCTTCGTGTTTTATCTATGAAGGTATAAGGTTATCCATATATAAGGCTGGCTGCAAAATCATTTTCAAATAAAAGTATACCCCATAAGTTCACACAACAGACGACCCCCCCCCATTTTCATTTCTGTTGTTCATAGAGGCATAAACAAGGGAAAAGTATTTAAAGATAAGAGTCTCATGGTAGTAGAACTCTTCATCTGTGATCTTGGGAAAAGCTGTTCACATCAAGGATGCCATCTTTTTCTGGGGAGAAATTTCCCTGGTTAGCTTTACCTTGAGGGTTCCAGTGGGTGTACAGTTCCAAGATTGTGGAGGGACCCTTCTCTATTGTGAGATTATGAAGCCAAAATACAAGGTCCTGAAGTTTTGCTGCAGTATGGATAGCAAGGACAATCTTTCTCTGATGTCCTCAGAATATTCAGTCTTTGGGTTCTAGATTGTGAAAGGGTTGATTTTCCTCAGTGAACCATAAAAATACACTGTGGCATAATAACTTAGTGTTATAACATCAGTCCTCTTGCATGGGAAAGCTTTTATACAACCAGAAAACATGCATTGAAAATGACAATTGAATGAAATCCCTCTACAAATGTTTAAATGACCCATCAGGTAGCCAAATATACCTGAAGCTTTCATGGTCTTCTCAGGCACGTGGGTTTGACAAACTAAACATTGGTTATGAAATTATTTTAGCAGGCTGGGCACAGTGTCTCATGCCTGTAATCCTGGCACTTCGAGAAGCTGAGGTGGGAGGATCACCTGAGGTCAGGAGTTCGAAACCATCCTGGCCAACATGGTGAAACCCTGTCTCTACTAAAAAGACAAAAATTAGCTGGGCATGGTGGCACACGCCTGTAGTCCCAGCCACTCGGGAGGCTGAGGCAGGAGAATTGCTTGAACCCGGAAGGCAGAGGTTGCAGTGGGCCGAGATCATGCCACTGCACTCCAGCCTGGGTGACAGAGTGAGACTCTGTCTTAAAAAGAAAAAAAAATTATTTTAGCAATGTATAAGGTACCACACCAATATATTTAATTTGAATTATTTTATATTTTCCGTGATGAGTCATGGAAAGCATAACTTTTAGTAACAAAAGCTGTAAGGACTCAGGAAGGACAAGGTGGCTATCCTGGTTCTCCATGTGTCCATGCTTAATTAACGTTAGACTTATGTCCTCTTGAATGCCAGTTGTTTTTCCAAATTAGGTACATAGCACTGATAACTGATGGGTTATCATAGGCAATTTGACTTAGACTATGGAGTTCATTTAAATTGTATATTTAAACAATTTCAGTACCAGCTGATTTAACGTGAAAATCTGGCAAAGTATTTTCTTGGTGTTCAATTAATTTCTGTCTACTTGGGTTAGCAGTTTTATGAACCAGTCAGTCTTTTTATTAAAGTTCCAGGAATTCTTACCCAGATTAAATGATATGATTCTAAGGTTATTAGAAACCTGTATTCAAGAGTGCTTTTTAGGGTCCTTTCCATCCTTTCATGAATCTCCTAAAAGACACCATATTCTAGGATTTTACATGCTTATGAAGTTTTTAGAAACCGCATTAAGCAATTAACTGGAAATGACTTTAAATAGTTATAGTTAAAGACACAGATGACAAGGAAATGTGGTTATTTCCATGGTCTATAACAACATAATAACTGTAATTATGGATAGCATATACACAGACATATTAATTTTAGAAATCCAATACAATTTTGGAATATATATTAACATTCACTAAAATATAACTTGAAAGAGTTAAACATAATTTTTTATTTTGACAATTCTTCACATGTAACTTAACATGTCAAATAATCCTGTGCTTACCTCTCTTTTGGATGCTTCAGGGGCCCTCTGTAGTATCCCAAAGTTAGAAGTTAGAAAAGACAATTTTGAAGCTGAAATTTGATTTTCGGAAGCCTATCAAATATGTTAAAGGTTTAAAACACTACATTATACTTAACCAGTTTGACCATGAGGTGAGATTTTTATAAACCTTATATAACCCTTTGCAATTTTTGTGAAAGAGTAGATCAGTTCTTTAAGAAAACCCTATTGTGCTTTTATTTCAAGGTTTAATTTATGGAATGCTGAATAACACCCCTTTAAGTTTAGTCAATATGTTCACAAACAGAATTTCTTTTTGCAAGATTAGTTTTTATAAACCTTATGCAACTTAAACCTTTAGTTTTATGTTATCTAATTAAAAAACCCCTTCACCCTCTAGGCAAAAACTTACACTCCCATGCCTTCTTATAATCTTTTATCAAAAACACATTTCACTTTCCTCACACGCCTTGCATGTAAAACTATTTTTTTTAGTAGTTTTAATTACATGTTATTATGATAACTCTTAGCAGCTTTTACTTTTGGTGCATAAATTTCTTTCACAACTTAGACCATCTATGGCATGCTTGGACTTTGACTTGTCCTAAACATGCCTCTTTTTAAACAACTAGTTATTTTACTTTGGGAAAAGAATTTACCATACAAGATTGTTTCTCCTATAAAATCTCTTTTTTAAAAGTCAAAGAAGTGGTTTATGACCTTAAAGCATTTAGGAAACCTAATATCTGACCTGCACAATTTAGACCAAATGTTTTTATTTTACCAATAACCTTCCAAGCTGTTTTTATTTCCCAAAGATCACTAAAGTTATGTGAACTAAAAGATACTACAGTTTTTATTTTTCTTTCAAAATGTTTAAGTGCTTGTTTTTCTTTAAGCCAATTAATTAGAGCTTTTTTACGTAAACGCTATACACACAACACATATATAACTACACAGACAGATGGAAAAAAATTAAGTAGTTGTAAGATTTTTTTATTTCCTAGTTTCTAAGTTTCTTAATTGGATTACTGGCTTTAGGGTGGAGTCTTTGGAAGAACTGGCTAGGGAAACATGCAGTTTCTAGTGCCTAACAAGCAGGCACAGCTGGAAGGCAAAAACAGATCCCCAAAATTAAGGGTCCCATTTTTATGGGTCCCCTGAAAGAGGGAGATACTATTGGAAAAGACAGTGCAATGCTTTTACTGTGCATTTAATTGTATGGCATCCCAAAACCAATCAGCCCATTTGTAATTAGCCCACCCCCTATAGGAGTCTTATCTTTCAGTGGGGTTGGGGACATCTCCATACTTCCTAGGTTTCCCAAAGCATGCTTCTCTGATCCAAATGTGCAGAGCTCAGTGTTTCCCCATAGCTGGCACTAGACATCCCTAAAAGTGTATTTCCTACCTAATTATTACATACCAAAGCTCTTTCATAATGTGAAGTAATTGCTGATACCCCCAAAAGTAAAAAATGTTAGATATTGCAATGCAAAACAGTACAGAGCCTTAGATGTTGAAAGAAATCTATCCACTTCCAATTCCTGGGATTTAATGAGGAAAACAGAAGTTTTTCCCAAAATGGGGTCTCTGGTGCCTCCTGTTTTTCCCAAGGGGTCCCATGCTGTTAGAGCTTGAATATCTGCTTGTAATTAAGCTGACTTTTAACCACAGTGGTCTTTTTTTTAAAAAAGTCCTTTTAAATTTCCTATTACCCAACGTTAGCCAGGCCAAATGGCTGATATTGTTGGCATTTAAACTTTATCAAAAGTAACCTCACAGGTGCTCTTAGAAAGGAGAATTCCGCAGTTCCTGGAGGGGAAGAGAATCAACAAATGGTAACAGTTATGAAGATATCAAACAGGAAAGAACTCATTCCCTAAGCCAGGTATTGGACCCGGATCACCACTATGAAAGAGAAAACATGAGCTACTGAGCTACAGCACTGGGCAGCCTCCATTGCCCTTTCCAGAAGGAGTCTAGAGTAGTTAATTTTGAGCTTGCAAAGGCTTTTAACTACTCAGGATGATTTTTAGAGCTACCCGTGACATGAACCTTAAAATTCCTGTTCCCTGGAAGGCAGAGACCAAGAGTAAGTGTAGCCATGTGGTCACAGGATCAAGCTCCGAAGGAAATAAAACACGATGGAGACCTCGTACAGTTTTTTTGTTTGTGTGAGGGACCTGCAGCAAAGTTCGTTACTGACCAGCTTGCTGGGCCGTCTTGAGCAGCGGGCTTATGGGGTTTCAAGCCCGTGTTCTGTTCTAAGTTAGCTGTCTTTATGACAGAAGGATACAGGAAGACATAGCAAGCATACCAAATTGGCTGCAGCTTAAGACTAGCCTCATAAATCCTTTTTCCCATTACTCAAAACTTTACAAGAGATAGTGATTTTTACCATTCATTCAACCAGTTTGCACAGGGAGAGAGAGGTAGAAGTCTGACTGGTAAGAAAGCCTTACCCTTTTGCTGGCATGCCAGGCTTCTGAGTTCCCTTCCTCTGAGTGGCCCTGTGACCTGGCTGGCTGCACCACAGCCTTGGGGGCCAAGCCGCCACACAAAGCAAAATCATCTTTTTCTGTTTTGTGGAACCACGGGTAAAAGTCTCTTAATTTTGCAAGTTGCTGCCCAACCAGCTGCATGGGGGCGCCAAATTATCGAACTGGCAAGGTTCAAATTTGCCCCTGATTGGGCCCTGTCATCTTTAACCCATTTTTTATCCAAGAGAGACTTTACTGACAGGAGGGCCTCTAACCCAGTTCCATCCTTTACTCAAGTAAAATGTACCCCATAACTTATCCAAAGTCAGCCAATTGGTACTGCAGTCTATTTCCTTTGGATCTGGATAATAACTAAGCTAAAAGGTTAGTAGATTTAATTTCTGAGAGACCTCATTTTTAAATGCACTTCAGTGCATTGTGGTTTATTCAGAACATTCTACTGTAAGTTAGCTTTAGTAAGATTTTGCCATTCTGTAAGACTTTGCTGCTTTCTCTGCCTAATGTATAAGCTGGAAGGAACTTAGATTTCCAGAAATTGAGGATCCTATTTTGCCTAAAATGTTGGCTATAGTCTCAGGTTCCCTTGATTAACTTAGCCAATGATTTTTTTTTGCCCCTACTTAAACACACAAGAAAAATGAAACAAAGGGGTAGAACACAAAAATCCTTGCAAATTTTTAAAAGCCAAATTTTACAACCCCTGCAATATTACCATTTACTATCAGTTTCTTTCTGACCCAGTCAGATGTAAGAGGCCTCTAACTGGATCCAAACCAGTTAATTACCAGATCTAATCTGATCCTGAACCCAGTTCGATTTCTGTTGCGATTTCCAAACCCAGTTTGGACCAGAAATTTGCTCAGAGAAACTCAAGAGCTCAAAACACAAATCTGTAGAGCTCCGAAATCTGAGAGAACTTACCATGATCCCCAGCTGCTCTGAGGGATCAAAGGACACAAGTGGGTCCAGCAGGTACCTTGCTTGTTCATTCGGAGCTCCTGGAGATCATTAGAAGCTCTATTTCAGATCCCACTTCTGACACCATCTGTTAAAAACTTAGGCTGGATTACATTTAAAGGAGTTTAATTGAGCAATGAATGATTTGCAAATCAGGCAGCCCCCAGGCTCAAAGCAGATTCAGAGAGACTCCCATGTAGCCACGTGGTGGGAGATTTATAGACAAAAAAAGGGAAATGATATACGGAAATCAGAAGCAACGTATAGAAACAGCTGGATTGGCTATAGGTTGGCATTTGCCTTATTCGAACACTTAGCAGTCTATGAGTGGTTGAAGTATGGCTGGCCACTGGAATTGGTCAAGACTCAGCTATTGTACAGGTGCATACTCCTAAGTTTGGTTTTCAGTCTTGTCTGCCTCTTAAGCTAGGTTACAGTTCACAAGGACTCAAATATAGAAGTATGGAGTCCTTCTTAGGCCATATTTAGTTTGCTTTAAGAACTTCAAATCTGCCTTCCCGAGAGGTTTGGAGATGAAGATTTTAAGGATTCTGGACAAGTGATGGGCTAAAGTGTGGGGATTGCTGATTAATCGAGAAGTGAGAGGTAAAGTCTGGTGACAGGGAGATGAAGAAACTACATTCCTTTGCTGAGTTAGTTCCTTGGTGGGGGTCTTCAGACAGTTTGGTGTCAGCTGTTTTGCTGGAATTCAGGATCTGGAAAACACCTTAACCAATTCTTAGGTTAAAAGGTCCGGTGTCAGAGATTCTGTCTATAGGAACAGCAGGGAGTAGGTGGTTCAGCATGCTATGTGACTCTCAGCAGCTATAGGGAAGTGGGCCAGAGTGCACCAGTGCATGCATCCTGGTCAGGTCCTAACTATAATTCTGCCTAAAATCTGGCTTGTAAATCTTATTAGTTTCTCCAATGGAAGGGTTATCAAATTAATTGAACCCAAGGTGGGAACTTGAATGTATAGCCTGTTGAGAAGTATGGGTAACAACTTACTACTTGTGATTTGCATCTGAAGTGGGGAGTAGGAGTAGTCTTGTGGGACTGAGCCCTTGATCTGTGGATTCTGACTCTTAACTCAAATAAGACAGTGTTAGAATTAAATTGAATTATAGGGTACCCAGTTGGTGTCCTCTAGAGTATTGCTTGATGTGTGGAGAAAACTCCTTCACATTTAGTTGTAGAAGTATTCTACATTGAGTGTGAGAGTAGAGAGAGAAAAAGAGTTTTTTTACCCATAGTGTAGGATTTTGCATGGTCACCCAAATTAAATAATGGCAAAAGTTTAGATGAAGGAAGAATATGAGCTTGGTTTGACCAGGTCATAGATGAGAAGATGAAGAAGGGAGCTAGAACTAATAATTATTGGTAAAGCATAGTAAGTGCTAGACACTTAACCAGCTCATTTATCTCATAAATACCACGCGATAAAAGGATAACTTAATTTTACTGATAAGGAGAAGGCTAAGAAAATGTTAGCACTCAGGTCTTTCTGATGGCAAAGCCTCCATTCTTCCTGCAACCTGTCAGAAGTGAAAAGGAAAGGATGCAAGGGAACTGTGGATTCTGGGTTTATGTCACCATTACAGATAATAACCATGGCTTAGATCCTCTGAAAAGATACAAAGATATAAATATTTTGTATAAATGAGTAGATTTATCTAGTGATTTTGGAAAAATCATTGATTTTTTTTTAAGTGGTACACTTGACATTTAAGACTGCTCTGGAAATTAATGAATTATTAATGAACTTCCATAGGAATTCACTAGGGGGGGCATAATTTAATCTTTTCTGAAAATTAAGAATTTGGCAGTGGCTTCATCCTTAATTCAGCTTGTTTATGTGGTTCAAATGTGGTATTAGAAAGCCCCCAAAGCAGAATAGGCTGAAGGAGATGGATTATATAGTAGAAATTAAATTGGAGCCATCAGTGCATTAGGGAGTAGGAAAGTAAGAACCCAGAAAGTACTGTCAACAGACTTTCACACCTTTTTACTTTCTCTAAGCAGCAAACTGAATTTGATTTAAAACAGCAGCCAAAGTATGATTAAGAAAGAGATTGAGGCCAGGCGGTGGCTCACGCCTGTAATCCCAGCACTTTGGGAGGCTGAAGTGGGATTGCGTGAGGTCAGGAGTTTGAGACCAGCCTGGGCAACATAGCGAGTCCCTGTTGTTAGGATTTGAAGGGAAGACGAGAGTTAAAGACACACACACAGAGAAAGAGGGCGGCTCTACAGCAACTGCAGGCATTTATGTCCAGCATAAACCTGAGAGGTTGGGGACCAGTTTAATGCCAGTGCTCACTGCCGCTTACAGGCTGGAGTACTTATAGGTATCGGGGGGAGGGGTCTGGGCGGTATGCCTTGCTGCCCCGGAGGATATCGATAAGATGTTTCTGTGGTCTGGCGGTTTGGCCAAGGATGTTCCTTGTGCCCTTTGCCCAGCAAGATATGATAGGGATGTTCCTTCAGTTGGGCCTTTACCTGACATGGTATGATAAAAATGTTCCTGTGCCTTTTGGTCAGGTGGCTAGGCAGGGTGTTTCTCATGGCCTGAACCCCTGCGGAATGTTTCACTCTGACCAAGGTCTGCAAAATGGCGGGGGGGCTTACAAAAGCAGTTTGGACTAACCTGTCTCTGCAGTAAATAAAAAGAGGTGGAAAGGAATGAATCTTAGGATATTTGGATATTCTTACTCTGAATTAATTCTTGATTTTAGGATCTTGATCTTAGGATCCTCGGATATTCTCAGGATCCTAGGATATTTAGATATTCTTAATCTGAATTAATTCTTATTTTTTTTTTTTTTTTTTTTTGAGATGGAGTCTCACTCTGTCACCCAGGCTGGAGTGCAGTGGTGTGATCTCGGCTCAGTGCAACCTCCGCCCCCTGGGTTCAAGCAATTCTTCCGCCTCAGCCTCCCGAGTAGCTAGGATTGCAGCACCCGCCACCATGCCCAGCTAATTTTTGTATTTTTAGTAAGGACAGGGTTTTACCATGTTGGGCAGGCTGGTCTCGAACTCCTGACCTCAGGTGAGCCACCTGCCTCAGCCTCCCAAAGTGCTGGGATTACAGGCGTGAGCCACCACGCCCGGCCAGTTCTTAATTCTTAAGCTGGAATTACAGATGTGAGCCACTGTACCTGACCAAAAACTGTTTTGGTGTTGTGTGAGAGTATAGAAAGTGTGTTTTCCCAGAATAACCTTTTTAAGCTGGCTTCTTTGACTTGGCAATATGCATTTAAGGTTCCTCTATGTGTTTTCATGGCTTAATAGCACATTACTGAATAATGTTCTGTTTGTATGAAGGTGCCACAATTTGTTTATCCATTCACTTATTGAAGGACATCTTGGTTGCTTCTAAGTTTTGGCAATTATGAATAAAGCTGCTTTAAACATCTATGTACAGTTTTTTGGGGGCATAAGTTTTCAGTTCAGGTGGGTGAATAGAACTTAACTGTTGGAATTTTTTTTTTTTTTTTTTTTTGAGACAGAGTCTCACTCTGTCTCCCAGGCTGCAACATCCACCTCCCAGGTTCAAGTGATTCTTGTGCCTCAGCCTCTCCAGTAGCTGGGATTACAGGTGTGTGCCAGCATGCCTGGCCAATTGTTGGATTGTATGGTAAGAGTATGTTTATCTTTTTAAGAACCTGTTAAACTCTCTTCCAAAGTGGCTGCACCATTTTGCATTCCCACCAACAATAAGTGAGAGTTCCTGTTGCTTCACATCCTCACCAGCATTTGGTGGTGTTAATGTTTTTGGATTTTAGGCATTGTAATAAGTTTGTAGTAGTGTCTTAGTGTTTTTAATTTGCAATTTTCTAATGATGCGGCATTGAACATCTTTTTCTGTGTTTTTTGCCATCTGTAGATCTTAATGAGGGCTCTGTTCAGATCTTTTTCCCATTTTGTAAATGGGTTGTTTTCTTATTGTTGAGTTTTAAGAGTTCTTTGTATACAGTCACACGTTGCTTAACAGAGATGTGGTCTGAGAAATGCATAGTTAGGCAATTTTGTCATTGTGAGAACATCATAGGGTATACTTACCCAAACCTAGATGGTACAGCCTATTGTTCCTAGGCCACAAACCTGTACAGCGCATTACTGTACTGAATACTGTAAGCAATTGTAACATGTAAATATTTTTCTGTCTAAACATACCTAAATGGGGAAAAGTTACAGTAAAAATGCAGTATAAAAAATGATACACCTATACCAGAGTACTTACCATGAATTGGAGCTTGCAGTACTGGAAGTTGCTCTGGGTGAGTCAGTGAGTGAATGTGAAGGCCTAGGACATAACTGTATACTACTGTGGACTTTGTAAATACTGTACACTTAGACTACACTGAGTTTATTTTTAAAAATTTATTTAGTAATAAATTGACTTTAGCTTACCTTTATTTTTATGCTTATAAGCTTTTGCCTATTAATATTTTCATTTTTATTTTATTTTTTAAACTTTTTGTTAAAAATGAAGGCACAAACACACATTAGCCTGGGCCTACCCAGGGGCAGGATCATCAGTATCACTGTCTTCTACCTCCACCATCATCACCACAAACACGTGAATATGATGTCATTAAGCAATAGGAATTTTTCTGCTCTTTTATCTTATGGCACCGTCTTTCATGCTGTCCATCACTGGCTGAAACTGAAGCTCTGTGATACATGACTGTATTGGATACAAGTCCTTTATCATATAAATGTTTTACAATATTTTCTGCTTAGTGACTTGTCTTTTCATTTTCCTAGCAGTATGTGTTGCAGAGTTGTAGATGTTTTTTTAGTGAAGTCCAACTTACCAATTTTTTCATTCATAGATCCTGCTTTTTGGTGAAGTCTAATAATGTGAGTCTGCTAATGAATGTCAATCCTTGTTCTTCTCCAGTATTTTGTTGGCTATTCTGGGTATTTTGGCTTTCCATATAAACTTCAGAATCAGGTTGTTGATACAAGAAACAGTTTGCTAGGATTTTGATTCGGATATTATTGTTGAATCTGTAGATCATACTGACAAAAACTGCTATCTTAACAATAATGAGTCTATCTATGAATGTAGACTATCTCTCCATTTATTTAGACCTTTGATTTCTTTCAGAGTTTTGAGGTTTTCCTTATATAGGTCTCATACATATGTTGTTTATACTACCTATTTTGGGAGAGTATATTATTATATAAATGGTATTTTTTAACTTCAAATTCTTATGTATCATTGCTAGTATCTATAAAGACAGTTAACTTTTATATATTTGATCTTATAAAATCACTGTACTTGCATATTAGTTCCAGGAGTCTTTTTATATATATATACTTTAAGTTCTAGGGTACATGTGCACAACGTGCCGGTTTGTTACATATGTATACATGTGCCATGTTGGTGTGCTGCACCCATTAACTCGTCATTTACATTAGGTATATCTCCTAATGCTATCCTTCCCCCTCCCCCCACCCACCGCAGGCCCTGGTGTGTGATGTTCCCTACCCTGTGTCCAAGTGTTCTCATTGTTCAGTTCCCACCTATGAGTGAGAACATGTGATGTTTGGTTTTCTGTCCTTGCAATAGTTTACTCAGAATGATGGTTTCCAGCTTCATCCATGTCCCTACAAAGGACGTTAACTCATCCTTTTTTATGGCTGCATAGTATTCCATGGTGTATATGTGCCACATTTTCTTAATCCAGTCTATCGTTGATGGACATTTGGGTTGGTCCCAAGTCTTTGCTATTGTGAATAGCGCCACAATAAACATACGTGTGCATGTGTCTTTATAGCAGCATGATTTATAATCCTTTGGGTATATGCCCAGTAATGGGATGGCTGGGTCAAATGGTATTTATAGTCCTAGATCCTTGAGGAATCGCCACACTGTCTTCCACAATGGTTGAACTAGTTTACAGTCCCACCAACAGTGTCAAAGTGTTCCTATTTCTCCACATCCTCTCCAGCATCTGTTGTTTCCTGACTTTTTAATGATCGCCATTCTAACTGGCGTGAGATGGTATCTCATTGTGGTTTTGATTTGCATTTCTCTGATGGCCAGTGATGATGAGCATTTTTTCATGTGTCTGTTGGCTGCATAAATGTCTTCTTTTTAGAAGTGTCTTTTCATATCCTTTGCCCACTTTTTGATGGGGTTGATTTTTTCTTGTAAGTTTGTTTAAGTTCTTTGTAGAATCTGGATATTAGCCCTTTGTCAGATGGGTAGATTATAAAAGTTTTCTCCCATTCTGTAGGTTGCCTGCTCACTCTGATGGTAGTTTCTTTTGCTGTGCAGAAGCTCTTTAGTTTAATTAGATCCCATTTATCAATTTTGGCTTTTGTTGCCATTGCTTTTGGTGTTTTAGTGATGAAGTCCTTGCCCATGCCTATGTCCTGAATGGCATTGCCTAGGTTTTCTTCTAGGGTTTTTATGGTTTTAGGTCTAACATTTAAGTCTGTAATCCATCTTGAATTAATTTTCATATAAGGTGTAAGGAAGGGATCCAGTTTCAGCTTTCTACATATGGCTAGCCAGTTTTCCCAGCACCATTTATTAAATAGGGAATCCTTTCCCCATTTCTAGTTTTTGTCAGGTTTGTCAAAGATCAGGTGGTTGTAGATATGTGGTATTATTTCCAAGGGCTCTATTCTGTTCCATTGGTCAATATCTCTGTTTTGGTACCAGTACCATGCTGTTTTGGTTACTGTAGCCTTGTAGTATAGTTTGAAGTCAGGTAGCATGATGCCTCTAGCTTTGTTCTTTTGGCTTAGGATTGTCTTAGCAATGCGGACTCTTTTTTGGTTCCATATGAACTTTAAAGTAGTTTTTTCCAATTCTGTGAAGAAAGTCATTGGTAGCTTGATGGCATTGAATCTATAAATTACCTTGGGCAGTATGGCCATTTTCACAACGATTCTTCCTATCCGTAAGCATGGAATGTTCCTCCATTTGTTTGTGTCCTCTTTTATTTCGTTAAGCAGTGGTTTGTAGTTCTCCTTGAAGAGGTCCTTCACATCCCTTGTAAGTTGGATTCCTAGGTATTTTATTCTCTTTGAAGCAATTGTGAATGGAAGTTCACTCATGATTTGGCATTCTGTTTGTCTGTTATTGGTGTATAGGAATGCTTGTGATTTTTGCACATTGATTTTGTATCCTGCAGAAGTTGCTTATCAGGTTTAAGGAGATTTTGGGCTGAGACGATGGGGTTTTCTAAATCTACAATCATGTCATCTGCAAACAGGGAGAATTTAACTTCCTCTTTTCCTAATTGAATACCCTTTATTTATTTCTCTTGCCTGACTGCCCTGGCCAGAACTTCCAACACTATGCTGAATAGGAGTGGTGAGAGAGGGCATCCCTGTCTTGCGCCACTTTTCAAAGGGAATGCTTCCAGTTTTTGCTCATTCAGTAGATATTGTCATAAATAGCTCTTATTATTTTGAGATACAGCCCATCAATACCTAGTTCATTGAGAGTTTTTAGCATGAAGGGCTGTTGAATTTTGTCAAAGGCCTTTTCTGCATCTATTGAGATAATCATGTGGTTTTTGTCTTTGGTTCTGTTTATATGATGGATTATGTTTATTGATTTGCGTATGTTGAACCAGCCTTGCATCCCAGGTATGAAGCCAACTTGATCCTGGTGGATGAGCTTTTTGATGTGCTGCTGGATTTGGTTTGCCAGTATTTTATTGAGGACTTTTCCATCGATGTTCATCAGGGATATTGGTCTAAAATTCTCTTTTTTGGTTGTGTCTGTGCCAGGCTTTGGTATCAGGATGATGTTGGCCTCATAAAATGAGTTAGGGAGGATTCCCTCTTTTTCTGTTGATTGGAATAGTTTCAGAAGGAATGGTACCAGCTCCTCTTTGTACCTCTGGTAGAATTTGGCTGTGAATCTGTCTGGTCCTGGACTTTTTTTGGTTGGTGGGCTATTATTGCCTCAATTTCAGAGCCTGTTATTGGTCTATTCAGGGATTCAGTGTCTTCCTGGTTTAGTCTTGGGAGGGTGTATGTGTCGAGGAATTTATCCATTTCTTCTAGATTTTCTAGTTTATTTGTGTAGAGGTGTTTATAGTATTCTCCGATGGTAGTTTGTATTTCTGTGGGATCAGTGGTGATATCCCCTTTATCATTTTTTATTGTGTCTATTTGATGCTTCTCTCTTTTCTTCTTTATTAGTCTTGCTAGCAGTCTATCAATTTTGCTGATCTTTCCAAAAAACCAGCTCCTGGATTCATTGATTTTTTTGAAGGGTTTTTTGTGTCTCTATCTCCTTCAGTTCTGCTCTGATCTTAGTTATTTCTTGCCTTCTGCTAGCTTTTGAATGTGTTTGCTCTTGCTTCTCTAGTTCTTTTAATTGTGATGTTAGGGTGTCAATTTTAGATCTTTCCTGCTTTCTCTTGTGGGCATTTAGTGTATAAATTTCCCTCTACACACTGATTTAACTGTGTCCCAGAGATTCTGGTATGTTGTGTCTTTGTTCTCATTGGTTTCAAAGAACATCTTTATTTCTGCCTTCATTTGGTTATGTATCCAGTAGTCATTCAGGAGCAAGTTGTCCGTGTAGTTGAGCAGTTTTGAGTGAGTTTCTTAATCCTGAGTTCTAGTTTGATTGCACTGTGGTCTGAGAGACAGTTTGTTATAATTTCTGTTCTTTTACATTTGCTGAGGAGTGCTTTACTTCCAACTATGTGGTCAGTTTTGGAATAAGTGTGATGTGGTGCTGAGAAGAATGTATATTCTGTTGATTTGGGGTGGAGAGTTCTGTAGATGTCTATTAGGTCCATTGGGTGGGTGCAGAGCTGAGTTCAAGTCCTGGATATCCTTGTTAACTTTCTGTCTCATTGATCTGTCTAATGTTGACAGTGGGGTGTTAAAATCTCCCATTATTATTGTGTAGGAGTCTAAGTCTCTTTGTAGGTCTCTAAGGACTTGCTTTATGAATCTGAGTGCTCCTGTATTGGGTGCATATATATTTAGGAGAGTTAGCTCTTCTTGTTGAATTGATCCCTTTACCATTATGTAATGCCCTTCTTTGTCTCTTTTGATCTTTGTTGGTTTAAAGTCAATCAGAGACTAGGATTGCAACCCCTGCCTTTTTTTTTGTTTTCCATTTGCTTAGTATATCTTCCTCCATCCCTTTATTTTGAGTCTGTGTGTGTCTCTGCATGTGAGATGGGTCTCCTGAATACAGCACACTGATGGGTCTTGACTCTTTATCCAATTTGCCAGTCTGTGTTTTTTAACTGGAGCATTTAGTTCATTTACATTTAAGGTTAATATTGTTATGTGTGAATTTGATCCTGTTATTATGATGTTAGCTGGTTATTTTGCTCATTAGTTGATGCAGTTTCTTCCTAGCCTCGATGGTCTTTATAATTTGGCATGTTTTTGCAGTGGCTGGTACTGGTTGTTCCTTTCCATGTTTAGTGCCTCCTTCAGGAGCTCTTGTAAGGCAGGCCTGGTGGTGACAAAATCTCTCAGCATTTGCTTGTCTGTAAAGTATTTTATTTCTCCTTCACTTATGAAGCTTAGTTTGGCTGGATATGAAATTCTGGGTTGAAAATTCTTTTAAGAATGTTGAATATTGACCCCCACTCTCTTCTGGCTTGTAGAGTTTCTGCTGAGAGATCAGCTGTTAGTCTGATGGGCTTCCCTTTGTGGGTAACCCAGTCTTTCTCTCTGGCTGCCCTTAACGTTTTTTCCTTCATTTCAACTTTGGCGAATCTGACAATTATGTGTCTCAGAGTTGCTCTTCTTGTGGAGTATCTTTGTGGCGTTCTCTGTATTTCCTGAATTTGAATGTTGGCTTGCCTTGCTAGGCTGGGGAAGTTCTCCTCGATAATATCCTGAAGAATGTTTTCCCACTTGGTTTCATTCTCCCCATCACTTTCAGGTACACCAATCAGACGTAGATTTGGTCTTTTCACATAGTTCCATATTTCTTGGAGGATTTCTTCATGTCTTTGTATTCTTTTTTCTCTAAACTTCTCTTCTTGCTTCATTTCATTCATTTGATCTTCAATCACTGATACCCTTTCTTCCACTTGATCAAATTGGTTACTGAAGCTTTTGCACACGTCACGTAGTTCTCGTGCTATGGTTTTCAGCTCCATCGGGTCATTTAAGGACTTCTCTTCACTGTTTATTCTAGTTAGCCATTTGTCTAATCTTTTTTCAAGGTTTTTAGCTTCTTTGCGATGGGTTCGAACATCTTCCTTTAGCTTGGAGAAGTTTGTTATTACCGATCGTCTGAAGCCTTCTTCTCAACTTGTCAAAGTCATTCTCCGTCCAGCTTTGTCCTGTTGCTGGTGAGGAGCTGTGTTCCCTTGGAGGAGAAGAGGTGCTCTGATGAGTATTTTCAGCTTTTCTGCTCTGGTTTCTCCCCTTCTTTGTTGTTTTATCTACCTTTGGTCTTGATGATGGTGATGTACAGATGGGGTTTTGGTGTGGATGTCCTTTCTGTTTGTTAGTTTTCCTTCTAACAGTCAGAACCCTTAGCTGCAGGTCTGTTGGAGTTTGCTGGAGGTCCACTCCAGACCCTATTTGCCTGGGTATCACCAGCAGAGGCTGCAGAACAGCAAATATTGCAGAATGGCAGATGTTGCTGCCTGATCCTGCCTCTGGAAGCTTTGTCTCAGAGGGGCAGCCGTCTGTATGAGGTGTCAGTCGGCCCCTACTGGGAGGTGTCTCCCAGTTAGGCTACTCGGGGGTCAGGGACCCACTTGAGAAGGCAGACTGTCCATTCTCAGATCTCAAACTCCGTGCTGGGAGAACCACTACTCTCTTCAAAGCTGTCAGATGGGGATGTTTCAGTCTGCAGAAGTTTCTGCTGCCTTTTGTTCGGCTATGCCTTGACCTCAGAGGTGGTGTCTACAGAGGCAGGCAGGCCTTCTTGAGCTGCAATGGACTCCACCCAGTTCGAGCTTCCCTGCTGCTTTCTTTTCCTACTCAAGCCTCAGCAATGGCGGATGCCCCTCCCCCAGCCTCACTGCCACCTTGCAGTTTGATCTCAGACTGCTGTGCTAGCAGTGAGCGAGGCTCCGTGGGGGTGCAACCCTCTGAGCCAGGCACGGGATATAATCTGGTGTGCTGTTTGCTAAGGCCGTTGGAAAAGCGCAGTATTAGGGTGGGAGAGTCCCGATTTTCCACGTACCGTCTGTCACGGCTTCCCTTTGCTAGGAAAGGGAATTCCCTGACCCATTGCACTTCCCAGGTGAGGTGATGCCCTGCCCTGTTCCGTGGGCTGCACCCACTGTCTGACAAGCCCCAGTGAGATGAACCCGGTACCTCAGTTGGAAATGCAGAAATCACCCGTCTTCTGCGTCACTCATGCTGGGAGCTGCAGACTGGAGCTGTTCCTATTTGGCCGTCTTGGAACCACAGCCAATTAATTACTTCTAGGAGTCTTTTAATAGATTCTTTTGGATATTCTACAAAAACAATCATATCATATGCAATAAAAAGTTTTACATCTTCCTTTCCAATCGGTATACTTTTTAAATTTTTTTTCTTGCCTTGTTGCACTAGCTGGGAATTGCAGTATGATGTTGAATCACGGTGGCAGTAGAGGTTGTCTGTCATCTTTGCCTTGTTCCCAGCCACGGGGGCGAGCGTCCAGCCTCCCACCATTAAGTATGGATGAGTTTAGCAATAGGTTTGTTGTACATGTTCTTTATCAGGTTGAAGAAGTTCCCCTCCAAGTTTGCTGAGAAATTTGTTTTTAATCATGAATAGGTGTTGGGAATAGGTGTTAGATTTTGTCAGGCTTTTGCTGCCCCACCAATTCATATGATCATATGATTTCTTTAGCCTGTTGATATGGTGGGTTACATTGATTGTGATAACCAAAATGAGTGACTGAGGTAGGTGTCACAGTCAGTGGAGGCTTATTGGGCCATCTCGAAGGCGTGCCCAGAAAAAACACAAGTTACAGACACATCTGTGGCTGATTTTTTGGTTCTCAGGAGGTTTAGTGACAGGAATACTTGCATATTTGTGAGGTTTTAGTTAGTGCCCAGTAGATGTACGTTTTACACAAGATAAGGTGAACCTCTGAAGGAAAAGGGGACAGAGGAAGCAGATGCCTCAGGGAGGGATGAAGGAAGTGATGCAGGATATTTTCTTGACCCCTTCACAGGACTCGCGACAGGGGTGCCCTGTTTACTTGGCCTGCCCCGCTCAACCCCTCACGGGAGGGAGCATGTGAGCAAATGAGCATGGGAACTGGCCAGCCACTTTGGTGCCAGCAGGAGCAAACTCTGCTCACTCAGGTCTGCTGTGCTCCACCCATCACAGGAGAAAGCACGCAGGCAAGTGAGTGCAGGAACCGGCTGCTTTAGCACCAGCTGGAGCGAACTCCGTGCAGGCCATGTGGTAGCATCTAGGTGGGGGTGCCTGCAACCCCAAGGCCCTAGAGGCCATGATACAGTGCTGCCTTAGCTCCGCCATCTACAGACAGCAGCGTTATCCGCTCAGTGGACCCTTTGGCTCGTCACGTGGGGTGGCTGCTCTCCGCCAGTGAGGGCAAAGAGCCAGAGTGACAACCTTTTTGGGCACCCACACTTGGCACCTCCTGAATTCTTGTCCAGTGCCCAAGAGGAATGAGGTCATGCAGACGATTGAAGGATAATGAATATGGAGAATTTTATTGAGTGATGAAAGCTGCTTTCAGTGGGGAGAGGAGCTGGAAAGGGGCTGAGAAGGGCAGCCTGAAATTAATTGCCTCTCTGCCTCATGCAGCCATCGTCTCTGAAGTCAAGGTGCCTCTCTTGATGTCCAGCTGTTTTTTCCTGACGTCCAGCCACTTCTCCCCTCTGTCAGCTGAGTCTGAGTCTTTGTAGGCACAGGATGGGGCCGAGCTGTAGGTAGTTTTGGAAAAGACAACATTCGATTGGTAAAAAGACATTCAGAAAGAACCAATTGGGAGAGAGCGGGCACACACGTTTGGAAGTTCTCACTTTGGGCTGTGGGTTTCAGGCTTCCTGCTCAAAGGTGGGGTTTTGCCAGGGACCTGTCCCTGTCTGCCTAGAATTTCTCTGCCTCCTGTCCCTATCATTGTATCAGAATAATTAATCTCATCTTGTCTTTGTTCTGTACATGGGAAGATAAGCTAGTAATCGACATTATCAGTGTGGAGTCTTTTGGAGAGCCGGTTTCTGTTTATCTCCTAGGGAAGAAAGCCTAATGGAGGTTAATGAGATGGGGTATATTGAAGGGTTTGTTACTGGTGGGAGGTATCCAAAAGTTACCAGTGGCCAATTCATGCGGGTCTGCAGCAATCTCATTTCTTGCCTCCTCAGAAGAAAGAATTTGACTGATGGGCGTAAGGAAGAAAAAGAGACCGAGGCAAGTTTCAGAGAAGTAGTGGAAGATTTTTCAAAAAAGCTGTAGAACAAGAAAGAAAGTATGCTTGGGAAAGACCCAAGCGGGCATGTGAAGGGTAAGTGCAGTGTTTAACCATGATCCTAGGACTTTATAGGCTGACCCACTTCCAGTGTCTTGCACACTTTTCCCATGATTCTCCTTAGGGTGGGCTACCTGCATGTACAGTGCCCTCCTTACACTTGGGAAGTGAGCACGAGCAGTGTGTTTAGGAAGTTGTATGCACGTCCATCTGAGGCTTTTTTCCCTTTTCTTGTGGAGTGCCCCTGGAAGGTCATACTCTGCCATTTTGTCTCTTAATGCATGTGCCCGGCTCACTCGTCCAATACCTGAGATTTTGTTGGAAGCCCTTTTTGCTTCTCCCTGGTGCCTTCATTCAATTAACACTTTAGTGTAACAGGTGTGGGCCATCAGGAAATGGCCTCTCTCTGGCCCCTGCTGCCAATTTATCACTTTTAGAAAGGTAGTGTGATAATTGCTGAACCATCACCTGACATCTCTAGTGGGTGGGAAAGAGCCCTCTCCTGCCCCCGCCATACCTGTCTAACTACTGGTAACAGGCGTGTGACCTGAACTCAGCTTCCAAGGTTTCACCAGGGTCCCCTTGGCCAAGAGAGGTCCATTCAGTCATTTGGGAGATTACAATTTCATTTTTATTCCCAGCTGATTCTTAAATATACCTTTAAGTTGATTCTTAGATATACCTTTGCATATCTGGATTAAATCCCACTGGGTCTGGGTGTATGATAGTTTTTAGACATTGCTGGATTTGACTTGCTAATATTTTGTTGAGGATTTTTACTTTCTATGTTGATAAGAAGTATTAGTCTGTAGTTTTCCTTTCTTGGATTATATGTAGCTGGTTTTGGTATTAGGGCCACTTTTGGCCTCATGGAATGAGTTAGTCTTCTCTGCCTCTGTTTTCTGAATTGTATTATTTTTTCCTTAAATGTTTGGTAGAATTCACTAATCAACCTCAGCCTGGGATCTTTTTTTGTTTGTTTGTTTTTGGAAAGGATATTAATTTTTGATTCCATTTCTTTAATGAATAATGAATATAGGGTTAGTAAAGTCTTTTATTTCTCCTTGTGTGGGTTTTGGCAGTTTGTCTTTTTGAGGACTTGGTCCATTTCATCTAAGTTTGATAATTTGTGGGTGTCAACCTGAAACAAGCTGAAGCAAAATTATTGTAAGTAAAGAGTTTATTTGGGCAAAGCCTAAGGATTGCAACCCAGGAGCATAGAGTCAAGTTGCCCTGAATATACACACTTACTAGCAGCAGTTATAAGTAAGTGGATTTTTAAAGGCAAAATTGTGGGGGACAGGGAATGAACTAATAAAGAGTTGTTTGTCAGGAATTCTCACTGGTTTACAGACGTAGCATTGAGTTATTGGCTATACGTTAAGCTATAGATTGTGAATTATAGCATTATTAGGTTAATTCATAGTTACTTATGGCAATAACAAGCAGTTTCAAGAGGTGAATACACAGCTCAGAGGAGGTGGGTTGGTGAGGGGAGGTGGGGCGTGATTTCGGTCTCATTTTAATGTCTCTTTGGGCCTGATGGTTAAAAAGACTTGAATTCCTCAGATAAGATCTTTTCTCACAGGCATAGAGTTAAAGTTATTCATAGTATTCCTTTATTGCTTTTTTAATATCCGTGGGATCAGTTGTTATGACTCCTCTTTTATTTCTAATATTGGTCATTTGTTTTCTCTCTTAGTTTATCTTGGCTAGAGATTTATGAATTTTATTCATTTTTTCCCCAAAGAACTAGGTTTTGGTTTTGTTGATATTTTTTGTTTTCTTTTCCTCATGTTCGTTGCTTTCTGCTCTGATTTTTATTGATTCTTTCTGCTTGCTCCTCTTTTCTAGTTTCTTAAGGAGGTAACTTAGCTTATTGAGTTTAGATCTTACTTCTTTTCTAATATGTGCATTCCTCCTGTAAACTGTTGATAAAAGAGTCAAACTCTGTGAAATGTTTAAGGAGGTTTATTTTGAACCAAATGAGTGACCAGGGTCTGAGGCAGTCTCAAGAAGTTCTGAGAACAAGTGCCTAAGGTAGTTGGGTTACAGCTTGGCTTTAAACGTTTTAGGGAGGCATAAGACATCAGTCAGTATATGTAGGGTATACACAGACATTGGTTCCACCTAGAAAAGCAGGACAATTCAAAGTGGGGGCATATGGGTCATAACTGGATTAAAAGATTTTCTGATTGGCAATTGGTTGGAAGAGTTATTATCTAAAGACCTGGAATCAATAGAAAAGAGTGTCTGAATTAAGATAAGGGGTTGTGGATACCAAGGTTCTTAATACATAGATGAAGTCTCAAAGGTGGCCGTCCTTAGAGACAATAGATGGCAAATGTTTCCTATTCGGACCTTTAAAAGGTGCTAGACTCTCAGTTAACCGCTTCAGGATTGAGAGGACCTGGAAGCAGGGATCTGATTATGTTAATAGAGTCTTTACAAATACAGTTTTTCTCCACCAAAAAAAAAAAAAAATGGCTTTGCAGGGTCATTTCAAAATATGGCAGAGAAACGTGTTTTGGGGTAAGATATTTTGATTTCCTTCTCTATCTGTCATGTGATGTTATGCCAGAGTCAAGTTGGAAAGTAGCCATTTATATAGGGTTAAATAAAACCCCTCTGATGGAATTTCATGGTTTGCAGGGTGTGACTCCCCAGACCCCTTAGATAGGAATTTGGACAAGAGGAAAAAGGTCAAAGTTTAGTCCTCAAAGCACTGCTTTGCTGCATCCCACAGATTTTGTTAAGTTGTATTTTTTTCAATTACTTCAAAATATTTTTAAATTTCTTTTTAGAAGTTTGAAGATTTTTTTTTAGAAGTATGTTGTTTAAATTCCACATAATTGGGAGTGGGGGGAGTTCCCGGCTATCTTTATGTTAATGGTTTCTAGTATCTCTTTTAGTTTGAGAACATAACTTTGCATGATTTTCATTTTTTAGAATTTGTTACAGTATATTTAATGGCCCAGCATGGGGTCTGCTTGTTGAATGTTCCATGTGAACTTGAGTGGAATGTGTATTCTGCTGTTGTTGAATGGAGTATTCTATAAATGTCAGTTAGATCAAATTGATTAACATTGTTGTTTAGTTTAACTCTATCCTTACAGACATTCTGCCTGCTGGGTTTATCAAGGTTGTTGACCGGAGTGTTGACGTCTCTAAGAGTGAATTTCTTTCCTCCTTTCTGTTCTGTAGTTTTCACCTCATTTATTTTGATCCTCTCGTTAGGTATATACGTGTTTAGGATTGTTATGTCTTCTTTTCATTCTTGTTATTATACAGTGCCCCTCTTTAACTCTTATAATCAAAGAATGTTTGCAGTCTGCTTTGTCTGAAATTAATCTCCAGTATCACTTTTTTTTTTCTTTTTTTGAGACGAGTCTCACTCTGTTGCCCAGGCTGGAGTGCAGTGGCGCGACCTCGGGTCACTGCAGCCTCCACCTCTGGGGTTCAAATGATTCTCCTGCCTCAGCCTCCCAAATAGCTGGGATTACAGGCGTGCACCACCATGCCCGGCTAATTTTTTTTTATATTTTTAGGAGAGATGGGGTTTCACCATGTTGGCCAGACTGGTCTCGAACTCCTCACCAGGTGATGTGCCTGCCTCGGCATCCCAAAGTACTGAGATTACAGGCGTGAGCCACCGCTCCCAGCCCAGTATCACTTTTTAAAAGACTTCTTGGGAGCCTATTTATTTTGCAAGATTTGCAGTTTCCCTTATCAACTCATTTGTACTGTTGTTGGATTATCTGTGAGAGTCTGTTAGGAGCTGATGTTAATTATTCATTTGGGAGGGATGAGTCAGGGGATTAATTTTTGTAGGTGGATAATTACTAATGAATGTTTTTATATGATGACAGTTTTTGTTTTGCCAGTCAACTTTGTACACCAGATAAAGAATATTCGTGTAAGATGGAGTATCTGTATTTATTGCAGTGCTCATTTATAGGGGTGCTAATTCAGATCTCACTGTCTGTTACTTAGGATATAGTTAAAGTGTCTGTTCTCAACATGTTAGTAGTAAGGTAGAGCTGGCATTGGGAGTGGGAAGGCATGTGTGGTACCACCTGATGTTGAAGGAAGGGGACTGATTGACTATATGGTAATGGCTACTATAATTACATTTACCACTGGGAGAACCTTTGTCTAGAGAGGCTAAGTAATTATCTGGAAGTCTCTATAATTCTTAAAAAAAAAAAAAAAAAAGGCTTGCAGTCTTGCTGTATTGTCCAGGCTGGAGTGGAGTAGCTGTTCACAAATGCATTACAGCCTCAAATACCTGGGCTCAAGTGTCCTCCCATCTCAGCCTCCCGAGTAGCTGGAACCACAAGCCGAAGCCACTGTGTCTCGCCATCTTGTAAATCTTTGTTCTATGCTGATGCCAGATCAAATAGTGAGACATCACTCTACACTTTTTTTCTCTCCACCATTGATATGGGGGTGGGGAAGAAAATAAATACCAGGCAATTCTTCTCGCCATTCAATAACGTAAGTGATTTATAACTTGATAACTTAGTCCGAAGGCATTATAGTGTAAATAATACTAATATCAACAATTCATCAGATTTTAACATTTGTAATCATAAATAACATTTATGATGCTCATTAGTTTACAAAAGTGTCTTTACATCAGAAATTTTATGTAATTCCTGGTGACAATCCTGTAAAGTCATCTTCATTTTAGTAGTGGACATGGGCTTGGTTCCTGAAAGGGAATTATGTGGAATTATATCCCCAAAGCATCAGAACCCAGATCTTATTTTTTCCCCCACTATACTACACTGCTTCTATAGAACAAGAGGCCTCAAAACATTATTCCCCATGGTGTCAGCTGGACTAGTTTACCATATCATATTTAAATGGTGTGTTTTATGAGATTTTTATTATTTTATTTTATTTTTGAAACGGAGTCTTGCTCTGTCCCCCAGGCTGGAGTACAGTGGCATGATCTCAACTCACTGCAATCTCCACCTCCTGGGTTCAAGCAATTCTCATGCCTCAGCCTCCCGAGTAGCTGGAATTACAGGCACACACCACCATTCCCGGCTAATTTTTGTATTTTTAGTAGAGACAGGGTTTTGCCATGTTGGCCAGGCTGGTCTCGAACTCCTGACCTCAAGCGATCCGCCTGCCTCAGACTCCCAAAATTCTGGGATTACAGGCGTGGGCCACCTCACCTGGCTTATTTTATTTTATTTTTCTGAGCTGGAGTCTTGCTGTGTCACCCAGGTTGGAGGGCAGTGGCCCGATCTCAGATCACTGCACCCTCCGCTTCCCGGGTTTAAGTGATTCTTCTGCCTCAGCCTCCTGAGTAGCTGGAATTACAGGTGCCCACCACCACACCTGGCTAATTTTTGTATTTTTAGTGGAGATGGGGTTTTGCCATGTTGGCCAGGCTGGTCTCGGAACTCCTGATCTCAGGTGATCCACCCGCCTTGGCCTCCCAAAGTGCTGGGGTTACAGGTATGAGTAACCACACCTGGCCTTTATGAGATTTTAAAATTACACTGTGCTTAAACTCTATACCCTAACATCAGTTTTTGTGGATTATGTAGCAGTGTCTGTCTTTTTACTTCCTAATGGTTAATGATTGATTTTCAAATGAATTGATTTAAAATGGAAACCTAAGTATTACCTAATTTTTTTGAAAAATTGTCTTTGTAGAAGCTGAAACCTATCAACACTCTTCAAAATGCAATGGAATGTACCACGGACTGTATCTCGACTGGCACGCAGGACATGCTTGGAACCACATAATGCTGGTCTCTTTGGACACTGTCAAAATGTAAAGGGACCTTTACTTTTATACAATGCTGAATCCAAAGTGGTTTTGGTACAAGGCCCTCAAAAACAATGGTTGCATTTATCTGCTGCCCAGTGTGTTGCAAAGGAAAGGAGGCCATTGGATGCTCATCCACCCCAACCAGGAGTCCTTCGCCATAAGCAAGGGAAGCAACATGTTTCATTCAGGAGGGTTTTTTCATCCAGTGCCACAGCTCAGGGAACTCCGGAAAAAAAGGAAGAGCCTGATCCTTTGCAAGACAAATCTATTAGTCTTTATCAACGATTCAAGAAGACATTTAGACAGTATGGAAAAGTTCTGATTCCAGTGCATCTAATAACTTCTGGTGTTTGGTTTGGAACATTTTATTATGCAGCCTTGAAGTAAGTTTTTGCTTAGTTGAATGTCTTTCCCTGTCTTACCAGAATATTAATCTTTTTAATTGTACTAATGATAGCTTTAGATTTTTAAATGCTTTAATGTTTTTCATCAATAGAGGATAACTGTTTTTTCACATTTTAATAATAATAGCTAACATTTGCTTACTGTTTGGAGCAAGCATCTGGTGCAGTTTTTAACTGTTTCATCTTATTTAATCCTCCCAGCAACCATATAAAGCAAGTTACACAGTTACACCCATTTTATGAATGAGAAAACAGATTAGGCAAGGAGAAGTAAAAATAGTTCAGCTTTTCCCAAAATAACTCAGTTGCTAAGAAGTGGTGCCTGGACTAAAAACCCAATTAGGTGCGTCTGATCTCAAAGCATACACTCTCCTATATGCAGATCTCATCCTGGCATTCAGGAAAGCACAGACATAAAATAATCAAATTTCAGAAATTTGGCAGCACCATGACTCCATAATTATATATTTCTTAGAATGTTCATAAATGTGAAAAGATGTCTATTTTGCCATATGTATGGTTTTGGTGGGAAATTTGCAAGATTTTGCCAAAGTCCGGCTAATTTGTTTGCATTGATATTACCCAAGTCCAGTAAGTGTCAAGGAAAGGTCTTTTGTTCTGATCAGAAATTAATCTAGTAGGTCTAGCCTCCCAGTGTTTTGAAACATACAATTTAAAGTGCATCTCTCTTGTTAATACTATGCCTTCCCCTTAAGGTAAGTTATTTGCTTCACACTGCTTTAGGCTTAGGAGGACCAGTGATTTCCCATTTCTGCCACTAGTCGGCCGAGTGCCCATTCCTCAGTGTCCGGGCCTGGTGTGCGTGAAGGACTTAGACACTTCAGTAAACTCTCCTAATTGGTTGAGAATTATTTTATACTTTCCAGAGTTGAGTGGTTTTCAGTGCTTGATTATATTTAATGGCTTGATATCAAGACATTAACAAAATATGGTTAGTGTTGTACGTAAAGCTCACTCTTTAGAAGCAGCCTATTGCAGACTAAGCTATAAGTAGCTCTTCCAGGATGATGGAATAGAAACTACCTATTTTTGGGAACACAGGACCACATAGATTTCTTGACAAAATTTCTAAAAGGATTTTTTTTCACCTTGTGTAATTGATGCTGTTCTGTTTCACTTTGTATCTTTACATTATGTTCCTCTTATTTAATTATATCCTTCTTCATTGCATATCCTTTTCTTTAAGAATTGTATCTTTCCTTGCAGAAGATTCTTTAGGTGTATATTTTATGGAATTGTTTCTTGGTTTATTAATGACATTTTTGGACATGATTAATATTTATAGAAGTCTTCAAAACTGCCCTTGGTTTTTTGACAGAAAATAAAGTTACCATTTTGATCAAAAGTTATTGTAGGCATTCAGTCCTGCTATGTAATGAATGGATTTCTACATATTAAATTTTCTTTTTTGAGTCATGGAGGATTTTTGTGATTCAGTCTGTGAAAGATGACATGAAAAATACATATGTGTTTCTTTTGCCCTCGTCAGGTTGCCCATGTATGATAAGGCAAGGCATTCGGCCTCCTGGCTGGCCTTAGAGGGAGAAATTCAAGCTTTTAATTAATTGAATATGAGATTCTCATTTAGGCTATTAAGAATAATATTTTTGTTCCTTTTACTTTTCCTTATTCTCTGGTAAAAGTTCTGTAACTGAAAAAGTAGACCCAGAATAATCTAGTGATCTTAATAATGCTTAAGATTTCTTCAGTGCTGTGGGCATCTGAAGCAGCTGTGGGTGATGCTCTGTCATCCCCTGTAAAATGCAACTTTCTTAGTTTTATTTTCCTCCCTCTTTTTTGCAGAATGCTTATATGTAAACATGGTGATACAACTGTCTACTTTAAAATAATACCCTTCCCCATTACACCTTGCTTTGGGGCTATTTGTTAGCATAGGAATCGGGTTGCTAGACCACCACTACTGCCCCGCCACGACCACTGGGTCAATTCTGTCATAGCATCACGTAGAGAATTTATAATGGGCAGGATGGGTTGCTTTCCAGAACAGTCCTCCTTGGGGTTTTTATTAGATCCTTCAAAATTTGAAAGTCAATTTATTCTATATGAAGATCTTAATCACAAGTAATGCTTAAAAAAATCAAATTCATGAATGAAAGAAAAAGGAATTCGAATATTTTCACTGTAGGATGATTGTATTTAAAAGTTGAAGTTGATTATACTAAATACAGATTGTCAATTCACCTGACAAGAGGCTAGTTATATTTTAGTGTTGTTCGTTTGTTTGTTTTAACTGGAAAAAGTTCTGTGTTATTTGCTTGTTGCCTACTTACTATTAAAAGAAAGGGAGAAAAATAGTTTGTAGCTGGAAAGATGGGCATTTGACATCATGCCTCATTACTGACCAGTGTTTGTCTTGGTTACCCTGATAGCTCGCATTACTGCCTTTCTAGGCATCGTAGAGCAAAATGTCATTCTATATTTAGAATGACAGAGTGATGAAGTTCTCAGGTTTTTGAAATACTTTATTTCAGGGAGTTCTAAATTGTGCATGCTAATAGATTTTATTTTAAACTGAGCTTTGTTGCCGCTCCTATCTGGCAAAGCCTTGCAGAGATCTGGTGTCTTATGTCCAGAAGTGCTTTAGTTTGATCAAGTGTGGCTCAGCAATGATGATGTGGTCCCTGCATTTAGATGCCTTGTGTTTGAGACCTCAAGTTCCTAAAGTTACAGATCCACTGTGAGGCAAAACCCTGATTGATTTCTACTGCACTTTATCCAGACAGTGAATGTGCTTTTGTCCTTGTGTGTTTCTTCATCTGTGGAAACAGTTGTAAAGCTGGCAGTTTGAGAAGCACAGATTCCTGGCTGGCTGTGGGCACTTCAGAGTAGAAAGTGACAAACAGTAGATGTTTCTGTTTGAATCAGACCCTCATTAATACTTCATGTTCAGTAATTCCAGAGGAAATGAAAGTTATTTTTAAGAAAAGTCATCAACAGTTTAGAAATAAGTGGGGCCGGGCACAGTGGCTCACGCCTGTAATCCCAGCACTTTGGGAGGCTGAGGCAGGCGGATCGTCTGAGGTCAGGAGTTCGAGACCAGCCTAACCAACATGGAGAAACCCCATCTCTACTAAAAATACAAAAATTAGCCAGGCATGGTGGTGCATTACACTACAGAATTGCAGAGCCTGTAATCCCAGCTACTTGGGAGGCTGAGGCAGGAGAATCGCTTGAACCCAGGAGGCAGAGGTTGCCATGAGCCGAGATCTCACCATTGCACTCCAGCCTGGAGCGAAACTCCATCTAAAAAAAAAAAAATATTGGAACTAGATGCTTGCTTCTTTATCTGACAAAGGATGCAGGCCAGTGACAATACAGCTTGTGCTTGGAGTCTCAGTCCATTGTTTGTATGATCTTTTATTTTTTAATTTTTTATAGAGACAAGTCTTGACACCACGCCTGGCCTAAACCTTATCTTAATGAGATTTAGTTGTTATCTAGAAAGAGATTTGAAAAAGAATTGAAACTGAAGATAGAAGATAGAAGAAATGAGATTGGACTCGTAGTTTATTTTTTAATTCATCTCTTTAAACTTCCCTTAAGTTGTTCTGGTTTCCTCTGACTTTTGATGATAAGTAATTTTAATAGTCCTTTCTTGAGGATGATCAGCCATATCTACCGAGGGTGCTCCCTGACTGCTTAGTATTATGGTGAAGTCACAGAGTAGGACATCTTTTCCCTAATTAATATTAAAAATTAAGAGTTTACCGCTACCGTTATCATAATAGATCTAGGCAATGCTCTTTCTTAATGACATAGGGAAAGCTGCTTTTACAGTGGAGGTCTACCGACCCTGCCTTCACCAAGAGGCAAACTCAGTAATACTAATAAGGGAGGAGACCACCCCTCGTATTGTCTTATGCCCAATTTCTGCCTCCAAAGAAAGAAGTAAAAACTAAAAGGCAGAAATGAAGTCCACAAGCAGACAGCCCGGCGCCACACCCTGGGCCTGGTAGTTAAAGATCGAACCTAATCTGTTATCTGTAAATTACAGACATTGTATGGAAAAGCACTGTGAAAATCCCTGTTCTGTTCTGTTGTGTTGTGTTCTGTTCTGTTCTGATTACTGGTGCATGCAGCCCCCAGTCACGTACCCCCTGCTTACTCAGTCGATCACGACCCTCTCACGCGGACCCCCTTAGAGTTGTAAGCCCTTAAGCGGGACAGGGGCCGGGCGTGATGGCTCACGCCTGTAATCCCAGCACTTTGGGAGGCCGAGGTGGGCGGATCACAAGGTCAGGAGATCCAGACCATCCTGGCTAACATGGTGAAACCCTGTCTCTACTAAAAACACAAAAAATTAGCCGGGCGTGGTGGCGGGCACCTGTAGTCCCAGCTACTCGGGAGGCTGAGGCAGGAGAATGGCGTGAACTCGGGAGGTGGAACTTGCAGTAAGCCGAGATTGCGCCACTGCACTCCAGCCTGGGCGACAGAGCGAGACTCTGTCTCAAAAAGAAAAAAAAAAAAAAAAATAGAGGGACAGGAATTGCTCACTCAGGGAGCTCAGTTTTTTGAGACATGAGTCTTGCCGATGCTCCCAGCCAAATAGAGCCCTTCCTTCTTTAACTCAGTGTCTGCGGGGTTTTGTCTGCAGCTCGTCCTGCTGCACTAAGGATGGACAGACTGGCTTTATGTGTCCCTTGTTGTGATGTGCTGAGGTGGACAGTGTCCATTCTGTCGTTTTCCTGTGCGAAAGTACTTAACGTGAATCTCCTCTTGAGGAAACAATCAGACAAACCCAAGTTGAGAGATGTCCTTCCAAGTAGCCAGCCTGCATGCTGCCCTCCTCCACCATAGAATGCTGAGAAGCACTTCTAGAGAAAAGCAGACTAGAGAGACAGGAAAAATAGCCATAAAGGACATACTGGGACAATTTAGGAAACTGTAATCTAGATTATATATTAACTGTAGACTATTGTGTATGTTATAAATGTGATGCTTATGTAGGTGAATGTCTTCGTTCTGATTTAGGGGCGAAGGGTCACAGTGTCCAAAGAGAGCAAGAGCCATCATGGCAAAATGTTAATAATCAGGAAACGAAATAAAGAAGCCAGGGCTCAGGAATGTTAATAATCAGGAAACTGGAAATAAAGAGGTCAGGGGCTCAGGACTGTTAATAATCAGGAAACTGGAAATAAAGAAGCCAGGGCTCAGGAGTGTTAATAATCAGGAAACTGGAAATAAAGAGGTCAGGGGCTCAGGAATGTTAATAATCAGGAAACTGGAAATAAAGAAGCCAGGGCTCAGGAATGTTAATAATCAGGAAACTGGAAATAAAGAAGCCAGGGCTCAGGAATGTTAATAATCAGGAAACTGGAAATAAAGAAGCCGGGGCTCAGGAATGTTAATAATCAGGAAACTGGAAATGAAGTCGGGGCTCAGGAATGTTAATAATCAGGAAACTGGAAATAAAGAGGTCAGGGGCTCAGGAATGTTAATAATCAGGAAACTGGAAATAAAGAAGTCACCACGGCTCAGGAATGTTAATAATCAGGAAACTGGAAATAAAGAGGTCAGCGGCTCAGGAATGTTAATAATCAGGAAACTGGAAATAAAGAAGTTACCACGGCTCAGGAATGTTAATAATCAGGAAACTGGAAATAAAGAGGTCGGGCTCAGGAATGTTAATAATCAGGAAACTGGAAATAAAGAAGCCAGGGCTCAGGAATGTTAATAATCAGGAAACTGGAAATAAAGAAGCCTGGGCTCAGGAATGTTAATAATCAGGAAACTGGAAATAATGAAGCCAGGGCTCAGGAATGTTAATAATCAGGAAACTGGAAATAAAGAAGCCAGGGCTCAGGAATGTTAATAATCAGGAAACTGGAAATGAAGTCGGGGCTCAGGAATGTTAATAATCAGGAAACTGGAAATAAAGAAGCCAGGGCTCAGGAATGTTAATAATCAGGAAACTGGAAATAAAGAGGCCAGGGCTCAGAAATGTTAATAATCAGGAAACTGGAAATGAAGTCGGGGCTCAGGAATGTTAATAATCAGGAAACTGGAAATAAAGAGGCCAGGGCTCAGGAATGTTAATAATCAGGAAGCTGGAAATGAAGTCGGGGCTCAGGAATGTTAATAATCAGGAAACTGGAAATAAAGAAGCCAGGGCTCAGGAATGTTAATAATCAGGAAACTGGAAATGAAGTCGGGGCTCAGGAATGTTAATAATCAGGAAACTGGAAATAAAGAAGCCAGGGCTCAGGAATGTTAATAATCAGGAAACTGGAAATGAAGTCGGGTCTCAGGAATGTTAATAATCAGGAAACTGGAAATAATGAAGTCGGGGCTCAGGAATGTTAATAATCAGGAAACAGGAAATAAAGAAGCCAGGGCTCAGGAATGTTAATAATCAGGAAACAGGAAATAAAGAAGCTGGGGCTCAGGAATGTTAATAATCAGGAAACTGGAAATAAAGAAGTCACGGCTCAGGAATGTTAATAATCAGGAAACTGGAAATAATGAAGTTGGGGCTCAGGAATGTTAATAATCAGGAAACAGGAAATAAAGAAGCCAGGGCTCAGGAATGTTAATAATCAGGAAACAGGAAATAAAGAAGCCAGGGCTCAGGAATGTTAATAATCAGGAAACTGGAAATAAGTCACGGCTCAGGAATGTTAATAATCAGGAAACTGGAAATAAAGAAGTCGGGGCTCAGGAATGTTAATAATCAGGAAACTGGAAATCAAGAAGCCAGGGCTCAGGAATGTTAATAATCAGGAAACTGGAAATGAAGTCGGGGCTCAGGAATGTTAATAATCAGAAAACTGGAAATAAAGTCGGGGCTCAGGAATGTTAATAATCAGGAAACTGGAAATCAAGAAGCTAGGGCTCAGGAATGTTAATAATCAGGAAACTGGAAATGAAGTCGGGGCTCAGGAATGTTAATAATCAGGAAACTGGAAATCAAGAAGCTAGGGCTCAGGAATGTTAATAATCAGGAAACTGGAAATAAAGTCGGGGCTCAGGAATGTTAATAATCAGGAAACAGGAAATAAAGAAGCCAGGGCTCAGGAATGTTAATAATCAGAAAACTGGAAATAAAGTCGGGGCTCAGGAATGTTAATAATCAGGAAACTGGAAATCAAGAAGCTAGGGCTCAGGAATGTTAATAATCAGGAAACTGGAAATAAAGTCGGGGCTCAGGAATGTTAATAATCAGGAAACTGGAAATCAAGAAGCTAGGGCTCAGGAATGTTAATAATCAGAAAACTGGAAATAAAGTCGGGGCTCAGGAATGTTAATAATCAGGAAACTGGAAATCAAGAAGCTAGGGCTCAGGAATGTTAATAATCAGGAAACTGGAAATAAAGTCGGGGCTCAGGAATGTTAATAATCAGGAAACAGGAAATAAAGAAGCCAGGGCTCAGGAATGTTAATAATCAGGAAACTGGAAATAAAGAAGCCTGGGCTCAGGAATGTTAATAATCAGGAAACTGGAAATAAAGAAGCCAGGGCTCAGGAATTATAATAATCAGGAAACTGGAAATAAAGAAGCCAGGGCTCAGGAATGTTAATAATCAGGAAACTGGAAATGAAGTCGGGGCTCAGGAATGTTAATAGTCAGGAAACTGGAAATAAAGAAGTCGGGGCTCAGGAATGTTAATAATCAGGAAACTGGAAATAAAGAAGCCAGGGCTCAGGAATGTTAATAATCAGAAACTGGAAATAAAGAAGCCAGGGCTCAGGAATGTTAATAATCAGGAAACCGGAAATAAAGAAGCCAGGGCTCAGGAATGTTAATAATCAGGAAACTGGAAATGAAGTCGGGGCTCAGGAATGTTAATAATCAGGGAACTGGAAATAAGTCGGGGCTCAGGAATGTTAATAATCAGGAAACTGGAAATAAGTCACGGCTCAGGAATGTTAATAATCAGGAAACTGGAAATAAAGAAGTCGGGTCTCAGGAATGTTAATAATCAGGAAACTGGAAATAAGTCACGGCTCAGGAATGTTAATAATCAGGAAACTGGAAATAAAGAAGTCGGGGCTCAGGAATGTTAATAATCAGGAAACTGGAAATCAAGAAGCCGGGGCTTAGGAATGTTAATAATCAGGAAATTGGAAATAAAGAAGTCGGGGTTCAGGAATGTTAATAATCAGGAAACTGGAAATGAAGTCGGGGCTCAGGAATGTTAATAATCAGGAAACTGGAAATGAAGTCGGGGCTCAGGAATGTTAATAATCAGGAAACTGGAAATGAAGTCGGGGTTCAGGAATGTTAATAATCAGGAAACTGGAAATAAAGAAGTCGGGGCTCAGGAATGTTAATAATCAGGAAACTGGAAATGAAGTCGGGGCTCAGGAATGTTAATAATCAGGAAACTGGAAATAAAGAAGTCGGGGCTCAGGAATGTTAATAATCAGGAAACTGGAAATAGGTCAGGGGCTCAGGAAGGTTAATAAGGAAACTGGAAATAAGTCATGGCTCAAGACTTAATAATCAGAAAATTGGAAATAAAGAAGTCGGGGCTCAGGAATGTAACTGGAAATAAGCCAGGGCTCAGGAATGTTAATAATCAGGAAACTGGAAATAAAAGAAGTCGGGTCTCAGGAATGTTAATAATCAGGAAGCTGGAAACGGAGAAGTTGCGGCTCAAGTTGGAGACTTTCTCTGCCTTCTCTCCTGTCTCCAGAAATTTGTCGCGGTATATGTTAATTGCTCCTTCACCTGCCTTAAGTCTTTTAATAGAATAGAAGCATCCTTTTAGAGTAATTGAAGTTTTCATCAAACCCATAGTGTCGTTTATTCTTTGCATAATAACAGACTAAAGTGATGTTAAAATATCTCTTGCTTTTACAGTGCAATTTTACACATAAAATTACATGTAATTGGCTGGGCACTGTGGCTCATGCCTGTAATTCCAGCACTTTGGAAGGCTGCGGCGGGCAGATCATGAGGTCAGGAGATGGACACCATCCTGGCCTACATGATGAAGCCCCATGTCTACTAAAAATACAAAAATTAGCTAGGCGTGGTGGTTGCGTGTCTGTAATCCCAGCTACTCAGGAGGCTGAGGCAGGAGAATCGCTTGAACCAGGGAGTCAGAGGTTGCAGTGAGCCAAGATTGCGCCACTGCACTCCAGCCTGGCAACAGAACAAGATTCTGTCTCAAAACAGAACAGAACAAACTAACAAACCATGTAATTTTAAAGGTAAAAATTTTAGGTCTTAAAATGTGAGTTGGAGCATTCTAAGGAAGTGGTATTTGGTTGAGGAAACTAAGACCAGGCAAATGATTCTGATCCTTTTCTCATAGTTTATTTAAAGCTGTTAATTTTATTCTAATAACTGCCTCTATTTTTCTAAACATACTAGGATGCCCACATGAAGCAAATAGAAGTTGTAGGCGATAAGATACCGTGTGATGTGATGTTTGTGTGCATGTTGCATATTGTACATCAAGTAAGATGTTCTCTTAGAGTGAAGGTAAAGTGCTTGATAATGTAGAATCAACTTTTAAGCAAAATTTAATAAAATTATAGTGTGGTTTTGGTATTTTCAGATAATTTTTGAAAATATCATTAAAAGTTTGTACATATGAAAATTACTTTTTTTTTTTTGTAGAGGAGTGAATGTCGTTCCTTTTCTAGAACTCATTGGGTTACCTGACAGTGTGGTAAGCATCCTGAAAAACTCCCAGAGTGGAAATGCCCTCACAGCATATGCCTTGTTTAAGGTGGGTACTGTAACAAACCCATTGCTCCTCAGAACTCACTGGTGGTGACCTGCTCACTTTCCCATGAGATTCCATGTTAGCTTCCAATTGTATTTCGTAACTTGAAACGCTGTATTTCATCTCTGATATGTCTGGTGAATAATGTAAGATAATTTTTTTTTTTTTTTTTTTGGAGATGGAGTTTCGCTCTTGTTTGCCAGGCTGGAGTGCAGTGATGCCATCTCGGCTCACTGCAACCTCCGCCTCCCAGGTTAAAGTGATTCTCCTACCTCAGCCTCCCGAGTAGCTGGGAGATAACAAGATAACAAAATAAAGTGGAAGTAAAAATGTGGTTTTAGGAAGAAATGCCTTAAAAATTGGTAGATCATTCATAACTTCCTGTGGTCAAATAATTGTTAGACTTATGTGATTTTCCATGGTAGTAGTCATCTGTTTGACATTGCTCCCGTTGATAAATGGAGATATAATTATTTTAAGTATAATTATATTTGTTTTTTCTTATTCAGTGATCTGCATGCCACCTGATTTGTTAGCAAAATTTAGCATTTATTTTACTGTTTTTTGTTTTGTTTTGTGTGTGGTTTTAAGGAGCAGAGAGTTTAATAGGCAAGAAGGGGCAAGAAGGAAGGGAGAAGGAAGAAGCTCCCCTGTACAGAGACAGAAGGGGGGGGCCTCCAAAGCCAAAAGAGGAGATCCCCCTATTTTACTGTTTTTAATAATTCATCTTTTCTTAGCAAGTAAAATAGGTTTAATCCAAATTGTCTTATATGATAAACCCTTTTCTGTTAGATTTTAACCTAACATATGTTTCATTTTAAAAGTTGATAATCTTTGTAACTATTCTCCGGATTCAGACAACTTTTTTGAGACGGAGTTTCACTCTTGTTTCCCAGGCTGGAGTACAATGGCGCGATCTCGGCTCACCGCAACCTCTGCCTCCCGGGTTCAAGCAATTCTCCTGCTTTAGCCTCCCAAGTAGCTGGGATTACAGGCATGTGCCACCATGCCTGGCTAATTTTGTATTTTTTTAGTAGAGACGGGGTTTCTCCATGTTGGTCAGGCTGGTCTCAAACTTCTGACCTCAGGTGATCTGCCCGCCCTCGGCCTCTCAAAGTGCTGGGATTACAGATGAGACCCACTGCAGCCGGCCTGACAGCATCATCTTGATAGCTTCTATGCCTATGGGTCTTTATTTTGGAAGGGAAGACTCACTGTAAATTGTGGAGTTTAGCCATATTAATCTCATTTTCTAAACTGACAAATATTTATGAGGGTCTGTGAAACTTCTACCTAAGGAAGTTGAAAACACAGAAACTAGATGTTTTATTTTACTTCTGTTGTATAAGAATATCTAAGAATTACAGTTTTACAGCATTACTCAAAAGTAGCATTGTTTCATTCTGTCATCCTCATTAGCATCCTCTGAAATCTTGGTAGATTTCCTCTTTTATTATAATTTTGATGAGAGGGCTAACATTTAATTTTTGAGTTTTTCTACATTAAAGTGTATTAAATTTAAAAATTATCAAGTTTCTAATTATGGTGGGTATAATTTTAACCCGAGTAAGTCAAACTATCATGCTGATGTAAACCTTCCCTAATTTAATTGCTCCTTATCCCACTCCCATAGCATGACAGTTGATAGCACAGTGTGTGCTAGGTGTTAAGTGTTTGTTTTATTTGATTAGGAGCTCCCAGGAACTCAGAATCATGTCTTCTTTCTTGTTTTTTTTCACTGCACCTGGTATTATGTTCTGTAGGTGAATAAAATGCTCAGCACGTGTTTGTGGAGTTGGGATTGAAAATGAGGCTGTAGGCGTCATGGTAGGGAGATGAGTGCCAGTGGTGTTTCTTCCCCCTCACTATTCCTCTGTGAAGTAGGAGATATGGAGGGGATTCTCCTTTGTATTATCTGTAACCCCCAGTTTCTCAAATAGAGCAACAGACACAGATTTATTGCTTCAACAAGACAAAGTCCCCAAATGAAGTATGGCATGTATGGTCTGGTGGCAGTTGGCTACGGGATATATTCACTGACTGCCTCATAATCTCTTTGAAATACACCCAGAGTTTTAGTCATCCTCTGCTGTGTGCTAGGTACCATTCTAGGTACTGGGAATAAACGAATCAAAGAAGACAGTGCAAAATACCTGCCTCATAGGGCTGATAGTGTAGTGAGTGGTAGTGGGTTGGGGAGACAAGGTAAAGTTAGAAATGCATGCACACACAAAGTGTGTGTACGTAGATGATGGTAACTGCTAAGAAAGGAAACCAGGGATGGGGGTATGGATTTGTTTTTCAATGGGAGATGGCACACCTTGCTGAGAAGGTGAGAGAGTTGCTCCTCCAAGAGGGAGGAGCATTCCAAACAGAGAAAATCCGAAAGACAAAGTTCTGAGGCTGCAGGATCCTGGGAGTATTTGAGGGATGCAGGGAAGCTAGTGTGACCGGAATCAGTGAACAGGGCAGAGAATGGCGTGTCATCAGATCAGGACAGCCTTGTTGGCCCTTAAAAGGACTTTGCTTTTTACCCTGAGGACATGGAAAGCCACTGGACAATTTTAAGCATCCTGCCTCTGTTCCATCAAAATCACTTTGGCTGCTCTAGTAACAGACCATGGCGGGATCAGGGGAGAAGCCAAGGGACCTGGTGTGAGGTGAGGTGATTACAGTATTTTAGTTGAGAGGCAATAGTGGCCAGAACCCAGGTGGTAGCAGGAAGTAGTTGGATTCTCGATACGTTTTAAAGACGTGGTTGCTGGGGTTTTCTGATGGTTTGGATATAAATTATGGAAAAGAAAGAGGGGTTGAAGCTTTCTTGTAAGTTTTTGGCCCGGACAACTGGAAGAATAGAATTGCCATTTTCTGAGATGAGTAAGACTTTGAGAGAAGCAGGTTTGAAGTAGGACAGTCGAAGATCCGAAGGTCAGTTTTGAACATGCAGTCATGTGCCACCCAACAGCATTTCGGTTAACCATGGACTACAGACAGTGATGGTCCCATAGGTCCCATGTTTTTATGAATGTCATATTTTTACTGTAACTTTTCTACATTTAGATAGTTTAGGTATACAAATACTTACTGTGGTCTTATAATTGCCTACTGTGTTCGGCACAGTAGTGTGCTGTACAGGTTTGTAGCCTAGGAGCAATAGGCTATACCTTGTGGCCTGAGTGTGCAGAGGGCTACACCATCTAGGTTTGTGTAAGTACACTCTGTGAAGTTTCACACAACAATAAAATCACCTAATGACACATTTCTCAGACCGTATCCCCATTAAGTGACTCACCTGCATTAAGTTTGAGATCTTATTAGATATGCAAATGGAGGTGGTTGTATATACTGGAATTCAGGGGAAAAGTTCAGTCTGGAGATTAAAGTTAAGAATCATCCATGTATAGTTGGCACTAAAGACCAGAGAGTGAGATAGGTAGAGAAAATAAGAGGTCCAGGGATCGAATGTTGTCACACCACGTTCAGAGGTGGGTGAAAGGGGAGGAATTGGCAAAAATGAGAAGCCGCCATGAACTAGAAGGAAGCCCAGCAAGTTGAGGGCCTGGAGCCAAGTGAAGGGAAGGTGAAAGCTGTGTGGGATGGTTCCAGTGGTTCAGGGGCTGGTTCCAAATTGACAACTGGATTTAGTTTTGTAGAGGTCACTGTGACTTTGAAAGCAGTTTTGGTGAAGAGGTATGGGTGAAAGCTTGCTTAACGTGAGTTTAGGAGAGAAATTAGAGATAGAGCAGACAGCTCTTTCAAAGTTTTGTTATACAACACACCTATGCATTTTGTTTTGTTTCGTTTGAGACAGGATCTTGCTGTTTCCCAGGCTGGAGTGCAGTCGTGCAATCACAGCTCCCTGCAGCCTCGAACTCCTAGACTCGAGCAGTCCTCCTGCATCAGCCTCCCAAGTAGCTGGGACTACAGGCACATGCCACTTACTCCCGGCTAAGTATTTTTCTTTTCTTTTTCTTCTTTCTTTTTCTTTGTGTTTTAAGAGATGGCAGGGTCTCATTATGTTGCCCAGACTAGTCTTGAACTTCTGAGCTCAAGCAGCCCTCCCGACTGAGCCTCCCAAAGTGCTGGGATTATAGGCGTGAGCCATTGTACCTGCCAACACCTATGTTTTTTGTTTTGTTTTGTTTTGAGAGGTAGCTTCACTCTTGTCGCCCAGGCTGGAGCGCAATGGTACAATCTCGGTTCGCTGCAACCTCTGCCACCGGGTTCAAGCGATTCTCCTGCCTCAGCTTCTCAAATATCTGGGATTACAGGTGCCTGCCACCACGCCCGGCTAATTTTTGTACTTTTATTAGAGACTGGGTTTCACCATGTTGGCCAGGCTGGTCTTGAACTCCTGAACTCAGGTGACCCACCCACCTAAGCCTCCCAAAGTGCTGGGATTACAGGCATGAGCCACTGCACCCAACCTGATTTTTGACTTAGAATATGATGCAGCCTTTTTACTTGTATGGTTCTCTTTGACCAGTCATCCATCTGCTATTTAGTATTGGTCCTAAAAGTTCCAATTAACGTTAAACCTGTGCATGTCTGCAGCAGGTGTGCCATTTTACTACTTTTGGCCTTGTGTAAATTAGTGGCTAGGATTTGAGACTCAGGGTAGATTGTGATGAGAAGGTAGCATAGGTTTAGAAAAGTCAAAGGAAAGGGATTTGGAAGTGAAGCTAACCTAAATCCCAACAGAGAGTGGTTTCATGCTCTGCCTCTCACCATTTGAAGACATTCAGTTCTAGTTTAGCTCCAGATAGAAAGCATTTGGCAGGATGGCAGGGCTTTTAAGGAATAGAAACATGTGTTCCTCTGTTATTTTTACTGGTACTGAGTCCTCTTTCTGATTTCCAGGTTGACCTGTCCCCCAAGTTTACTAGCATGCGATTAGGGACATCAGTGCTATGATTCTGTTATCTGGGTCAGGATTGTGTAGAGGACAAACATTCATAAAATGAGTTTACAGAAGAAATATCTCTTGTTAGGAGGGAAAACCATATAGGATATTACTACATTAGCTTTGTGAAACAATGAGGCAATTTATTCTGATGGGTTATTACCAAGAATTTTAATTTTAACTTGTTTTTGCTTAAGATGACAGTAATAACCAGGTTTTGATTTGCCTCTGTTTGCTTTTTGCTTAAGATTGCAACACCTGCTCGGTATACCGTGACTTTGGGAGGAACATCTGTCACTGTGAAGTATCTGCGCAGTCATGGCTACATGTCCACGCCGCCACCCGTCAAGGAGTATCTGCAGGACAGGATGGAAGAGACAAAGGAGCTTATCACAGAGAAAATGGAAGAAACAAAAGATAGACTCACTGAAAAGTTACAAGAAACCAAAGAAAAAGTTTCCTTTAAGAAAAAAGTGGAATAAGGTGCCTTATATAGCAGTATAGAAAATTCCTGCACTTTAACCCTTTGGAAACTATGGGCAAAGATACATGTGTCTGATTATTTTTTTGGTTAGTTGCCGAAATATACTAGTTCTCTGAGGGTTAAAGAAGTAAAATACCTTTTTAAAGTTAAATATCACTAGAAAAATCAGTGTTATTACAAGGGAAGAAATGAACCCAGTTTAAGAATTTGCCATCAGTAGCAGTATTAAGCAGTGGTTAATGTCTTAGAAGTCAGACTTCTTTTTCAAGGTCTTCAGAACCACACTTGATTTCTGTTTTGTTGCAGCTGTAATTGACACATACTAGGCAGCTGACTCCTTGAATATCCAGTGTGACCCATAAAATAGTCTGTTAATACCGGATCTTAATTTTTATGTTATTCATTAAGATTTTAACTATATTCAGTACGTAATTTGGAGACAAACTAGCATCATCAAAACTGCCTGTAAATAAGGTGTTTAGTCTTTCTATAAAAACAGAATAGAGCAGTTACCTACCAGTTAAAATATCTTATATGAAGAAAATAGAATAAAGATCCAGTCATATATGTAAATAAGATGTACTGATTGTACGTAAATGAAAAATGGACCCTTTAAAAATTATTTTTACCTGAAGCTTGTCATAATTTTTTTAAAGCAAATATATATATGGTGATGGTACTTTTCAAAGTGTGTATTAGTGGTGATCACCTCAAACATAAACCTCTGTTGTGAATCATTTGTGTCCTTTTCAACTGTCTTTCAGAGGAAAGGTAAAAAATCATTAAACCTTAAATTCATTGTTAAAATCAAATATTTGTCAGCAGTAACTCAAGCTCATGGTTCTCAAGCAGAAAAAGGTTTGGGAGACTAAAAATGGAGTCAGGTTTTCATGGAGACTGCTAACTCCTTGGGGTAGACATGGGCCTTGCCTCAGCAAACCAGTGCAATTTCCCAATGTCTTAGTTTCAGAATTCATGCTGATTTCATTATGGAGTAAAGTTTTAAATTGTGGCTGCTGCTTTTTGTCTTACATTGAAGGGAAATATCCTTGTTTGAGCATTCTACTTGATTTTTTTTTTTTTTTTTTTTTTTTTTGAGACGGAGCCTCCCTCTCTCTCTCCCAGACTGGAGTGCAATGGTACAATCTCGGCTCACTGCATCCTCTGCCTCCCAGGTTCAAGTGATCCTCCCGCCTCAGCTTTCCAAGTAGCTGGGAGTATAAGCGTGTGCCACCACACTCAGCTAATTTTTGTATTTTTAGTGGAGGTGGAGTTTCACCATGTTAGCCAGGCTAGTCTCCAACTCCTGACCTCAGCCTCCCGAGTAGCTGGGACTACAGGCGCCCACCACCACGCCCAGCTAATTTTTTTGTATTTTTAGTAGAGATGGGGTTTCACCATCTTAACAAAGCTATCATTAAATCATTTGCTTGTAATGAAATTCAGCCGTTGTCAGCTGTGAGCGTTGCGGGGCTGGTGGGGTGTGTTTGAGTATGTAAGTGTCTATTTCCTGTGCTCTAACAGTGACTATTTCAGTTCTAACCCTTCAATTGCTAATTGGATGAGGGAATGGCCTCTTAGATTGTCCTTGTTTTGACTTATCTGCTAAGGCGAGAGAATGTCTGGGTTTGCCACACAGTCCCGCAGGGACCCCTGCTCTTTGCCAGGATTTTTATATCAAGTACTTAGTTTGGCCAAATTTAGAGTATAGTTTAAAGGGGAAAAAAAGTTTGTATTTGATGAGTCTAATTACTATATTAGAATGCTTTTTAAATGAATATGCTGTGATTGGAATCTCTTCTTGGGGGCCGGGGAGAGTGCTGAGAGATGCAGCTGTGTCTCTGCTCTCTGCAGTCTTGGGCAGGCAGCACCGCTGTCTCCTGATACAGAGGGTTGAATGCACTGCTTCACATTGATGCCACATTTTCAAATCTAAACATGATTAACATGTTTTTTAAGTATTTATCAAATAATTCACATTTTTGCAGGTTTAAGTGCTGTTTTTTAAGATATTAAACATGTTCCTTGTTTCTTTTTTCTTTTTAACCACTGGAGACTATGTGAAAATCTTGTGTTATATGGAATTTTTCTAAAACAATTTCCTTTTACTTTTCATGTTGCATATTTTCCAGTGGGGATAAATTGGAGGTTCTTATTACTAATAATCCTGAAACTAAAATTTGCTTTTCCTGCATAGACATCTTTTGTTAGTCCATTTGAGTTTTGTTGCCATCCAGTTTCATGATCATGTTGTGTTAGTCTAATAGACAATGAGTTACTGCTTGAATGATATGAAATTCTCTAGTAAAAAATGCTCTGAAGATGTGAGAAGCTCTGTTGTATTACTTGGCACCAGGAATGTTACAAAAATGTTGTTGCTAGCATATTGCTAACCTAGTCCTTAAGTTTCAGGGATTCCTGTAATATGTTGAGTTTGGAGTATTAATAGCAGGCTAACAGAATACAGTACCAATATGCCAAGTTAAATAATTGAGAATATATACAGTATAGTTTGCTATGTATAATAGACCTCATTTCATTTACAGTACACCTCACACTTGGGATTAATTCACCTATAACCTCTGTGAACTGCGAGTGCTCGGCAGAAGCAGCCCTGTGTCTTACATGTCTACATTTATATTTATATTTATATTTATTTTTTTGAGACAGAGTCTCACTCTGTCACCCAGGCTAGAGTGCAGTGGCATGATCATAGCTCACTTGCGTCTTGAACTCCTGGCTCAAGTGATCCTCCCACCTCAGCCTGCTGAGTAGCTGGGACTACAGGTGCACACCACCATGCCTGGCTAAAGGCATGTCTGCATTTATGCGAGGTGTGTTGACCGGGTGGGGAGGGAGCTAGGACTGAGATTCGCCTGTGTAAAATGCACAAAAAGGGTTTGCTAAGCAAATTGATATTTGAAATGAAAGATGGATTAGGTGAGAGACTTAGTTTATTCAGGAATAAGAGCAAAACCAACCACATCAAAAAATGTATTTCACTGAGACAGCCTTTTGTACATACAGCAGGGTGCTGTTTACAGATTTCAAGAAAGGAGAAAAAGAATGCTTATACTGAGATTACCTACCTCCCAGTAGTGAAAATAATAAATTTATCCCTTGAAATATAATCGTGTGTTTATTTGTCACAGAATCTACACTTACTTACAAATGCTTTATGCTCAGGATGAAATGGAGATACTGGCTCTCTTGTTTCAGTGATCTTAGATGATAATTCCAGGAATTTTAAAGATATATATATATATATATATTTTTTTTTTTTTTTTTTTTTTTTTTTTTGAGACAGAGTCTCGCTCTGTCGCCCAGGCTGGAGTGCAGTGATAACGATCTCGGCTCACTGCAAGCTCCACCTCCCAGGTTCACGCCATTCTCCTGCCTCAGCCTCCCGAGTAGCTGGGACTACAGGCACCCGCGACCATGCCCGGCTAATTTTTTGTGTTTTTAGTAGAGACGGTTTCACCGTGTTAGCCAGGATGGTCTCGATCTCCTGACCTCGTGATCCGCCCGCCTCGGCCTCCCAAAGTGCTGGGATTACAGGCATGAGCCACCGCGCCTGGCCTTAAAGATCTTAATAGTATGCGCAGAAAGATGTTTGAAGAAAAGAAGGAAATTGTATATTTGACACACTGAGCTTCTTTCTGTGTTCTTAGTGTTGGGTTTGGGTCATTCAGGATTTCTTAACCAATTCAGACATGAATCAGGCTGCTGTAGAAGATAGTAATTACAATGGAATGGACAGAAGATGATTTTTAGCCAATGAGGCAAAAAAAGTCATCTTTCCTGCTTTTTCTGAAATGATATGTTGAGAAGATGTTTTTGTGAGATACACATTTCTGAATTAAAGGATTCCTTCTGAAAATATAACTTGTTAGGTAATGTGGACATATTTTTTCTGTTGGCCAAAGTTCATTTTTTGAAATGGGGGCCTTCATTTATTTTTTATTTTCAAAATTGAGTTTCTATAAGGCCTAAAATAAAATAGATTAAATGTCACCAAAGTTGTTTGTACCTGTTTAAATATCTTTTTTGCAAGCCACTTACATTTTTTGGTACTGAAAGCTCACTACTCAATTGTCCTTATGAGCATGGAGGTGTCTCAGTGTGTCTGATCATACTGGCCCAGATGCCTGAGTGGCACATGTGCACTCAGAGAAGTGGGAGCCTCTTTGCTGCCTGCCTTGGAATTCAACCACCTGAGCCAGAAATCTATAGAACCAGAGGTGGGGAATTTTACCTATTCATTTTGCAGATGTTAACATTGTTCTCTTTTGGATCATTTGTATGTTATGTAGTATTAAGTTAGTACTAAATGAGATTGCAGAACGTACTGCATCATGTTCCCTGAGGACAATGGGAGTCAAGACCTCATTCTTCCTTTCTGGACTTGAATGGTCTGGGGGACCACACCTCCTTCCCAGAATTCATCTGCAATCATGAATTTTGGCCTGACCTTCTGGTTCTTGAAACATCTTTCCCCTGCATTTGGCGCTTGTAACTTGTCTTTGAGAAATGCTGAGTCAGGCCAATTGATGATATTTTCCCTCTAGAATTTTTCCTTTGTGACTTTTGTGTCAAGTTTGTTCATTTTAAGTAGTCAAAACAAGCTTTTAATTGTCTTGCTTCTTCAGGGTTAGGCTTTGAAAATCAAGCTGTATTCTTCTTTATGCATCATTGACAGTCACCAACAATAATAATTACAGATCATAATTATCTTGTGGCAATTATGATAAGAATTATTTTCTTAGTAGAAAGAATGCATCCTGATTTCAGAAACCTCCAGGGCAGTGTATAACATGAAGCCTGTTCTTTGTTCCGGTGACTTGATTGGACAGTCATAGTGGAGAGATGCACAGGCCGCCAGAGGCATTCTCAGAGTATCAAGTCTCTACAGATGAAGGGCGCTTGTGGAGAAGCATGTTTCAGTGCGTTTTCTCTGGGACAACATGCCCCATAAGAAAAGTTGAATACAATTAAACACGTCCTGCCTGCAGCCAAAGCAGATTTTCACTGTCCTTGAAAGTGAGGATTGAACACAACCTCCCTTCCCTCTCCCTCCCTCTGTCCAGCTTCTTCTCTTTTGGATTTTGAACAATGTAAATGTTAGAAAAACTTTGAAGTGAGAAAGAAAAAGACAAATTTGCCCTGAGCATGTCAGGTACACGTTCTGCTTGACGCTTCTGTGTGGGCCTCCCTGTTGCAGTCTCTAGGGGAGGATAGGCACACTGTCTCCAGAAAGAGGACAGTGAACTTCCAGCTGCATTTGACTGATACTAGGCCATTTTTAGTTCTTAGAGAAACAACATTAAAACCTAAACTTCATCCTTTTTATTTTGATAAAACGAACTTCCCCTCATTTTTTAATCAAATACATGGCAAAGGTCAGCCTTATCCTCTATTTTGATAGTTCCGTAAAGGCTATTCTAAGCATGTGATAAGAAATGATGGCAATTCTGGATCTTCTGTTATACCAATTAGATGTTTAACTCTAAAACCTGTGATTTTTTTTTTTAATGAACACATGGCATTTTCTCATACACGTGTATTTCAGCCTTACCGTCTGTGCTCCTCTTTGTACAAGATTTGTGACTTTATAATGGCTGAAGCATATTTTGACTAGTGTGTATTTTATTCCATTTGAGTCAGTATTTTCTTTGGACACTTAATATGGTGACTTAATTAGTGCAGTTGCTTTGCTTCTCTAAGAATAGTGGCGACTCTGGTTCTCTTATGATAAGGGTGCCAAAAGTCCTCACGTGCTCAGCTGCAGCCTGGAGCTGGAATTACAGGGCTTTGTTGCCATAGTGTTGCATCAACATGCACTTCTTATCCTCTCATTATTCAAGAAGATGCAGGATACAGTGGGTCGCAGTTTGCATTCCTCACTTCTTTTGGTCCCGAAATAAAAGTCTCATATTCCAACAAAAAGTTGAGAATATTATTGAACAAATATGTCCACAAAACCTAATGCAATTTTTGTTGAGAAACATTCATTAATTGCATTTCAAACACATTTTAGATTAATAGTTTTTTGCAACATAAACCCTACGCCTATAGAACCAATGAATTTGACATTTCATGGGTCACATTAGAACCAATATTTTTAGTTGAAGAAAGAAATACAAAAGAATTGGATTTAAAATTGGGATCTCAACTTCCAGTTTAGTGCTTTCCTTTGGTGCCAATTATTCAGGTAAGAGGCCAGGCTTTGGGGCTTCTGAAATCCCTTGTATTTTTGGAGACAGAAGCTCAAGTCAATTTATTATAAATATTCCTTTCCTTCCTCCTCTGCTGGTGCTTTCATCTTCTTTGCCTTTCAGCTTCTTTTAGATCTCTTTTCATCTTTTTGTCCTTAAAGTGATAGGATGGGACGATAGTCACTTCTGTGACCTCAGTTTCTGACTGCAGGAAGGAAACGTGTATTTATTAAAATTTCTCATGCTCCAGCTTCATTTTCTCCTTCACCTGGGATGGACTATGAGATGGGAGACTTATGTGAGCCAGTTCAGTGATGTCTGTCACTTTCTGGGTGGGCTTGGTGTTGGCAAAGCCATTAGGTAGCTATTTCCATATATAAATTACATATATATATATATATATATATATATATATATATATATTTTTTTTTTTTTTTTTTTTTTGAGATGGAGTCTTGCTCTGTCGCCCAGGCTGGAGTGTAGTGGTGCGATCTCAGCTCACTGCAACCTCCGCCTCCCAGGTTCAAGCAGTTCTCTGCCTCAGCCTCCCAAGTAGCTGGGATTACAGGTGCCTGCCATCGTGCCTGGCTAATTTTTGTATTTTTAGTAAAGACGGGGTTTCACCATCTTGGTCAGGCTGGTCTTGAACTCCTGACCTCGTGATCCACCCGCCTCAGCCTCCCAAAGTGCTGGGATTACAGGTGTGAGCCACTGCACCCAGCCCCTTTCTTTTTTTTTTTAATTATTTATTTTTTTAGAGACAGGATCTGGCTCTCTTGCCCAGGCCGGAGCACAGTGGCAGGATCGTAACTCACTGCAACCTCAAATTCCTGGGCTCAAACAGTCCTCCCACCCCAGCCTCCCAAGTAGCTAGGATTACAGGTGCACACCACCAAGCACAGCTAATTTCAGTTTTGTTGTTTGTTTCTTTGCTCGCTTTTTGTAGAGCCGGGGGGGTCTCACTAGGTTGCCCAGGCTGGTCTTGAACTCCTGGCCTCAAGCAATCCTCCCACCTTGGCCTCCCTAAGATTACAGGTGTGAACCCCTGTGCTCGGCCACTATTTTGAAACATCCAAATCCGTACTAGAAGGCAAGTAATGGCAACAGTTATTAAATCTAGTTTCTTTGCGTCTAAGTTTAAATATTTCACACATCCAAGGAGGATTTGACCTCAGGAAATTCCCCATTGCCCCGTTGGTACAAACTGAGTTTGCTGTTTCCTGCTTTGCTGCTGTGAGGAGGGTCAGACAGTGGTCATAGCTTCTGATCCTGTACTTGTGGCATACTTGGAGCCAGCTCAGATTGGAATTTTCCATTTAATTGCTACCAATCACTGGAACATCTGAAGTGATCAGAAGCTGCCATTTGTGGAAAATTTTAGTGTTGAGTAGTTCAGATTAAGAACTGTTAGTTTTCACCAAAATATAGAGGTTGGCCTCTGAATTCCATGAAAATTACCAACCTTAAAACCTGTACTGTATTATATGCTTAAAAATGTGGTAAGAGGGTAGCTCTCATGTTAAGTATTTTTACCACAATAAAATGCAAATCAAACAAAAACCCTGGCCCCTCATACACTGTGTGGGCAGTTCTGCACTGCAGTGCCTGCTACACAGCCAGTCTGTGCCCTCCGCAGTGTCTGTGAGCGGTGTTTGGTGTCTCATGCACCTGATGGGCTTAGAATTGCTGTGTGGCATTTGCCTTTGTCACTCATGGTGGTTAAACAGCAAGTGTGGTGAGAACCCTGTAGAAGCGGTGGCCCCTCCATCAGGCTGCTGAGGACCCAGCAGGTTGAGGCACCCTGCCTCTCCCATCGCCGGTTCTCCTTGGCTGGAACCCTTGCAGAGGGAGACCAGCAGATGGTGAAAGAAGTATCAGAGCAAGAGACAGGAGGAAAGTGTTCTGGGGTTTACAGTGGCGTTGTCAGTAAGGCACAAGGCTAAGTGCTTGCACATATCATTCCTGAAGGAGGTGGGTCGGCCAGTGTCAGCAGAGGGAACGCAGAAGGAGAAGGCCCGTCAACAGGAGAGGCTGCCCGAGGACCCTGGGTGCATCCAGGGCTGCTTCAGGACTGAGCTAGGCAAGTGGAGAGAATGGTGAGTGACAGTGTCCAGATCCACGTGTGCTTTCCCTGAATCCTTCAGACAAGGAAAGCCAGAGGAAAGGAGGAAGGGCAGGAGAGGGTGTGGGGGAAGCAAGGCAAGAAGCCAAATGATTTTGAACCATTTATTCTCCCTAGGTCCTTCTGGGTTTTCACATTTTGTTACAAAGGCTATAATAAACACCGCCCCCACTGCAGAGTGCTTCATTAAAACAACTGTATAACTAAAGTAATGAAGTAGAAGAAACAGATGTAATTTATTTATTTTTAATTTTATTTTTTTGAGATGGAGGTTTTTTTTTTTTTTTTTTTTTTTTTTTTTTTGCAGTTGCAAGATTTAATAGAGTGAAAACAGAGCTCCCATACAAACAGAGGGGACCCAAAGCGGGTAGCCATTGCCGGCTTGAATGCCTGGGTTTATATCCTGATCATTGTCCCTCCCTCGTGCTCTCAGGCGATAGATGATTGGCTATTTCTTTACCTCCTGTTTTAGCCTAATTAGCATTTTAGTGAGCTGTCTTTACTCCCTGATTGGTCGGGTGTGAGCTAAGTTGCAAGCCCCGTGTTTAAAGGTGGATGCCGTCACCTTCCCAGCTAGGCTTAGGGATTTTCTTAGTCAGCCTAGGAAATCCAGCTAGTCCTGTCTCTCAGTCCCCACTCTCAACAGGAAAACCCAAGTGCTGTTGGGGAGGTTGGCCAATGACCACTCTAACTGCTTCCTGCTGAATTGGGGCATAGTAGGGGTCGTGCAGTTGAGAGTTCCTCAGGAGGGGTGCCTTTGATGTCATCAACATCGGAGCATGGGCTAGCAGGCCGGTCCAGGGGTCCACAGTGAATCTTAGTCATGGACTGCATCTGGGGCTCCATTTGAAGAACTATTTGTAGTTTTACAGCTTCGATTCTGGAAGAGACAAACTTAACAAGGAGGTTAAAGATACAGGGATTGAAATGTATAGCCTGCAGTGCAGGGGATTATGTTTTTGGCACACTTCACAGGCCCTGACTATCTGCTTGATATTTTTGAAAAAGCTTGGTCCAGTAAATAATAATTTGGCCATCTGATGGGTGTTATCAATGCCTAAGTGAAAGGTTTGGTGAAGGGTTTTAAGTAATTTCCATTGGTTAGCTGCAGGCAAAAGTATTTTTCCTTCGGTGGCTAGCCATCCTGAGGGGAGGAAACTATGTCCTCGTGAGGTTCCCCATTCTATTTCTCCTGCTGAGTACTGGGGCTTGGTTTCCCAGAGGGGATTACCCCATACTAGAGGTCCTTCTATAAGCATTTCTAATGGAGGGTCCTGCCTTGCGGCTCTTTTGGCTTCAATATCCGCTTGGTGGTTCCCTTCTATTTCTCTTTCCTTTCCCTTCTGATGACCCCAGCAGTGTAAGACTGCCACCTCTTTAGGTTTCTGTACAGCCAATAATAATCTCCTAATGGCTTTCTGATGATTGATAGGTGTTCCCTCAGAAGTTAGGAATGCCCTTTTTGAGATGGAGTTTCACTCTTGTTGCCCAGGCTGGAGTGCAATGGCACCATCTCGGCTCACTGCAAACTCTGCCTCCCGGGTTCAAGTGATGCTTCTGCCTCAGCCTCCCGAGTAGCTGGGCTTACAGGCGCCCGCCACCATGCCTGGCTAATTTTTGTATTTTTTGTAGAGACAGGGTTTCACCATGTTGGCCAGGCTGATCTCAAACTCATGGAAAGGAAGTTCTGGGCCCAGTGACTTGGTCTTTGCCTTGTCACTCGGTGCTCTAAGCCCCTGTGGTACTCATTGCTGGGCATAAAATCAGCACCTGTTTATTTCACTGGGATGTTTTTTTGTTTGTTGGTTGGTTGGTTTTGAGATGGAGTCTCCTCTGTTGCCCAGGCTGGAGTGCAATGGCATGATCTCGGCTCACTGCAACCTCCATTTCCCGGGTTCAAGCGATTCTCGTGCCTCAGCCTCCTGAGTAGTTGGGATTACAGGTACCTGCCATCATGCCCGGCTAAGTTTTATATTTTTGTAGAGATGGGGTTTCACCATGTTGGCCAGGGTGGTCTCAAACTCCTGACCTCAGGTGATCTGCCCCCCTCGGCCTCCCAGAGTGCTGTGATTATTTCATTGAGATTTTAAGCTGCAGCCATTTAGTGTGGAGGGCATTCCAAAGGCGAAGGGCATTTACAAATCTGTTGTATTCAGGCAAAAAATTTTTAAATTAAATCTCGAACATGAAAGTTGTTTGTTTTGTTTTGTTTTTTTGAAACGGAGTCTTGCTCTGTCACTGAGGCTGGAGTGCAGTGGCATGATCTCAGCTCACTGCAAGCTCCACCTCCCGGGTTCAAGTGATTCTCCTGCCTCAGCCTCCCAAGTAGCTGGGACTACAGGCGCGTGCCACCACATCCGGCTAACTTTTTGTATTTTTAGTAGAGACGGGGCTTCACCGTGTTAGCCAGGATGGTCTCGATCTCCTAACCTCGTGATCCGCCAGCCTTGGCCTCCCAAAGTGCTGGGATTACAGGCGTGAGCCGCCACGCCCAGCCTAGAACAAGAAAGTTTTAGCGATAACAGCCATGGTTCACGAGGAGCCCCACATGTCAGGCCCTACGGCGTGCACATTCCTTGGGTCTTCACAACTGTCCTGCCAGGTAAGTATCGCTGTTGCTGTTCTATAGATGAGACTTTAAAACCTGTCAGGGACATTAATTAATTTGAGATGAAGCTAATATTCGGACCACCCAGGTCTATTAAGATTCAAAGCCTGTGCTGCCCTTTAACTGTAAGCGGGAAATATTCAAGGAGCCAGATCACCTGGGAATCCCATGCCAAATACAGCGCCTCACCTACTGCCCTGAAGCCCTGGCCCCCGGGCCCGCGTGGAGTGGCCCCCGGGCCTGCGTGGAGTGGCTTGCTCTAGGTGCTGGTGTAGGTTGCCAGAACGTTTTGTGCTTATAGATGACTGGTAACAGTGGAGACAAATACAACTCTGTAAATGAAAATGGCTTCGTAAGCAGGGAAAGTGATATAAGAGCCGCTATATACAGCTGCAGTTTTTTTTTTAGAATAATAAAAAAAAATGTATGTGCTTACTAGTAAGTCCTTTAGAAAGTATTTTTAGTCACCACTCTGCTATGTTCAAAAACTGAGCTTTTGCACTTCTGATTTTTTTAGCATGAAAGGGTAAAGTTGGGTGAATGAGGTTTGCATTATTAAGGCAAAAGCTAGAGTCTTGACAGAAACATGACATTAAGACTTTTGGGAAGCTGTTTTAAAATGTGTGTTTGAATTAGAATCCATTCAAACAAAACATCAAGGCAGTGTAGTGAAGGAAATCTAATTAGAATGTTCTCAGCAACAGACTCATATGCTGTGCACATGTCATCATGGGAGAGCAGAATAGGGGCTTTATTCCATGGCCCACTCTGGGTGGGTCTCTGGAAGGTTCCAAGGGATTATTTCAAGCATGCCTTTCTGGCAGTCCCCCTGGCCGTGGGGAGAGGGCAACCAGGTGAGTGTGTGGCCAGGTGGATTCTGCTCAGCTGTTGACACTTCTGTTTGCAAAACAAATGACTAAAATAAGTGGGTGAAAGAAAGCCAGGAATTGCTTAGCTTCAGAAGTTGGAGGGGTTTGGGAACAGTCAGGTGGCACTGAAGTACAATGGAGAACCCAAATTCACGAGCTTTGGAGCATTAAGGAGGCCCAGGGCAGGGTGGTGTCGAGACCATCGTCAAGGAGGGGGTTCAGACAGAAGGCAGTGGTGTGGGCATTGGACATAGCGCTTGCCCTCTCTCCCTGCCATCATCCCCTCCAACCCCGCCCGTTCTGTCTGTCGCTTGGTTTGCACTGTCTCCGAGGCATCTGAGCCGAGTGCTTCTTGGCTCCCACGCTTCAGCTCCAGCCAGAGCGGGCGGTTCCTTTGTGCACCAGCAGTTTCCAAGCACTTCCAAGCCTTTGTTTTTCTGTCTCAGGTATTTTGCTGAAGCCTTCTGAGCTTGCTCAGTCCACAGCCAGGGTGGCTGGGAAGATGAACCTGTAAGGGCACTCCTCAGCAGTGGGCAGATGAGATGTCCCAGCCTCCTGTCCTTCAGAGGCACAGCCTGCATGGTTTCTCGAGTGTGGCTGAACCCCTTGGCCCGTAGTGGGAACCAGCTCAGCATACCTTTTGTATTTTCTCTCTCCTCTCTCATTTGCCTGTTTCCTCTGCTAACAGTTCCCACATCCTTGGCTCTGAGACAGCTTCTAAAGTGACAGCTGGTACAGCCTCCCAGGGACAGTGGGGGAGAGAGGAGCCCTGTGTCTCCGTTGTGAGAAGCCAGTCCCAGGTTTTACTGGATTTGCTGCTTATGGTCTGCATAAGCAGGGATCCCAAGCCTGGATTCCCCTCATTCCTTCTGTGCAGAGCTGTCTGCAGGAACAAAGTTTGCATAGTTGTTAGCGTTAGCAAATTTGGGGGGTATCTTTAATATTTCTCTAATGGTTTGCTAAATTCAGAGATTACAGAATTTATTCCAGAGTGTGGTGTGGTTAATTAGTGACTATTTGCTGTTTGACAGGAAAGAAACTTTCCTATTGCTCTATTCCTTCTTATAGCTCTCTTCAAATCCCCTTTCCAAAATAATCTTAAAGAAAGAATTTAATTCAGAATCGAAAATGGATGTACCATTAGAATTTAGGGCCCATACCAGAATTTGGGGCCCATACCATTTTGAATGGTATTTTCAAAATTTCAGTTTCCATTTGCTAATTATAAGTACATAGAAATGCAAAAATAAATTGCATATCCTGCAACCATGCTAAATCCACTTTAGTAGTTTGGTAGATCGTGTGGGGTTTTATGCACACACAGTCATCATCTGTGAACCCATATTCTTATTTAGAGCATAGAGATAATACTATTCTAGTCTCTCGGTGTAGGAAATTTAGAGCCTCTCTGTTGTTACATTATCACTGACTGGAGACCTCCAATGCCAAGGAGTTTAAAACACACACTGAGGGGGTCTGTTCCATTGTGGAATAGTTGTCATTGTTAGGAATCTTGTTCATATTTTGGGCTGAGCATTTCGGTTTTGTGTGACAGCCACCCAAAGACTTTTTGAGGCATCTAGAAAGTCCTCCCTGGGCGCCTCAGGTGGGGTGAGCAGTTTCTCTGGGGACTCCTTGCATGAGGGGACCTGATGACTGTCTGAATGACCTGTGTAGAACCCAGCATTGGGAAACGAATCATGATCTGACCAGAATTGCTTCTAGTAGAATATGAAGTAGTGATTTTTTTGAAAAGTCAGAGTGACTACAAGCTGAGTGGGAAGTTTAGCTAGGGAGCCACAGGAAGTATTTCTTTGAGACAGGTCTTAAAACACACAGCATTTTCCCCATGCATGTGCCTTGTTGCTGAAAGACAAAGAAAAACAAAACAAAAACCCAAGGGACAAATGTATGCCGCTGATTATTTTTAATGATTTTGTGCTATGGTTTGACCACAGCATTAAGAACAAGCAGAAAAATCTGATTTCATAACTAACAAACAGCACTTAGAGCAACATCTTTCTTTAAAAGTATTGCAATTACAGACCTTAGGTCTAAGAACTACACCATTGCTCAGGTAAAAGAGGCAGATACGTGACAGGTGGAAATCTTTTTCTGTATATAACTGGGAATTATGTTGAAAAGTAAGCACGAATGTTTGTTAAAAAAGACTTTAATGACTTTTGATTATCATAGCTCACAAACAACTATTGAAAAGTTCAAATACAGTTGTACTTTTTTAGTAGATTGCTTTATAATAAAAATTAAACGAACTAAATGCTGTGAATAGTATTGTACATATTTTAAAATAGCCTTAAACTAGACAAGTATACAATTAGCATGATTTTTGAAAGCTATGAAATGAAAAATAGCAACATACCAACAAGCACATTAAAATGAACCAGTATCATTAACAGTAAAGTTTAAGCCTCAATTCGTCCTGTAGAAAGGAAGCAATGATGTGGTAACAAATTTTAGTACCTCTGAGTCTAGAACATTCTCATGCTCAACAGTTCTCCCACAAGGTTGAACCTGGGGGGTGGGAGCTTTGTTTCTGACAACAGTGAGCCTCAGTTCTTAATGATGAATCCCAAGGGGTGCACCCTACAGTATACGATGGAAACAACACGTGGGTCTAGACACGCAGGATCCACAACAACAAAAGTGTCAACTTTTTACGGCCCTTTCAAACAGATACTAAAAGGGCTGACTTTTTTAATCCATTCAGCATTAAGGGTTGCATTGTAGAGTCAATTTCAGTTTAAAGATAATCTGTCATTTGTTTCCTGGATGTTAGGGGTATGATTATAGAATCTGACATTTTCAAAGTCAGAACATACACCATGGAGCAAATAAAAACTTTGGAATTTATTAGACTCTACTCTGGTGGCAGAATAAGCTGATAATATGGGTCAGATGGGCAAAATTCCACGAACTGCTCTTATGGACAACACTCGAAAGGATGCCCACACCCAAGATTCAACCGTGGTTTTAGTGAACATGGTGTTATAAACTTTTCTTGTTCTTTTGTTTTAAAATTAGGGTATTTGAAGATAAATGCAGAGGTCACAATCAGACACTAAAAACTAAGCCGGAAGAGAGATGTAACAATATACAATCCAAAACGTAATTTCTAACTGATGGCAAAACCGAGTTTGCTTTTTGGGTCCGTATTATGATGGGACATGAATGGGAATGGATGAGAGGTCCTTCACTTGGCTGGCTGACAGCCAAGTCTCTTCTAGTGCTAACCCATAACTAAACACATTTTCTAAGAACAGGGTCTTCTTGTAAGTGTATTTGTTTTTCCTGAGGTATTCTTTCCCTACAATCTCTACTGTTACTTCATTGGCTCCACAGCTTCAGTTTGTAAAAGAAAAAGGCACAGAGAGACTTGGACACAGACGGTCACAGATGCCTCTGGAGCTGAACAAAGTCTTCTGCTGCAGGCTGATTTACTTATTCCTCTGACACAGTTTCTGCAACAACAAAAATGTGCACTTTTCACTGTTGCCTGACACCTTCGTGATGCTACAGCAGGAGATAGATGCAGGAGATTATAAAGCAAGTTGAAAAACAACATTTTTCTGACTCAAATATAACTAACACTGGTCCAGCTGAGCATTACTAAAATGATTAAAATAAGAAGCGTCTAGTGGCAACCAAAAAGCTGTGGGATTTTTTAAAAAGTATTTTCTTTAAAGTGTTTTCACAGCAAAGATGCAACTTTCCATTGCTATATATACGCTGGTCATAAACTGTTGCTTGTTTGTTCACACTTCTTTCTCTTGTGTTATAATATTGATATTTAATAGGAAAATAAACTACATAGACTTTAATCTGTATGCATCCATTTGCAAATTTCCTTACAAAAGAGGACAAAGCACATAGGCATTCACAAATTCTATGCCATTTCTGTTAAAATTGGTATCATCTATACATTATATTACAGTATTAACAACTTTTTGTTCTACCCATTGGGTAGGATATGTGCATAATATATTCAACTTATATACAGCACCTTACAAATAAAAACATAAGAAAAGACAGACAACTGAAAAAAGCACCATTTTAAGTGAGGCACAACAAAGGTGGGAGCATCAAGTGCAGGAGGGGGCGGCTTGGTTCCTATATCTGCTGAACTCAGAACATGAGGCACCTTAGTTGCTGAAAAACTGACATGCAGATCTCTGACATGATAGGGGTATATCTACATATATATAATGTGCACGGATAGTGTATATATAATCTCTATAGCTCTAACCCTCTCCCGCATTACACAAAAACAAGGACACGCAGAGGGAAGAAAGAAAAGGATGAAGGAAGACATTGCTTTCTTAGCAAGACATTCCTACACTCAGACAGCAGCTTCCTAATGCATCCAGTTCGAGAAGCAGCAGCAGCAGCAGCAGCAGCAAATGACTGTCTGACCCTGGCAGTAACATAAACTTGAACTCTGCAAAGGACACAGCGTGCCGGGTAATAAAGAATGCTGAAATATTGGTTCCTAAAAAATGTAGACCACTGCAAGGCTAAGAGTGCTTTCCATTGTCTGTTCACATCTCTGTGATCTGTAGCGGTGCTGGCAGCTGGCGGTGGTGGAAATGGCGAACGGTAAGCCACGCAGCTGCTGAGAACTAGCATTTAGGATCTGGGCTGGAAGCAACATTTTTAAATTTGTGACTTTCCTCGCACCAAGAAGGGGAAGTTCTCCCTTTGCCCACCTGTCATTCAATTGTCCTTTCACCTCAGTAGGCCAAGCACGCGGCATTCTTGGTCAGTGTGAGCAGGAGAGCAAAGGGCAGGCTGTGGAGCATGTTCGTGGCATGAAGGCTTGGCTCCAAGCACTGGCTTTAATCACTTAAGCAAGCAACACAAAAGTTAACAGAAACCAAGTATCTTTCCCAGTTTTTTCTTTCATACACTGCCGAGCTTTGGAAAATTTTTAAAAAATGAATGGTACACAAAGTTAATGTTGCCATTCTAAGTAGCAAAATTCAATAAACAAGCAGTGCAGCAAGCCCCCGAGATGGGGGCGCATCCAGTCATGGCTGCATGGGGGGCCGGGCTCCCTGCGCCCACAGCAGAATGTCTCTGAGCCTGCCAGTGACCAACGCCATGAGCCGGTCCTTTGAGGGAGGGCTTCGGACTGGGTGCCGGGTGTCTCTCTACTAGCAATCAGTATCTGGCCTGAGGACATATTTGAAGTGCTCTGCACCAGAGCCTTCCTAAAAAGAAGAGCCGCTGGATGGAAGATAGAGGATGGCCCCTGTCAGAGAAGGGAACTGTTGGTTCAGAGAGGAAGGCAGGGATTTGGATGGATTCTTCTAGGTCAGAGAAGATTTCTAAAAGTGCTTCCTTTTGAGCCTTTCTCATTCTTATGAAGATGAAATAAAGGTGAAAGAGATCAAACGGAGATACGCAGAAGTTCAAGAAGTCCTCGCCTGGGTACAAAATTCCTCTGCTGGTGTCAGGAGGCCTCCCCCATTTACTGTTGGCCCCTATTTCCTGCCTCATAAGTTTGAGCCAAAATTAGTGAATGGAAATGCAGTCCTCACGATAAATCTTTTAAAAATTCGCTTCTGCTCTCTTGGGATTTCTTGTGGCTTGGGTGTGTGTCCATGTGTTTATGTGGTGGGGAGGGTGAGGACATGCTTGTCAAGCTTCTGTATTAGTAAATTTTGGACACTAAAAATAGAAGAACTATTGAAATACATAATTTGCTTCATGAAATCTCTTTTCCATTAAGGATTGCGTCAGTATTTAAAGAGAATGCTAGAGTTTCTGAAAAAGCAAACGTATGCTGGAAGATTGTGTTCTTATAGATGGGATTCAAGATGCCTTGGGTCTCCTACACCGGGAACAAGGGACAAAAGTCAGCGGTATGCCCAGGAGTGTTCATTCCCACCAAATGTTCTTCCTAACAATGCAATCCACACTTTGCTGGAATAATCTAAGATTATAAACCTATCATTGATTGCCTAAATCACTCGTTACTAAACTGGACCCATGGGTTCTATAAGCTAAAAAAAGGGTTCTTGAAAGAACAATAGGCCCCACTGTGTAAGTTGTATCTTCCCAGTCGCTACTCTTTCAACGCCACACTAGCCATGAGGCGACACGGTATGAACAGGTCAGCCACAACCTTCAAAAGAGCTACTGATCTAAATCACCTTTTCCTTCTGCTGAAGGGAAATTGACCATCAATTCATGTTATGACCTTGGCTTTTAAACTAATTCATTACAGAGCCCCAGCCTCGAAGACCTTTCAAAGTCATGGTTTGATATGTATGAGTCTTTAAATAACTATTTAACAAAGGCAGTTCTCTAGGGTGGTTGAATGGGAGGAGCCTCTTTCTTGAAAGATGATTAAAGGTATCTGAATTATGTAATTATCTCGCCAATACTGTGGACATGTGCAACACATTCATATACTCACAGTTACTAAGGAATTCACAAGTCTCTGCTCTGAGCCCCTTCTTGAGGCAGGTAGAGAAGTAAGGACTGTGAAGCCATTTGAGAGCTAGAGCTGTGGGGTGCATCTCCTGCTTCACCAAAACTGCAGGTGAGAACTGAAATGATGGAATCACTCACCTCGCCTCCGCATCTGTGGGCACACCTGACCAAGAATCCACTGCAAGTCCCTGCCAGCAGGGCCCGATGGGAACACGGGCTCCTCATCTTTGCCTGACAGAGGAAGAGAGGCTAATCTGGAGAGCCAGTGAACCTTCAGGGTGTCTCCAGGGTTGGGGAGGGTCCTTCTGGCCCCAAGCCAATCTCTGCCCTGAGAGCTGGTGTCTCTCCAGCAGAGGCCTTCCAACTGTCACTGGAACAAGACTGAATCCAGTCTCAGAACCTCCACTGTGACTCTCAACTGTATATACTTCCACACAGGTTGTAAGCATGAGCTGACAACTGGTGCCTGTGTTTTTCCTCTCTCCTTTTAAGAGTTGGACTAGTTCTGTGGATGTTACTGTGTGCAAAGGATGAATGTAATGGAAATTCCAATCCTCAAAACAAACAAACAAAAACCAGTGACCTATCTACAGAGGTAAGAAGCAGAAGGGAACAGACTAGGATCAGACAACTCTTGGGGTTTGGAACAGTCTCTCCAGTTACAGCACAGAGCCACCGCACCGACGGATCACCTTCGAGACCCACAGACAGACACAAACACACACACGCGGATTTGGCTTTAAGGCTGCATAGGTGGGAGTCATGGAATCATCATTCCAGCTCATCTTGTTATGTGAAGAGGCCACAGAGGCCCACCCTCCACATGGCAGAGTGTACTGCAGATAAGCCCTTCTCCACGCGCAGTGTCTGCTAAACGTGTTGGCTGCTGCTCTTATAAAAGCCAGTGCTTACATCTGCAGAAGAAAGTTATTTTTTTCATTGTATATAAGAATGAATATTTGTAAATATCAGGAATATTAAAACTAACAATATTTAAAATTAGTTTTCTAGTTGCATTTTAACTGCATGTTGTGCTTTTTACCCGGTGCTCTTCAGTCACTTGCCCCCTCCACTGTTCTCTGACTGTCCAGTTCTTGCCTTCAGTACAAAAGCTGGCCTGGGGAAGGGTTTGGTAGAATCCTGCGGGAATTTGGGTAGGTTTTGAGCACTGCATTCCTTTAAGAATGCTATGCTAATACTAGTGACATACAATAACCCACAATGGCTTATTACCACGATCAGCAACATGGCATTCTTCCGTCATTATTTCTAGGGGCTTCCAAAGCATAAGAAACCACCACCCACACCACTCCCACACGAAGTTCTGTGTAGGCTGGATGTGGGGTGGCTGCTGGGAGCCTCCTGTGAACTGAGCAGCCCTGCAGAACTGAACTAAGCTGTCGAGGAAAGGGGGAGAGGCAATGGGAATATACTGAGGAGTCACATATTTCAACAGTATGCAGAATAACCACCTTGCATTTTAAACAATTTATTGCATAAAATAAGGTATGTATTTGAATATATTTCATGCTATAGTGAAAAAAATCTAAATTACTGAAGAAATTGCACTGCTGGAGGATGAGGGCAGCACTGCATGATACTGGATCCATAAATGCATGTGTTCATTTTCTCATAAACTATGCAGCCTAAGAGTAGCAGAGTAACTCAAAATAACAAGTCAGAAATGCTGGAACTTAATCTTCCCTATCTTATCTTCCATCCAAAAGTCTCCAAAAGCTTCAGCGATGCACTGCTATTTGATGCAAACTCCTGCAACAATAATGACTTTTTTGATTTACGTAAGTTGGTAAAATGTTAGGCTACGTCCCCAAATATCTTTTCTTGGATGCTTCTGGGGACCACTCCAGGATATTCCTTGGGCCTGATTACAATCCACAGGTGAAAAGACAACATACAGAACTTCACGTAAAACAGTTCCCTTGTAAATATTTTCAACATTAAGATAGTGCAACTTTTAAAACACATCATCACAACACAAAGGAGCTCCTTGCACTCATCTAACTTCTCCACTTTATACCTTGGCACACAACACAGGAATTTTGATTCATATTTTTAAAACAAAATAAAAGTTCCACACCTTAGGAGAAAAAGCGAACTGGCTGGTTCTTCCCCACAATAATATATAATAATGCTTCCTTCTTTATTCAGTTAATTATAAAACATGCCATTCTGGCCTCATTTATCTGCAAAGTCTCCTTTCACAATTAAATACATCAAATACCTCTGTGGGTTTTATTTCATGGTATCTTCAAAGCATCCCGTTCTCTGTTTTCCCCTGCCCACACCCCCATCCCAACCCCTGTCCCCAAATAAACACTGTTTGCGGTCAGACCAGATGGAAGTTTGTATCATTTCAGTCTAGTTTGCATGCAATTCCCCTAAAAGGAATCAGAAACAAAGACCGTGTTTGCTCATTTGGTTTTACTTATTTGTACCATGTGAAACTGAACAACACTGTGCGCAGGAGGGGCCCAGCGGCCGCTTCCCTTCTTGGTTTCTTTCTCCAGCTGAAGTGCACGTTGGAAGGAATCAGACCAGGTTCCCAGGCTTCCTATCTTTGCCTTTGATGGGTACTATTGTGCTCTCTGCATTGTTCTGCTGAAACTGCAGTCTGCTGCCCCTGTGTGCGTTGCTGCGCTGGTGATGGAGGAAAGAGGCGCCTGGGTGGTGGCCCATCACCTCGCTGTATGTGGGGGGTGGCCCCTCCATCCTCCCGTTACTGCTGCAGGTGCTTGCACTGATGCCCGAGTTGCTGCTGGGTGGGCATGGACCCCCGCTATACATAGCAATGTCTATTAAATCACTGTCAAATATGGTTCGGTTGGGTGGGGCCCTCACGGACTCTCGGTTGAGTTCCATCTGCTGTTCAGGGTCCCGGAGCTGCAGGGTGCAGGGCCCCTGGTAAGGAGGTGGCTCTTCACCGTCGGACAGGGAGATGGTGGGAGGAAGATCAATCTCGTGCTGCACATAGGGGTAGGTGGGCTGGAAGCGGCTGAAGCGATCCCTCTGGATGAAGGACGGCGCTGTGAACCTGTCCCTGGACCGCGGGGCATGCATGATCTGGAAGGAAAAGAGGAGAGGCTTGAAGACAGTTTGAGCGCAATGATGACCATAAATGTGTCAGAATCAAGGAAAGTTACGCTTGGTGTGTGTTCCTACCAGTTTGAACACCATCTCCCAGGAAAAAAAAAAAGAAAACAGGAAAATCCAATTCCAGAAAAAAAAGTGTACTTTTCTGATTCCTTATGACAGACCACTCACCTTGCCAAATCCCAGCGCATCCAGGAGGGCTGAGCAATGGAGAGCTGTGGGTAATGGAAAGCTTGGGCTCCTGGGAGTTTCTGTGCGTGCTACGTGTGCATTTTCCCCTTGGAAACAGAACACACTAGGAACTCCAAGAGTCACAGGGCGAAGAGCACTGCGGCCTGCACTTGGATCTGGTCACCAGTGACATCGTCCAGTCCTCGGCTTCTCTATAACTTACGAGGACAGGACAGGGCTGCCTGCTTTCTCAGGTCCCTGCCAGCTCTAGAACTTAGAACCTATGGTTCAGAAAAGTAAGGAGGGGCTCCGAGTTTTTATTTTTATTTAATTTTTTATCTTAATTTTTTTTTTTTTTGAGACAGGGTCTGGCTCTGTCACCTAGGCTGGAGTGCAGTGGCGCCATCTTGGCTTATTGCAACCTTAACCTTCTGGGCTCAAGTGATTCTCCCACCTCAACCTCCTGAGTAGCTGAGACTACAGGTGCACACCACCATGCCTAGCTTTTTTTTTTTTTTTTTTTTTGAGATGGGGTTTTGTCATGTTGCATAGGCTTGTCTTGAACTCCTGAGCTTAAGTGACCCACCCACCTCAGCTTCCTAAAGTGCTAGGATTACAGTCATGAGCTACTGCGCCGGCCAGAACTCTGAGTAAGCAGAAGTTATAACTTCACACAGTGGTACGTGGAGCAGATACAAAGCATTGGGTCGATTTATTAATTACTTAGAGAAGATCATTGCCAATTACTTTTTAACAAATTCCCCCCAAAATGACTGTTTTTTCTTTGTGGCTCCTAGACTTTTCCAGTTATCTGGAATCTGAATAAAAGTTTCCTGTAGTTATTTTTAGTCACTGACATGAAAAATATTTTTTACTCAAATAAATATGATTATAATAATTTATTTTTTCAAAATGAATCCAGGTAGTACATTTCTTACAAAATCTTCTCATTTGTTCTACCATCCCAGTTTCTTCTAGGAGACGGCTCTTTTATATACGTACATACACACACACACGCATATATGCATAGATGTGTATGTGTGTATACATATATGTGTATATACATGCATTTAATATACACACATATCTACACACGTACATACAGATATTGATTTCTCTCACACCAATATTTTTAACTTAAAGGCAAAAACATGTTATTTTAAAATCCACATTATTACACTTGGAGATGTGGGAATGAATCATGCTATGATATTTATAAACCATGCCCACTTGCCAAGGCACATTAGTAGAAGCTTACGGGATCATGTAAAGATAAGTGATTCTCAAATTGTTTTTGATAAGGAGCTTTAGACTAGCAGGAATAATCCCTGGAAGATTCTAGGGGAAGTCCCCTCCCGCTTTTGACCAAAGTTCTAGGCAATGCCTTCCTCCAAAAGTGTCAGCCCACGTGGTGAGGCCCCTCCCCTTCCACCCCACGTGGCAGGGACACGCCCCCTTCATCCCCACCCACCCCCCCCGCCCCCCGCAGCCATCACCTCCTGGGGCCCCTTACCTCCGAGGCGCCCAGCCGCGGTGCGGCGCTGTCTGAAGGCCACAGGCACCCTTCCTGGCGGAGGGGAAGGGGAGGAGAGTGGGGGGAACAAGAAACAGAGGAAAATCATTAGCCCCGCCGCACCTAAAAACATGAAGCACAACTTCTGGAAACGGGGATCTGCATAAAACGTGGAGCGAGGCCGGGCGCCATGGCTCAAGCCTGTAATCCCAGCACTTTGGGAGGCAGAGGCGGATGGATCACGAGGTCAGGAGTTCGAGACCAGCCTGGCCAACATGGTGAAACCCCGTCTCTACTAAAAATACAAACATTAGTTGGGCGTGGTGGCGGGTGCCTGTAATCCCAGCTACTCGGGAGGGTGAGGCAGGAGAATCGCTTAAACCTGGGACGCGGAGGTTGCAGTGAGCCGAGATCTTGCCACTGCACTCCAGCCTGGGCGACAGAGTGAGACTCCGTATCAAAAAAACAGAAGAAAAAAAAAAAACAAAAAATAGATAAACAAACAAACAAACAAACAAAAAACGTGGAGCGAGAAAGAGCCCGTCCCTTTTCAGACCTCTTGTCTACATGGAGGGCTGTGAACAAAAGGAAACATGGAAAAGTTGAACTCCTGGCCAGATTAGATTTGAAGTGGAATATGGCTCACTCTCTACACCTGTGTGCTTGAAATACATTCAAGATGACTGTCCAACCGCATTCAGTGGCCGCCCGATGAGGGCAGGCTGGGTTGAGGAAGCCCTGGCAGAGGTGGCCCGGGGCCCGCCCGTGCCCTGCCCGGCCTCCAGCAGAGGCGCAAGTCCGCGCTCGCAGGTGGACGGCCCTTTCCGAGCCTGGGCTCAGGATCCTCCAGCGAGTGTCTTCTCCAGTCCACCTATTCACAGGGCAGATGCAACTTCACATCTGGTGAGTTAGCATCCTTTTTCAAAAACGTTTGGCCAGATTGACAAGGTGACAGGCCAGCCACAGGCCTCAGTAAAGGTTCTTTCCAAGGCCCCACGCGTGCTGGGAAAAAAAGTACGCGTGGTACCCTTTTCAGCCCAGAGTGTGGCTGTCAGCAGGGTCCGCGGGGCTGTCGGCCGTCACGGGAGAGCGCGAACTCAGCGTGTAGGGGCCCGCGTTTGGGGAATTCTCGGAAACGGGCGGGCTGGGCCATCACTGAGCCTCCGACGGCCCCGGCGCCAGCAGCGAGGGACGGCGCGGAAGAAACACCGAGCCCCGCGTTTGTCCAACACGGCCCTTTCCTAAGATACTCGGGGACATCCTGGAATCAGTGGCAAACGTATACGGCGGTCCAGCTGCTCGGAGACGAAGGGTGGGCTCAGGGACCGCCTGTGACGGGAGGGAAGGGCCCGGCCTGGCAGGCACAGACGAGGGCGGGGGTCCGGCGCCAGCGGGGCGGAAGCGGGAAGGGGGCGGAGGCCCTCCCACCGCCCAGGGCCCAGGCTGGGCCCGCAGGGGCGCTCCTCGCTCCGGGAGCCCAGTCAGCCGTAGCCAGGAACGCCGCCAGGTCCATCTGCGGGGCACTCAGAGGGGCTGAGCGGTTCCTGAAAACGTAGTGACTGTCCCCAGTGGCCTTATTTCCCGAAAAACCAGCAAACCCGGCCAAGTGCCCACAGGAGCCGCCGTCCAGTCCGGCTGCGCCCCCGAGGCCCGGCCCTCGGCTGACCCAGCGCCCCGCTCCCCTTGCCGCACCCCACGCCGACTGGCGGCCCCGCCAGCCCGGACAGGAAACCGCCAGAGGCGCGCCTGCTGCTCCTCTGGGCCGCCGCCTCTCTCCCTCACCCCAGTCCTCGGGCCCCGCATTTCCCTCGCCCGCCACAGGCCCCGGCCTCCCTCCTGTTCTGCAGCACTGAGTGTCTGGGCAGAGGCCGCTGCCCTAGGCGGCACCTGCTGTGGCTTGCCTGAATGCAAGGACTATCTTAACCTATCTAATCAATCGATGGATCCATCTATCTCTGTCTAATCTGTTTCTCTCTATTCATTCATCCATCTAATCTATCCATCTATCCTTCTAATCTATCTCTATCCATTTGTCTCTGCCTATCCAACTTATCCATTCATCAAGCAATCTAGGCTATCTATCTAAATATCTGTATCTCTCTCTCTCTCTATTTACCTATCCATCCATCTAATCCATCTATTGAGATGGGGATCTCGCTATGCTGCCCAAGCTGATCTTGAACTCCTGGGCTCAAGTGATCCTGCCTCAGCCTGCTAAAGTGCTGAAATCACCATGCCCAGCTAAAGGACTCTCCTCCTCTCTGGGAAATTCACAGCACCCACAACTAAGAATTGTTGCTGTTGACATCTCATCAGACTTGTCTCATCTTTTCCTCTATATGTGTACTTTAAAAAACTACACACGTAATACATGTATACATTCTCCCTTGTACCACACACAACCAAAGCCATTTTAGAGTCCCAAATCCACCCGTATGCTGGTGCTGCACCTCTGCACTGTGTGTTTTTAATAATGCATTTCCCAGACCTACATGCGTGACACACATTGTTTAATTTGTTAAATAAGTAACTAAATTCTTTCTTAAGGCCTGTGAACCCAGGTGCCCCTCTTCTCCGTTCCCTCTCTCATTGGCCTTATCCGGCCTGTCGGCAGGTCTTCTAACGCATCCCACAGAGAGTTCCTGAGGCCAGGAAAGGGGTGCAGAGGGTAACGCAGGGCATGCCTGCAGCCCTGGGGTCTCCTCCCCGCCACACCACCTTCCTCAGCCTTGCTGCCCGGGCCAAGCCAGCCCTGGACCTTTCCCAGGCCAGCCCACCAGTGTAGGTCCCATCTGCTCCTGTTGCTCAAAACAAGGGCACAATTGTTACCTATTCATTTTGCTTGCTGGGGTGGAAAAAGGTGTTCTGCCCTGAGGTTCTCAAAGCCTGAGAACCAAGCCTGGAGCAGGAGAGTTGGCCACTGGTAGAGAGGAGTTCAGGCCATTCCTGCCTTGGGACATCTGCCAGACGGGATGGCCTGGAGATGGGAACTTTTCCTGCCTGGCTTTTGTTTTTTGCAGGAATGTAACAGCAAAATTAAAAATCTAAAATGGGAGGAAATGCATCTACAGTCCCATCATCCTAATACTTGAACGGATTTCATTTTTTTTTTTTTTTTTTGAGATGGAATCTCGCTCTGTTGCCCAGGCTGGAGTGCAGGGGCGGGATCTCGGCTCACTGCAAGCTCCGCCTCCCGGGTTCACGCCATTCTCCCGCCTCAGCCTACCGAGTAGATGGGACTACAGGCGCCCGCCACCACACCCAGCTAATTTTGTTTTTTTTGTACTGTTAGTAGAGACGCGGTTTCACCATATTAGCCAGGATCCTCTCGATCTCCTGACCTTGTGATTCACCCGCCTCGGCCTCCCAAAGTGCTGGGATTACAGGCGTGAGCCACCGCACCTTGCCAGTTTCTTTCTTTAAGTGCTTTTCTAATGCTTGTTCATTTGCATATATTAAATTTATACAGTTGTAACCATAATGTGGCCAGAGTTGTGTATTCTCTTCTTCACAGAGTATAACATAAGCACTTTCCTCTATCACCACCAGTTTTTTCCAGCTTTATTGAGGTATAATAATATAACAAAAATTATGACTACATAATAATTTATTTAACTATTTACTGACAATTGCCCCCTGCCCCAATTTATTTACTTTTATAGGAAACTTTTTTTCCCAGGCCTTTCACCCACACAGTACATGGGGACATTATAACTACAACATGCTGTGGTGGAAGAGCTTGAGGCCAAAACCCGAGAAGGCTGGCATTCCAGCTCTGTGCCCCAGGCTGCTACCCAGAAAACCCAGATGGGAAGACTGACCGGAGTTCTAGAAAGGCTGAATCCCAACCACCCCGTACCATTAGCTGATGCTCGCTCCACAGCCTTCTCTGGTCATTCCACCAAGGCTGTCACACGCTGATTGTTGGCAAGGTCACCGTCCTTAGCCCTTAAACCTCTCATGCTGCTGATGAAGCCTGCTGGCTCCTGCTCCATCTCTGTCAAACGAGGGTGTGACTCTGTGACTGGTGTCCTCCAAGGGGCTTGTGCCAACTGAGAGAGTGCAGATAGCTGAGTACAAAGATGTGTCTCCCTTGTCTAGGTTGGGGGTCTCTTCACTCACCCCACATGCTATGGAGAACATTTTCAGGGAGAAGGGGGCTCACTACACAGCTGGCTGCCGCTCAGATGGCAGCATTCCCGCATACTCATTATGGGGCCAATTTTAATCAACAATGAAGGCACTGATGTTCTTGGCTAATGCTTACATTGTTGTATCACTCAAAATAAGCTGTGAAATAAGATAATACTTAAAGTAGTTCACAGAATTTTAAGCAATAGGAACAAAACTTTGTTAATAACTTCATACAGGCTGAAATGCATTCCCTGTCTTGTAGGCTATTTCCTTGTAATAACAACCAAAAGGGAGGCAGCCATTCACCCAGCTGTTCATTAATGACCTCACTATACATGTACGGAATACTTCCTTGCAGCGGGTCTCAGTCCTCTTCCATTGCAACATGTGAGCAGATGTGCACATGTCCAACAGATACTGGTGCTGCATGTCCCCAAGGGCTGGGAGACAGGGGCTCTGCACAGTTCCCAGGGCTCATGGAGTCACTCTAAACCCAAGAAACTCAAGAAAGCATCCTGGAATGCCAGTGGGTTAGAGGGACATTACTCTAGGGATCACTTTGAATGAATTCTAGTTTACTTTTTAAGTTACGTTACTCTCAAATCACTCATGTTTGACCATTATAAGGACCAGTTCCTTGAGACCCACATCGCACTGAGCAGGACTTATCAGGGGCTGTTATACCTGCCCCAGGATGCTTACGAGAGGGCACCTGCTCTGGGGGCACACAGGTCTGGCAGCAGCTTTCAGAGGCCTCTTGTATGTGCACTGCCTTGCAAGCATGTTTTTATTCTCTTATTTTCTCCCTGGAACAAAGGCAGTAACAAAAAAGGTAACAAGAATTATCTGATGACAATTTAATATTATACAGATGGAGGCTACCACTATCAGCATAGGTATACATCTGTAAGGGTAAGAAGTCTCTGAGGTAGGTAGCCATTGCATAGGCTAGAATTCTGGCCATGCTTTTCATTTTTAAATTTAAAACATTTTCATTTATTATTTTTTAAGAGACAAAGTCTATGTTGCCCAGGCTGGAGAGCAGCACATTTTCATAAATGTGCTCATAGCATTGAACTCCTGGCCTCAAACACATCCTCCCACCTCAGCCTCCCGGATAGCTGGGACTACAGGTGTGTGCCACCGAGCTCAGCTTCTGCCACTTTCCAAACTGTGATCTCAGGCAGCTCATTTAGTTTCTCCCAGCCTCAGTTCCCTTATTTGTAAAAAGAGGTTGTCATGAGGCTCAAATACCATTTATGAGAATTCCTTAGCATAGTGCCTTAAATAAGCTTCAGCAAACAGGTAGCTCTTCTCATCACAGGTAATGGTTACTTGCTGTTGTTATGCACAGTTAAAGGGGGATAAATTTCCATTACCTCTCTCTCTCTTTTTTTTTTTTTTTTTGTTGTTGAGACGGAGTCTTGCTCTGTTGCCCAGGCTGGAGTGCAGTGGCATGATCTTGGCTCACTGCAACCTCCGCCTCCCGGGTTCAAGCGATTCTCCTGCCTCAGCCTCCTGAGTAGCTGGGACTACAGGCATGTGCCACCATGCCTGGCTAATTTTTGTATTTTTAGTAGAGACGGGGTTTCACCATGTTGGCCAGGTTTGTCTCGAACTCCTGACCTCAAGTGATCCACCCGCCTCGGCCTCCCAAAGTGCTAGGATTACAGGCCTGAGCCACCACGCCCAGCCTAATTTCCATTATCTCTTTTAAGATATTCCTTTAAAGACAACAAGTTCATTGACATTTCCTTATTTTTTTAAACAGTATTCCAAAGGTGGTGTTTTGAATGGAAAGGCTGAGGAATGGGGGCAGCTTAAGCAATGTTGTGTTAATTCCAGATTTCTTCAGGAGCTTTCTCTTAAGGTTGGGCGCTGCATTAACCAAGAGTCTCCTTACAGGCAAGTTCTTCTCTGGCTCTGGCTACTTGGTTTCAGAAGAACCCCAGGTGCTACACAGACCAATGGCCCGCCACTGCATAAAGACTATCTGCGCTATTAAAACATTAGCCCAGCATGGCAGTCAGCTTCCCACCGAGGCAGTCACCATGACTACAAACCTCAGCAGAGATTATCTGCACCATGCACTGTTTTCTTGATGTCATGAGGTCACATAGGGAGGCAGTGGATGGGGTAAAAAACAACAACAACAACAAAAACAAAACAAAAAAAACTTTAGGCCAGGCACGGTGGCTCATGCCTGTAATCCCAGAACTTTGCAAGGCCAAGGTGAGTGGATCACCTGAGGTCAGGAGTTCAAGACCAGTCTGGCCAACATGGTGAAACTCTGACTCTATTGAAAATACAAAAATTAGTCGGGTGTAGTGGTGGGTGCCTGTAATCCCAGCTACTTGGGAGGCTGAGGCAGGAGAATCACTTAAACCCAGGAGGCAGGGGTTGCAGTGAGCCGAGGTCATGCCACTGTACTTCAGCCTGGGCGACAAGAGCGAGACTCCATCTCGAAAAAAAAAAAAATTGCTGGGTGCGGTGGTTTACGCTTGTGATCCCAGCATTTTGGCAGGCCAAGGCAGGCAAATCACCTGAGGTCAGGAGTTCAAGACCAGCCTGGCCAACATGGTGAAAAACCGTCTCTACTAAAAATACAAAAAAAATTTAGCTGGGCACGGTGGTGCACGCCTACAATCCCAGCTACTCAGGAGGCTGAGGCAGGAGAATTGTTTGAACCTGGGAGGCCGAGGTTGTAGTGAGCAGAGATCGCGCCGCTGCACTCCAGCCTGGGCGACAGAGCAAGATTCCATCTCAAAACAAAAACAAAAACAAAAACAAAAACAACTTTATAACATTCAACTTTGTGAAAAGTCTTTATTTTCCTTTGGGCTTTTTTTTTTTTTCTAAAATGAAATCTGTATTGTGAATGAATACAGTGGACCGTTGAACAACATGTGTTTAAACCTGGCTGTTCCACTAAAACGCAGATTTTTTTCAACCCAATGTGTATTCATGAGATGGAAAAGCCTCTCATACGGAGGGGCCGACCTTTTTTGTCCATGGGTTCAGCAGGACAGACTGCGGGACTTGAGCATGCTGGGACTGTGGTGTTATTTGGAGGTCCTAGAACCAATCCCCTGAGGGTACCAAGGGACAGCTGGGCCTTGCTGTTTGTCATTCTCCTGTGAGTGTAGTCACTGTCAGACAATCACTCCTGTTTGAACATCTCTGAGTAGGATGAGAACATTTTTCTTTGGGGTCTATAAGGCTGTGGGCAGGGTTTTGACAGCAGTAAACACGCCAAAGGCAGAGGCTTTCCTGAGACAGTCCCTAGCCGATATCCACAGAAGGCACAATCACACACACACACACACACACACACACACACACACACAGCATAGCTGTCTTCTCTGCTGCGTACACTTGGAACTCTAACGTTAGTCTAGAGCTCTGGCCTCTCTGGCTTGGCCCTGGAAGTTGCCCCCAAGGGCAGCTCCGGAGAGCATGGCTGCCCAGACCCAGGGACCACCCTGAGGGGCTGGCTGGTCAAATGACTCTACTGAATCCAGACTTATTATTCCTATATCTATGGAAAAGGGACGCAGAACGGTTCCAAATCTTGCAGGCTTGAGGACAGACATTTTCAGACTCCTTTACACTTGAGCAATCTGTTTCACATTTTCTTCCTTCTGAATGGTCAGTGAACAGCCACACTAACAGGAAAACTCCCCACAAATTCAATCTGCTTGACACCAAAACATTTGCATTAAAGAGAAAAAATATCACCGGATCTTCCAAATGATTGTCTTTATGGTGCTGAAAATCAAGATGTGCAATTTGCAGATCTGGAGCACAGTGACTGAATTTTTTTCCTTTTACATCAGACCATTTGGCACTTTTTTGGGGGGAGATGGGAAATACTCCAATGTTATGGTATTTGGAGGTGGAATCTTTGCTAGGTAATTAGGTAATGAGGGTGGAGTCCTCATGAATGGGACCAGTACCCTTATAAGAAGAGGCTGGAGGCTAGCAAGCTCTTTCCACAAGAGAAGGTGGCAGTTTGCCACCGGGAAGAGTGGCCTCATCCGAACCCAACCGTGCTGGCACTGTGGTCTCTCATGTCTGACCTCCAGAATGAGAAATCAGTGTTTGCTGTTTATAAGCCACCCGGTCTACGGTACTTTGTTCTAGCAGTCAAACTAAGGCTGAATTTCAAAGTTTTAGCTCTTATGTTTATATTTTTGTCCATTTGAGTTAATTTTTGAATATGTTATAAGGGTCCAATGTCACTCTTCTGCATGTGGCTATCCAGATCCCCCATCACCACTCTGAAAAGGCTGTCCTTTCCCCATTGAATGGCCTTGGCATCCTTTCTGAAAATTACTTGACCATATATTTGAGGGTTTATCTCTGGACTCTCTGTTCTATTCCACTGGTCTATATATTTGTCTATATCCCAGCACCACACTACAAAACTTACTACAGCTTTGTAGTAAGTCTTGAAATCAGGAATTGTGAGACCTTTAACTTTTCAAATCTTTTTTTTTTTTTTTGAGATTATTGTGGATATTTAGGGTCCCTTGAGATAATATATAAACGTTAGGATGGATTATTTTTCCTATTTCTGCAAAAAGCCTCATTGGGATTTCAAAAGCGATTACACTGAAGTCTGTACACTGCTTTTAGTAGTACTAACATCTTAAAAATAGTTAAGTCTTCCAATTCATGAATACAAGATATCTTTCCATTTATTTGTATTTTCTTCCATTTCTTTCAGCAATGCTTTCTATTGCTCAGTGCACAAGTCTTTCACCTCCTTGGGTAAGTATATTTCTAAGTATTCTCTTTTTTTGATGCTATTGAAAATGGAATTTTCTTAATTTCCTTACCGAATTGTTCATTGTACATGAAAATAAATGCAATTGATTTTTGCATGTTGATTCTGTATCCTGCTAACTTTGCCAAATTCATTAGTTCTGACACTTTTTGGGTTATTTTTAAAATAGAATCTTTAGAGTTTTTACACATAAGGTCATGTCATCTTCTAACAGATACTTTTACTTCTTCCTTTCCACTTGGAATGTCTTTTATTTCTTTTTCTTGCCTAATTGCTCTGGCTAGAATGTCTAATTAATACTATGTTGAACAGAAGTAGTGAAAGCAGGCATCCTTGTCTTGTTCCCGGTCTTACAGGAAAAGCTTTCAGTCTTTTACCATTAAGTATGATGTAAGCTGTGGGCTTTTCATAGATAGCCTTTATGATGTTGAAGTAGCTTCCTTCCATCCTACTTTGTTGAGGGTTTCTATCATGAAAGTATGTTGAATTTCATCAAACACTGATGGCAGTGGTGGCCCATCTGGAGCAGCTGCTGTGAAGATGCTGGCTGCAGCAGGGGAGGCATGGCCAGGGCTGTGTGCTCCACGGAGCCGGTGAGAGCCAGGAACAGGTGGGAGCCCTGCCCTCTTCTGAGTTGGTAGGGCAGGAGCCCTGCCCTCCTGGGTGCAGCTGCAGTCACAAAGCTGCAGCTGCGGACCCAGGGCATCCCTGTGCTCTCAGGGTCCTAGCGAAGTCCCCTGCCCCTGCAGGCTCAGAAGTGCCTGCTCCTGCTACCTGGCTTCTCCCCGCTCCTGCTGCCTGCTCCAATTTTGGAGCAAAGCTGAGGCTGAGCCTGGGCACTGTCACAATTTGGCCAGGTGTGTCACAATTTGGCCAGGTGTGTCACAATTTGGGGCAGCGCTGATATGCCAGCCCCCTGCCACCTCAGCCCCCTCCGGACTTTGGGTGCTGACGAGCATCAGTGGGAGGCTGAGGCAGGGGTGGGCTGAGGGTGGGTTGGTGTGGGCCTGCAGGTGCCCCTTGACACCAACAGCCTGGGCACCGTGTACATGACTGATGGCAGCAGGAGGCAGACAGGCTCCTGGGCAAAAAGGGGCAGGTCCCTGCTGAAGCCCCACCTTCAAGCCAGGAATGGCCTAAAGCATGGGGGCCAAGCTGTCAGTTCTGAGTGGAGTCCACAGACCAGAGTAAGAACTTAGGATGCTTTTTCTGGGCCTGCCTGTGGCCGTCCATGGACCAATCAGCATGCACTTCCTCCCTTTTGAGCTCATTAAAAATCCTGGATTCAGTTTGACTTGAACAGACATCGGATCAACCTGCCTGTGGATAGGAGCTACTCACTGCAGGTCTCCTCTCCACTGACGGCTAGACACTTATTGGCATGACCTGCCTGAGGAAAGGAGCTACCCATTGACAGACAGACATTGGGATGACCTGTCTGGGGAAAGGAGCTACCCTCTATGGGTCTCCTCTCTGCTCTGAGCTGGACAGACGTCAGGATGACCTGCCTACAGAAAGGAGCTACCCATTGACAGACAGACATTGGGATGACCTGTCTGGGGAAAGGAGCTACCCACTGTGGGTCTCCTCTCTGATCTGAGCTGGACAGACAGACATCAGGATGACCTGCCTACAGAAAGGAGCTATCCAGTCTGGGTCTCCTGAGAGCTGTTCTGTTGCTCAATGAAGCTTCTCTCCAACTTCTCACCCACCAGTTGTCCATGTACCTCATTCTTCTTGGATGTGGGACAAGAACTTGTGACTGGCCGAATGGTGGGACTAAAAGAGCTGTAACATAAACAGGGCTGAAACATGCCCCTCCACTCACCACACTGTGGGGGACAAGAAGGAAAGAAGAGCTGTGACCCTTAGGGCAGCCCAGACCTAGGGTTCTCCTGGCCAGGGCTGTGACACCATCTTTGGGACTCTGCAGTTCCTGGTGTCTCCAAGCTTCCGGGTACCATCACATTCCCCTCATCCAGACGCAAGTGCCTGCAGTGGATGCTGCATGCAGTGTATCTGGTCCAGCTGCAGCCTTGCACAGAGCAAGCACCTGTGCCAGTACCTGGAGCTGCCTGCCCTGCTGCAGCAACCAGCGCACCTGGCTGTGCACAGTGGCTGGACCTTGCACTCACTTGCTCACACACCCCTCACCATTCTGTGCCTGGCTTGCCCTTGGCAGGTGTGGGATCTGGGCCAGTAACGTGAGCTGAGCGCAGCCTGCCAGGGGAAGTGGGCAGGATGAGCCCAGTGGGCATGAGCAATACTCAGGCAGAAGGCACCACCAGCCACAAAGGTTTCTGACTGGCGAAGTGACACCCTAAGGATCCTGTGACAATACTATTTCTGCATCAACTGAGATGATTGTGGGACAAGAACTTGGGACCTGCTGAATGAAGTTTGGGACCCCCAACTTCATTCTGTTAATGTAGTGTATGACACTGACTGAATTTCATGTATGGAACCATCCTTGCCTTCTGGGAATAAATCCCCCACTTGTTGATGATGTATAATCCTTTTACTTTTTTAAATTTAATTTTTATTTAGTATTATTATTATTTTTGAGACAGAGTCTCGCTCTGTCTTCCAGGCTGGAGTACAGTGGCACGATCTCAGGTCACTGCAACCTCCGCCTCCCGGGGTCAAGTGATTCTCCTGCCTCAGCCTCCCGAGTAGTTGGGATTGCAGGTGCGTGCCCCCATGCCTGGTTAATTTTCGTATTTTTAGTAGTGACAGGTTTCACCATGTTGGCCAGGCTGGTCTCGAACTCCTGACCTCAAGTAATCTGCCTCCCTTAGCCTCCCAAAGTGCTGGGATTACAGGTGTGAGTCACTGTGCGCAGCCAGTATAACCCTTTTAATATACTGCTGAATTTAGTTTGCTAGTATTTTGTTGAGGACTTTTGCATCAATATTTATAAGAAATATTAGTCTATGGTTATCTTTTTCTGCTGTGTCTTTGTCTGGCTTTGGTATCAGGAATGCTGGCCTCATCTCATAATGAGTTAGGAAGTGTTCCCACCTCTTGAAATTTCTAGAAGTTTAAGAAGGATTGATGTCAATTCTTTAAATGTTTGGTAGAATTCACCACTGAAGCCATGTGGTCCAGGTTGGAGATTTTAGACCATTGGTTCAATCTCCTTACTAGCTATAGATCTATTAAGATTTTCTATTTCTTCATGATTCAGTCTTGGTAGGCTGTTTCTAATATCTTTTCATTTCATCTAGGTTATCCAATTGGTTTGCATACAATTGTTCGTAGCACTATTTTATAATCCTTTTCATTTCTGTATTTATTGGATCATTTTTCTTCCAACCAGTACATCTCATATTATTAAAGGACAGTCGTCTGCAGCCATGACTTACTGAGGGTTCCCTTGTGCTGCACCATGGGCTGTCGCCTGCTGCCATGCGTCCACGTGTGCAAGGCCACACCACGCCCGAACCCTGCTGGGCTTATGCTCTCAGCTACACTCTCCTTTCCACACACACACAGAGGACCCCAGGAATGATCAGATGTGGGGACTGGAAACAACCAGGGAGAGCACTGAACACAGTGTTTTCCACCATGTGCTTTGCAGCCTCTTAGAGAGCTGGAAAATCCATTTAAGTGGGTCACAGCCAGCATTCCAAAAACTGAAACAGAACAGAAATGATCTGAGCACACTGTAAGTATTGTTTTGTAAAACCTCTGCCTTAATTGCATTATAGGAGGCTTTTGTGTTGTGATATAAAATGTATTTCTTACTGTTCTTCATGGCAAGATACAGATTGAAGGCCTCCGAATGAAGCCAGTTATCCCTCATTTTAGATGGGGGGAAACTGAGGACAGAGGGCATATTCCTCTCTAGGCACCTCGGTCAGTCTGCGGTAAAGCAAGACTACTGCTGGGTATTCTGATTCTACCCAAGGGCTAACCTCCCAGTGAATGAATGTATTTTATGGCCTCAAATAGTTGGAAATCTATTTTTCCCCTGTTCCACAGTGAGAATTTCAAAGAAGAGGTGAAATTGATCTTTGGATATTCAGCAACACCTTTGCCTTCTGATAAAATCAATTTTCCCTGTTTTCTCCCTTTTTTCATGCAGCCTCTCCACCATCCTGATATTTTATCACTACCGTCCTTTCCACTCTAGATGGCAGTCACAGCCTGGATGTGAGGCCAGTACCCCTGGCTGTCAGAGACTGCACCTCCCCCTTTCTTCCTCCTGGGGAATCCATCATCAGACTTCTCAGATTCAAGATCCCCCAACTCTGCTCAATCTAGGGCACGTCCCTTAAGAGAAAAGACAAATCATCTAGGAAGGTCTGCTGGAAGAAAAGGAAGGGAATCCTTTCTATTTCTGGGACAATGCAATGGGCTAGCGGGGAAAAGCAATATGAGGTGCCTCTCCCAGCTTGGTGCTGGGGTTAGTGAGCAATCGGACTTCAAGAGGAATCAGCCTGGGAATGAGAAAGTTCCAGGCAGCAGGAAAATGTGGAACCACACAAGATCCAGGCAGGCATCATCCTGATTTCAGCACCAGTTGCCTCGTCTCACATGTGAGAAGAAGTCAGAGCTCAGAGGGGATTTTCTGTGACCTTCACCCAAGGTCACAGAGCTGCTGGGGCTTTGCCAAGAGCCAGACCCCAGCCTGGTGAGCCTCCCCAACAGGGGCCACCCAGAGTTATGATCATTAAGATAATTTTTAATCTTCTTCTCTTTTTTTTTTTCAGAACAAACCACACCAACTTTCAAGGACTAAGCAAAAAATAAACCAACAGATTTTACTATTAGATTATTAATGCTAATACCTTATATATTTAAAAGATTACTATAAATTTGTTGATAAAAATGTTCATACATTTTATTTAAAATTATTATTTTAGCCACCATAGAAACCATGTTCAAATGAATTACTCTGGGAGTCTATAGATGCCCAGAACATTACTGCCTTTAGCATCAGTTTACATGATCAGAGGATGTTTTGTAATTGCAAAGGTAATACATGAATACATTCTTACCATAAAAGTTTTACTGCACAGATCAGTGTTCCTTTGTCCTTACTTCCTTCCCAGGCACAGCTGTCAGTTTGCTGTGGGTCCTTCCTGACCTTTCTCTACAGATCAGTTTGTAACTCGGACGTCAGTCTCACTAATTGAGTCGTGCTTGCCTTTGCACCAAAATTGTATCATTTGGTTTGATCACCCATATAATGAACAAGACTTAACTCTAAATGGATTTTGGCTGGTACCAAAAATCAAATCTATCCCCAAGAGCAAAACTATTTGCTCTTTGCAAAGGAAGATTTGCCATTGTGGAGAAGCTTTTAAAAAATTTCCCTTGATTAAAAAAACAAACAAACAAATAAAAACAACCCAGTCAGGTGCAGTGGCTCAGGCCTGTAATCCTAGCACTTTGGGAGGCTGAAGTGGGAAGATCGTTTGAGGCAAGGAGTTCAAGACCAGCCTGGGCAACACAGTGAGATCTTGTCTCTACAAAAAATTTAAAAATTAGCCAGGCATGGTTGCGCGTGCCTATAGTCACAGCTACGCAGGAGGCTGAGGCAGGGGGATCAGTTGAGCCTAAATGTTCGAGGCTGCAGTGAGTTATGATCATGCCACTATACTCCAGCCTGCGCAACAAAGTGAGATCTTGTCACTTAAAAATAACCCCAAAACCTGAAGGTAATTCCCAAACATTCTGAGCAGTGCCAACATCAGTAGAAGGACTATTTGAGACACTGTCACTTTAAAGATAAGCATTGACTCTTCCAAAGCTCTGCCCACTGTGGTTCAGGTGGGAATCTGCGTGCAGCTGGGGTCCAGCATCCTTATGCAGTTTCTGCCGGGCCGCTTGGCCTCCTGTTTCCCTTAATTGAAGGGAGATGTTCTCATTTTGAGGTGATGTGAAATTGTCTATCCTCTAATGCTTCAATTAGACATAGCAAAGGGCAAAACCTTTCAAATGACCACCTGGGCAGCCTGATAATTGGAAGTCCTTGCTCACTCAGACAGACATGCTGCGGCCAACCCGCCGGACCCTAAGCTCTTGGAAATGCAGTTTCCGTGAAATGCAGTAACGGAGAGCTGTCACTGGACAACCGACAAACACACACATCTGGTCTGTGGTGCAGCAGGGTCTGCCTTGCCTGCAGGGAAACGGTCCCCTGCGGTTCATCCCCACAATGATGCCAGAGGAAGCCTGTGGCTCTTTTCTTTAGTCTGGAGTGTCAGAGGCAGACCGAGTACAACTGCATCAGTAAGCCCTTTAGTCCACTCCTTCAAGCCTTACTGAAAATCATTCCTTTCCATCGTTTTCCACATGCTTTTCTAAACGTATGAGGTGGGCAGGAGTGAGAGCAGCAGGGCACAGCGAGCCAGCGCTCCAGCCGCAGTGGGAATGAACAGTGTGGCGCTGAAACCCCTGCTCCCTGTGCCCTCCGAGGGATCCCAGGACACTGCCTGTGGGTTTCTCAAACACCCCTGAGCCTGGGGCCCACCTCAGAGCCTCTATCTGCAGGGGAGGGTAGAGGGACACTGCCCAGGTAGAGAAAGGCACTCGTCACATATGGCACACCCAGAGGTCCCCTCACTGTGAGTTCTGAGCCCCAGCACAGCGGGCTCCTGGCTGTCAGACACCTGCCCAGGACCGTCTGCCCTCTGGCCACCGCTGCTCCCAAGGCCAGCAGAGAGGCTGCTGGTGCAGGGCCGAGCCTCAGAGAGCGGGGAGCCCATGGCCACCTCTGTCCCTCTGGCTATAAGCTTTAGTCACAGAGGAGGGCCTTGCCTGGGGAGATGACTGGACAGCAGTGGCCACGAGTGACCATGTCAGGCTGGGCACAGGACACGCACAGCACTGTTGACCCAGACACGTGTCTCAACTCCTAACCAGGCAGGAACAGTATTTACTTCCACAAGGACCTTCTCACCCATTTTTCTGGGAACCAGTGGCCCTCTCAGTCTATCTTGGTCTTCAGCCTTGCAATAGAAGCCTGAGTGCAGAAGAAAATTTTCTCTGAAAAACAACCCCCACGTGCAAACCCACAGATGGCAATGCTGCTGCCCGGCACTGAAGGGTCCCCAGCGAGAGACAGGTGACAGCCCGGGCAGCACAGGCCCACTCCATGGCAGCCACCTCACAGCCCCAGCCTCAGGGTGTGGCCCCATAGGCTGCTTTTTCAAGAGAAGATGGAAACTCCAATTTTCATGTGAAATCTCACAATTTTTATTTTTTATTTTTTTATTTTTGAGATGGCGTCTCCCTCTGTCGGCCAGGCTGGAGTGCAATGGCGTGATCTCAGCTCACTGCAACCTCTGCCTCCAGATTCTCTTGCTTCAGCCTCCCAAGTAGCTGGGATTACAGGCACGTGCCACCACACCTGGCTAACTTTTGTATTTTTGAGTAGAGACAAGGTTTCACCATGTTGGCTGGGCTGGTCTCAAACTCCTGACCTCAAGTGATCTGCCCACCTCGGCCTCCCAAAGTGCTGAGATTATAGGCGTGAGCCACCGCACCCAGCCCCAATTTTTAAAAGCTAGATCAACTTAGGTTCGAACACCCTGTGGGGCAAACCAGGTACACAGCCATGCTCTAGGCTAACTCTGTGGCTTCTGCAGAGAGGGACTTGTGGGGAGAGCTCACCCCATGTCAGGGCACTGTGGATCTGAGGAGCATGAGTTTCTGCATCAAGAGGGCTGACAGCCACCAAGTGCTTGTCCTCCTCCGCAACAGCCAGGGCCCCTCCCAGTGTCAACCCCAGGGAGCTGGAGGAGCCCAGCTGTGCTGGGTGGGGCCTGGCTGCTCCTCCTGGCTATGAAGAATGGGCACCTGGATTTTCACAATCGATTTAATCCCTGTAGGAGTTGATAATGAAGAGATGTGTGATGTGATTCCTTTTGTTAATTTTTTAAATTGAAATTGCTGTTTCTATAGGTCAAAATGGCTGAATGTTAACAATTTCATATGCTTCAATCTGGGTAAAGGTCCCTGTCCCTCTCCTGCCTCTCCCTCCATCCGCTGATGGCCAGACCCTTCTGCCTGCATGCCATCCCCTACCCCTGGGCTGTCCACACAGGCCAGGCTGGACCCTCTGGGCCAGGCTGCTGGCAGTCAGAAAAGGTCACCTGGGCTCCCTCAGCTCCAGCAAGAAATGTTCCAGCAACTTGTTCAAATAGCTCTCCGGGCTGTGTCTAGAATATTCATGCCCCTTTACTGCTTTCCCATTACTGAATGGTCTAAGATAATGAAAAGAAATCTAGACAGTCTCAATGCTCAGAAGTCACACAAACCAGGCTCCAAAGAAACCAAGCTCAGGCTACCTCAGCAAGAATGCACAAGGATGCAGATCCGGACCCGCCGCTGCTATCTGCTATGATGTAAGCATTTGCTTTGTCTGTGATGTAATTCACACCTGAGTTGCTAGTTTTCATTTTCATCCAGAAATCACTACTTCCACCACATTCAGGCCCAGTAACATCCATTCCTTGGGCCCCCCTGGGACACACAGTGTCTACCGCATGGCGACAAAGGTTGACTGGCTTTGGGACACCCATCACGTTCATGCAGCATGCACTGTCCCAGGCCAAGGGACATGGGAGGAAGGTGCCAGTGTCAGGAGGATGCTGGTAGAGGGGAGGAGGTTGCTGGTGGAGGGAGGAGGGCTCTGGTGGGGGGAGGAGGGCTCTGGCGGGGGGAGGAGGGCGCCGGCTGAGGGGAGGAGGGTGCTGGCGGGGGGAGGAGGGTGGTGGCAGGGGGAGGAGGGCTCTGGTGGGGGGAGGAGGGTGCTGGCAGGGGGAGGAGGCCTCTGGCGGGGGGAGGAGGGCGCCGGCTGCGGCTCCTCACCTGCACCTGCACAGGAGCACACCCTATGGGACAGGGACCAGAACTGGCTGAGCTGGGCACTCCCTCAGGAAGGGGCCAGAGAAGGCAGCGGGGCAGTCACCACTTCTCAGAACGGGACTCTCCGCAAGAAGCAGAGAAGCCAGGGCCACAGTGATGCTGTCTGGTTAAGCTTGGTCTGGCCCTTCCTTGTGGTCAAAGTGGAAAACCTGTAGAGGAGGCGAGGGGCCGCTCATAGCAGGGCGGGAAGCTTCCTCAGCCAAGTAAGGCTGCTGGCCTGCTCATCCTCCTCCTCCAAACCAAAACTCACTCCCATCCTATTGCCCCAAGCTATGTTTCCACCTCCACTCTCCAGGCTTCCAGCAGAAAGACGTAACAGTAAGTTTAATCAGAGTGTGAAGCCTAATCACCTAGAAGTTGGTTAATTCAATGCCCAGCACTTCTCACACCAGGTTTAAATAGAACATCATTTTCTAATGTGCTCATGGAGCCCTGGGGTGGGTCTCTACAAACAGGCCCTCACAGGAGGCTCCCCAACAATGCACAGGCTCCTAATGAGGCTGCGCTCCACAGAGGGGACAGGAGGAGCATCCAACCCCAGCTGCTGACTGGAGGGTGCTGAGCCGCCGCCAGGGCCTGGACTCCCAGGGCCTCGGGTGCTGCAGGAGAAAGGCCTCGGACATTGGTGCTGAGAAAGGAAGAGGTGCTTAGGGGCTTGCAGGGGCCCTGATAACTGGAAAGAAGCCATGAGGATGGCAGCATCTGCCCAGACACACTCATCCTCCCCAGCCGCCTTGCCCTGGAGCACAGGCCTGCACAGCAGCACAGGGAGCCCAGGAGACAGAGGACTGCCAGGCTCTGCCAGGGGGCACAGGGCCCTCCCTGCCATGCTGACCAGCCAGCCGTGCCTTCCCAGCCCCTTCCAAGCCCCTTGGGAGGGGGCTTCCTGACACAGGTGGTCACCTAGGGATGGGGAAGGCGGGGAACTTGGAACTGCCCTCGCCAACTGCACATGGGCCAGGCCAGGCATGGGGACGGAGGAGACACAGGTCCTCATACCTGCCCCAAACACCTCCTACAGCTCCCACGCCTGACACTCCCCCATCCCAAAGGCACAATCGGCCAGCCAGACCCCTAGCCTCCCCTAGGAAGATGGAGAGAATGGCAGCGGGGTCTTGGCCTCCGCCAGGGGACTGCAGGTGCTGCTGGTGGCGGAGGCGGGGCATGGCCACTGTTTCCCCCTCCTACTCAGTGCCTGGCTCCTGCGGAGTGTCCACTGAATGGCTGGATGAGCAGAGGAGGCAGGAGTCACTGGGGAAACTGTTCCCAAGGCAGAGTCCCAGACCAGACCCCAAACTCGTACTGCTGGGAAGAGCTCTCCGCTCTGTGGATGCCTCAGAGCCAGCCTAGAGAGACCCCCTCATGGTAACAGGCAGCCTCTTTTACAGTGAAGTGCCCCTGGGTCCGGCAGTGCTCAGCACCTGGTGGGTCCGGCAGTGCTCAGCACCTGGTGGGGCCGGCTCCTCCGCCTCAGCACCGCTCACATCCACTCAGATGAGTCTTTGTTGCGGGACTGCCTGTGCACTGTAGGACGCACTGTACAGATGAGTCTTTGTTGCAGGGCCGCCCGCGTACTGTAGGACACATTGTAGGATTCCCCCTTATGATGCCAGACACTGCAAATGTCCCCTAGACATTTGGCAGAATCAGCCCTGATCGAGACTCCTGAGCTGAGTGTAAATGAATCAGATCGCTCCCCTAATACTGTATACGGGGAACAGGCATTTCTTAAAAGAAGTTAGAAGTAGGGAATTAGGAGGCAGGAAGCCTGGCTGCGTGGGGGCATTCCTGGGTGGAGAGGACCTGGGTTAGGGGACCCTCAGGGCAGAGAGAGGGAAATGGATAGCATGGCCACACCCATAGTATTAGCAAGGCCTGAGTCTGTGTCCAGGAGAGAATGGAGGTTTCTTCCTCATCAGCTGCCACTCTTTTCTCTTTTGGGGAACCATCAACTGGGCTAATACACCAGATCGGGAAGTGGAGCAAGGGCCTGGGCCGAGCTGCCTCTGGTCATCGTGCTGGAATGCATCTTGTGTTTTATGAAACATCACACAGAGTCCTTTGCTAAGCTACGCTGAAGCCGTAGGAGGAACAGCCACACCTCGAGGAGGGACAGCTCCCAGTTCCAGGTTACTCAGAAAAAAAGGAGAAATAGCTCGGTGCAGCCGGATCTCTGCAAGCCCCAGCTCAGCTCCAGAACGGAGCTCTCAGGGGGAACACTGTATGTGCACATTAACAAAACGAGGCCCAGACAGGGATGTGGACCACTGTGTGGACACAATTCACTGGCTGCCGAATGTCTTCACCTGCCACGCAGTGTGCAGCCCTGAAGGGACCTCTGAACATCGCTCTGTCACCTTCCTGATTTCAGGGAAGGGAGGCTCTGCAGGTGGGGCAGCCAGCGCTTCCCGGGAAAGGGCATCACACAAATCTGCCGCCACATGACACAGAAGACACTTTTTTGACACTTTTTGCTTTTCTGCTGGGCCTCTTGGTTGGTAAGGGTGTGGCCAGTGTGCTGGTGTTCAGGACACAAGGTGCTATGAACAGGGACAGCAAGCGGGGCTGGGTCTGCACCAGGAACAGAGCAAGGAGCTGCCTGACCCACACTAGGGAGAGAGAAGCCAACACCAGGGCAAGTCTGGGAGGAAGACTGGGGAGCGCCCAGGCAGGGGACAGAAAACTCCCTGTGTGCCTGCGCACAGAGACCCCAAGCGTTCTGGAGCTCCTGGAGAGAAGGCCAAGGAAGGCTGTGCTTGTTTCCACCAAGTCCAGGGGTGGCGTTCACAGCCCGTAATACATTAAGGCAAAGCAGCGATGTCTGAGCCTTCTGCGGTTCTGAAACTGCTGCTGTGATGAGATTTTCTCCCTGTCCTCTCTCAAAACACAGGTGAATCCCATACACTGTGTGTTTAGAACTTCAGAAGAATTAGTCCTCCCTCTGTCCAACAATCTACAGGCATCAGGATGCCAAAGTGTTCAGTGCGTCTGGATGGCGCAGCTCTGTGGACACCAGACAAAGGACCCCAGGATGCTGTGGAGGCTCGAGGAAAGTAACACAACAGGGCCAGAGGGGCTTGTGGACTGAACTGGGCATCCAGAGAGAGGACAGAAGGGGCAAGAGAGGATGCAGGGGGCAAGAGGAGGAAACGGCTGTCAAGGGTGCACGTCTTCCCCTGGCATCCCATCTCCTCCCCGAGGCTGCCCCGTCTAGCCCTCACCATGGTCTGAAGATAGCACTCGGTAGCACCCACCCCTTCCTTCTCCCCACTACCTGCAGGAGCTGCAGAGCAGACAGCAAACCTCAGCTCTGCCCATATGGATGGCTGCACCAATGATCCTAGTGAAGTGTGAGCCTGCACTCCTGAGAGGGGTCCCAGGGCCAGCGGCCACCCCAGGAAACCCACCTGGACAGCTGCACCCCATACCCTGGACAGGCTCTGTAAGTCAGGGTGGGAGCCGGAACTGCACAGCCCTGTTCCTGAAGAGGGATGCTCCGTAAGGACCGGCTCCTGTGCTCAGCATACCGCAGGGCTCCACACTGTGGAGACTCGGCCTCGCTGCCCATCACGGAAGCCAAGGATTTATACGCTCGCTGAACTCACCGCTCCTAACCCTCTGGCTGGAAGCCATCAAAACCACAGCCTGTAAAACAGGCTTGGGACAGCAGCCCCTGGTCTCTCAAGTTTGATCATAGTGCAGTTTGGCTTGAGGGTCCACCGCCGACAACCCCACCCTCCACAACCCCACCCTCCACAACCCACCGCCGACAACCCTACCGCCGACAAGCCCACCGCTGACAAGCCCACCGCCAACAACCCCACCGCCGATCCCCAGGAAGCTCCCGAGGCCTTAAGCTCCAGGCGTCCTCCAGCTCATGGCACCCATGTGCTGCCGGCACGTTTAGTGACGATGAGCGCGTGATTTGTCCCCGCAGCACCTCCAGGACCCAGCTCAGGACAGGATTTTACAACACAATGAATCTCACAAGTGCACTGCCAAGCCAGAGGAGCCAGGCACGAGGGACCACCCAGGGCCGGTCCCGTTCGTGCACAGCTCAGAAGCTGGCAAAGCCACGTCGGGCAGCAAAGATCCAGGGGAGACCTGGGAGGGGTCACGCAGGCTTCTGGGGGGACTGCTGTGTCTGTATGTTCACTGGGTGCTGGTCACACTGGTGTGTTCAGTTTGTGGGGACTCACTAAGTGGAACACTTACGAGGTGCGCTTCGCCCCGTTTGTTACATGTCAACTGAAAGCACTCCCGGCCTCTGAACCCTGATGGGCTCCTAAGCCTCTTGCAGCTGCCTGACTCTGGAGCCGGGGCGGCCAGGGTACTCACCTGCGGCAGCCCGTCCTCCCGCCTCCGGCTCTGGTTCGGGCGGTTGATGAAGGACCGCGTGGAGACTTTGTAGTGGTTCAGCAGGCAGACGATGACCACCACCATCACCGTGACCACCACGACGATGATGATGATTTGGGCGAACTCCAGCTCCGCTGCCATGGAAGAGGAGAGTGGTTAGCCACCTGGCCCCTCCAGTCCCCACCCATTCTCCAGGCACTGTCACCACCCCAGCCATCAGGCCCTGAAGGCCTCTCACACACGTCTGTTCCTCAGAGGCCAGCAGGACACAGAAACGACTGTCCCACTTTAGGGAAGGAGACACCACGGCACAGTCGGGAGGCTGTGCAAACCAGCTGCGGGGAGCGGGAAGCCTCTGCCATCCCCCACCACAGGGAGCTGAGAACGTCTCCACAAACTGAAGCTATTTCTCCAATGTCACCGCTCTAGAAAAGTTAAACCCGTCTTTATGGTTGAGTGGAGTTTCTCAAAGCAATTCCCCTAGGGACCCATACTTGAAAGGAAAAATCAACTTCAGCCCCTTGCCTCCAAGGCTGTGGCTCTGCAGGTGAGTTAGGAAACATCCACATTGTTTCCAGGCCTTCAGGCACAGCACTTTAGGAGTGGTCAGGTCTCCCCTGGGTTTCTGACACCACCACCCCAAAGATTCCTTAAATGCCATTGACACACACTTCACATGTGAGTCCAGCAACACAGAGTGACTTCCAGTCACAGCACATTGGGCCGGCAGCTGGAAGCAGGTGAGCCAGACCCCCGTTTTGGGAGAGGAAGCAGGTCGAGGGCTCACGGGCGGCCTGGAGCCACTTTCTGCTCCCCTCTTCCAGCCCATGGCTCTGCTGCCTGCTTCACTCCTTGTCCCCCGTGCTGGAAGGAAGTGACTGACCGTGCAGTGATGTAAATTCAGAGCAAGGGGCTCGGGGATGCTAAGAGGAAGACAGTGCAGGAATCTGGGGGAGGCAGGAGTAAGAAGAGAGAAGCCATCAACTGTGCTGCCCTGGGCTCACAGCACACATGCACACACATGCATGCACGTACATGTGCCGCAGCAGGGCTCAGGCCCCGGCCAGTGGGGAGGCATATCTGTCAAGTGTATCCGCTCATACGTGGGGCGATGCAGGCAGAGATCAGGTGGTGCCTCCCCAGTGGCTACGACTGTGTGCGTCTGCTGCCCACACCCTGGGAACCGAGGGTGAGGCTGGACGAGGGGTTCTCTGGATCCCCACATGTCCTACCCTTCAGCACGGCCCTCCACTTCCACCCTCAGACCCCCACACCCTAGGGACTGAGGGTGGGAGTGGAGGGCAGTGGGACACTGGGGCCTATAGGAGAGGCGCTGGTGTCTTGAGAATGAAGAGCAGACTGTGTAGGAGGCTGGTGGCTGAGCTGTGCAGAGAGCAGGTGGACCTGCCAAGGGCCCCCTGCCCCCGCAGGCAGGGAGAGGCCAGGCTGGTGGGAACATCACTGTTCCCTGTGGACACGGACAAAGCCATGCTCAGAGGCTCAGAGGCCATGCCCTGAGCAGCTCCCGAAGCTGGCAGTCAGTGAGGCCTGCCGGCCCCGCCCCAGCCAAGGGGGTGCTGTTGCTCTTGGGTTCCCCGTGGCCTGTCCGCTAAGTGGCAGGGACTCTAGGGGCCTGGTGCCCGGCCCAGCCTTGGGGTTTGAGTGTCTACTTCCTATGGGGAGGAAATGTCCATTGGAGCTGCCACACTTATATGTGCCACCCCCGCCCCCCCCCGGCCCCACCCCCCCACCCACACACACACAAAAACGCTCCCCAGGGCTTATCAACAATTTTCATGTTGGGGGCTTCCTGGAAAAGACTGAAATTGCTCTGAGTCTTCGAGCAGGGGCTTGGGCCCTTTGCAATTGGGTTCCAATAGAAAAGTGGCCTTATTTCTGCTCACAGGCCATGGGAAGTATGACACGCTTGTTTACCTAGGAACACAGTCTTCGACTCTGCCCCTGCACATAACCTTCCTGTGTCTGGGACACTCTGGCCTTGACCCTGTGTTTCTCAGGACCCTACCCCCACACACCATGTGACGTCTCCCAGGCTGAGTCCGGAGCCCCTACTTTGCCCCTCTTGACACGGGAGGCAGCTAAGTGGCTTAACTGGTACAAGGTGAATTGATGAGCGACTCAGCACCCCCAGGCTGAGAGAAGGGGCTGGGATGTGTGGCCCCGGTGGGCTCTGCCCAGCTGCATGGGTGTGTTCTCTGTGAGGACAGCCACTGCCAACAGGATAAGGCTGCACTGGCTGCAGAGTGCCCGAGTGCGCCTCCAGCAGCCCTGAGGGTCTGTGCAGGGGTCAGCCACCAGCCCAGGGATAAGCATGAAAGGAAGCAGAGAGACTCCGCTCAGGACAAAGGCAGTGAACACAGTGGTGAGGGCTGAACCCCGAAGTCGAAGACTGTGTTCCTAGGTAAACAAGCATGTCATACTTCCCATGGCCTGTGAGCAGAAATAAGGTCACATTTCTATTGTGACCTGAATAATGCCTTCTTTTACCAATGCTTGTTTTTATTTTGTGGTTAAATAGCGGAGTATTCACAAATTAAAGCATGCCCTAGGATTTCCAAATGTTTTCTTTACAAGAGAACTTCACTGCTTTATGGACATGGATATAGAGGAAAATCATGGTGACAGGGAAGGATCAGCACAAAGTCCTGCAATGAATCAACTCTTCCCTTGGAGGACACCTTTCTAGGTCATCTGTTCTTGACTATGGAAAGCTATGCAGACAAGCATTTGCAGCAAAGCAAATCAAATTATGTTTTCACAAGTCTCTGGGCATTTTTTACATATTTGTGTTTCATTTGAAAAGGATTTTTATTATAAAAATAATGAAAACTTCTTGAAAATTTAAATCATATAGAAGGAAACAGTGCAGTGTAAAGTCTCCCATCCCAACCCACAGCGCCCCTGACTCCACCAAGCCCCACTCCGTCCCGGGGGAAAGCCCAGGCCTCCGTTGCATGTGTGTGTGTTTGCTACAAAATAAAGCCTTTCCTTTTTTCAGTTATTGGAATCGATGTGCAAATATCTTGTTTGTGTCTTTTCACTTAATACATCACAGACCTCTTTAAACAAGAACACACGTGCACTGGCCTGTCTGTTACAGAGTACAAACATACTGGCATTTGCCTTCTCCAGCTGGTGGCTGTTCAGGTGGCTTGCTTTTTTTCTTTTTTCTCTTATGACCACAAAATTGCATGTGTATATGTGCAAGTGTGTGGCTGGCACACGTTTGTCAGTATACTTGTAGGAAAGACTCCTAAAAGTGACATTTCTGGACCCAGGGCATAATCACTTTTCATCCTCATGGCTACTGAGAACCTGCCTTTTGTAAAGGCTGCATTCGTTTAGGCTGTCCCAGGAAGAAGGCATGTTCCCCATGCCCTCATTCACCCTGGAGACTCGCCCTTTTAACTGGTGACAATCTGATGGCAAAAATATGTATCTCATTTTAATTTGTATTTCTCCAATTACTGGTAATTTCAGATCTTTCCCTATGGTTATGGTAATTTGTGTTTCTCTTTTTCATAATCATATTGGTGTATTTATAGTTTTCTCATTTATTTCTTATGTATTTATATGAAATCTTTACATATTATGGTTACACATCTTTGTCTGTTACATGTTGCAACTATTTCCCCTAGCCAGTCATTTCTTGAAACTTCACCATGAGTTTCTCTATAGATGCTATAAACTTTTATGCCATCAAATACTCTCTTTTTCCTTTATGGCCTCTAAACATCCTGTTTGATTGGGAAGGTCCTCTTTAATATTCTAAACATATTTTTTTCCTAAGATTTTTGGAGTTTGAATTTTATGTTAGATCTTTATTTGCTCTGGATTTTATTCCTCTTTTGGTCTGACACAGCACATGGAACATGTGATATTGACTGAAAGGTGTGCATCTTCTGAGCTAATATATCTGATTTTAAAATTCAGGCAAGGATAAGAAAGATCTCAGTTGTATGAAACAGTGCATGGAATTACTCTCTGTAAAACTAAACTCCAGGCCAGGCGTGCCTGGAATCTCAGCACTTTGGGAGACCAAGACGGGGGAATTGTTTAAGACCAGGAGTTCAAGATCAGCCTGGGCAATATAGCGAGACCCTGTCTCTTAAAAAAAAAAAAAAAGTAAAGGCCCCACCATCTTTCTTTTTAAGGGGACTGCTTTCTTATAAACCTGCCACACACAGGTACCGCCCTGCCCTGCTGGGACACCTGCACCATGCTGTTGCCCTGAGGCTCCAAATATGAGTCATGCCCAGCCGTGGCAGGTGCATCTACAGCACATGGATGAGCGTCGGCCCTGGGGGTTCACGGGCACCCTAGTGGCATGGTGCCTGGGGCAGGTCAAGTTCATGGGCATGCTCAGAGGCTGTGGGAGCAGGAACACTGTCCTCAGGAGCCTGCAAACCGAATCGAGTGGCCCCGTGGGGTGCCCTGGGGTGGCGGCAGCCTGATGAGGCCTGAGCCATGAAGGCACTCAGCCCTGGGCACAGGAGGCAGCTCTTCCTGCAGGCAACAAAGACCCAGGGATACCTGGGTCCCAGAGACCACCATCCTCACAGCCTGGTCATCTCACTGCAGCAGCTTGGTCCCTGGCTGCAGGTGACGGTGGCCGGTGGGTGCTCCCGAAGCCCTCCCCTGAGGGCGTCAGGGTCTGGTGCGGGGCCCACACACGCGGCAGAGCCTTGCTCTGGGGACTCTGGGCAAAACCCATCAGTGGAAACAGACCTCCTTCTCGTCTTTAAGTCACAGGAGCCAGAACACTAGCAACAGAAAAGATGAGCATTGTACTCTCTTCAGGGCCACAAAGCCTCCCCAGGCAGGGCCCAGGAGATCCTCAAAGTGAAAACTGCAGTCAACAGGTTCTTGGAAACGTGTGTGAGGATTCCCAGACCCTGAGCCCTGCATTGAGATGCCCTCTCCCTCCATGACCCCCTTTCAAGCTCACGAGGGGGTGTGTGGCAACCCCCCCCCCCCCACCTGTCCTCCCACACCCTCTCAGTCATTTTAAACAGGAGAATTCCACTAAACACCCACAGCCTGTTTTCACGTGGCAGGGCAGGGAGGTGGCTGTGGTGCGTGGAGCCCAGCATCCACAGAAAGGAAAGACACCTGGGGTTTGGGTTTCGTTTTTAGGGGTTGGGGAGGAGTGGGCTGGAAAGGGGAGGCTAAGAAGAAAATGAATTCTGGAAGAACTGTTAAAACAGAAAGTTTAGAAAAATAAAACCCGCAGGAATAGTAGCATTCTTAGAAAATTAATAGGATGCTTTGGGGCTTCCAAGATGCTACACGCCTAACACGGATTCTGAACACAGACCACTGGTTGAGTTTCCTTGTTCAACAGTAACAGATGTCCACAGAAGAGTGCTAGAAAGCAGGGCACGCAAGGAAAGAAGTTGAGGCCAAAGTCAAACGTTCACATCCCCCTTCTACGGCGCTGTAGTTCATGATGCTGTAACAGATGAGTCACTGCAATGGAAATACCGGATACTTTTTAATACATCTAGTCTAAAACTTACAGGAAGGCATCCTAGCACCTTCTTTTATTATTGTACAGCAGTGACAGTGACGACAGTGATGATGGCATCTCTCTATTTTTATGGAAACATCTCCAGGAAATCCCAAGCTGCACAGTGGAGAATTACAGGAACAGAAGAAGTGGTGTGAAGTCTGTCGGTCTCTTCCCTGGTTCAATGAGGAGCTGAACTGAATCATACTAGAGGCATGAGTGTCTGCGCTATTTTTAAAGAGCTCTGGGGAAGTGTGGTTGTCCCACCTTAGGCTCCTAATATAACACTCATTTCTATTTGTGGGATGGTTAACACCATCTTCCATTTGGTCTTTCCTCCACTAATATATTATCCTTCACTGAAGTCTTATTTCTACAGTTTAATTCTTTTTAAGCTCCAGATGTGTTATGTATGCCCTCAAAGACCCTATCATGGGTCAGGGGGCAAGGTCTGGGCCCCTCATGCGTTCCTCTCTTTCCCCAGGCCAAGTAAACACCTTGGCAGGAATCCAGAAAACGATCCACGCAGAACATTGCAATGTCACAGAAATGGCCGCCCACTGGCCACGAAGCCCTGGCCCCACCCTGCGAGGTCACTTCCTACCCTACCAACAGCAGCACCCCACCTCACTCCCCTACGTGCTGGCCTTTCCTGGAGCACCAAACCCAGGGCTGGCTGACCGCAGAGCCTTACCTCCAGGCAGCCCCTTCCCCTGCACGCCTCCTGCCCCACCGCTGGGACAGACACCCACCCTCCCACATGTTGGCTGGGCCTGCTTGGCTACTGCACAGTGAACTTGTCGCATTTCCTTCCTGTCTCTGTCCTCCTCAGCAGAGACGGGTGTGGTGATGAGATGACAGTCTTAGGGGTGTCTTACTCTTTATTTATGGCTCTGTGACACTTTTAAAGTGCTGAATGTTCCTAAAGGCTGGTAAATTCTTTCCAAGATCCTCCAGAGACCGGGCGGCGGTGGTGGCAGGAAGACGGGTGGGGGCAGGAGTTGGAATCTACTTAGACTATAATTGCCTCAAGTTTGTGAACTGTTAGTATAAAAATACTCTTGGAGATTTTAATGGTTGAATGAAGATTCACACTCATTAAACACCATGGTTGAGGGGGAAAATTCAGCCTGTGTTACAAGAATGACTTCACAGCTTGAAGTACAGAAGCAAAACAATAAGAGCTATCATCATACTGATTACATTATATATTTTGAATTTTATTTTCCTTGGAGGTGGGTTGGCTACTCTACTGTATAGTACAACAAGTAGAACGAAAGGGAAAAAAGCTACCCTACAGAAATACCCAGTTTTTGGCGTCACCTGCTGGCTTTATCTTCCTTTAAAAGCTCTTTCCTAAGCCCCGATGATGGGTTCACTACCTTTGGGGACTTCCTGTGCAGCTCTGAACCCTGTTGCAGCACTTATCACTGTCTTGGTGGTATCCATTCTCTGGTCTTCTTCCTCTACAGAGTGAGCCCTGGGTCAACGCCTTGTTCATCCACAGTGTCTCAGCAGGTAGTGTGTGCCTGGCACAAAGTTGGCATTCCCCATTTAGAAGCTGGTGGAGAAGCCCTAAGAACGAAGGGACCCCAACGGCCTGACCTGCTTCAACAGCATCCAGCACAGACACGTATTCTCCCAAACACTTCCTGATGACTTCAGTGGTGCTGGAGTTTTGCTAAAGGTTTTCATATTTTGCAACAATTATTCAAAAATTACTACTCTAAGAGGGTGTGATCTGTCACTGAGAAAAGAGCCTCCTGGTTACTCTGAGCTGCCTGTTTATAGCCATGTATTTATGTACAACATTTGCATGACAATAAAATGAGGAAACGGTCCCTATGATCTGTAGGTGGAGAGATGAACGTGGAGGGCAGGTGTGACCCAGGCGCGGCTACCTGATACCGGCCCAAGGCCAGGTGCCTTGGACGGCACGGGCAGGCGGGCAGCAGCCCGTGATGACTGGACGGACTAGGGAATCCCTCGAATGCAGACTCCACGAGCCCGTCCAGCTGGAGTGGCATCTCCTCACTTTATGAAAGCCCAAGCCTTCATCCACTACAATTACTTCTCACCACGCATTTTAGAATCTAGAGTTTCATGATCTCTTCAGAAAGAAATTTACCTAAATATGTTCTGATCAAAGATGACTGACAGGATTTTCTAAAAAATCAGCAGAGGAGTAAGAGCAATTATAAACCTTTTAAAAGTCTATCCCTCTGCCATGCTATAAATGGAAAAAAATACATACATAAGCCATAATTCCCCCTATAGGATTCATTTAAAATCCACCCTCACCTCCACCTCCACATTATTAATTTAGGAAAGTGCATCAGAAAAAAAACACAGCTGCACATGGAATGGAACCTTCATTTCCACAGGGGAGAGTGGTGGCTTCTGAGGCTCTCATCCCACAGCCAGTCTGTCTGTCTCTCACTTTCTTTGGCTCTCTATCTCTCAGAGTCACAGTTCTCCTTCCTAATAGCTCCTGTCACTACATGGATGACCTAAGAAAGTGTTCAATGAACCAGCCACATCCTGAGAAATACCTTTTCTTTAAAATGCAGTTTTCAGCTCATGAGGGTGAAGAAAAAGGAATTATTAACAAGTAGCAGAATTTCCAGGGGAGGTCTCAGCCTTATATACAGACATTTGAAAAAAACAAAACTCCAAAGCAACAAACTGTGTACTCATGCATAACACCTCCAACAGGAACAAACTAATTCCAGGCTTGAAAGAAGATGAAAAAGCCTGACATGCATCTTCCTAAAGGGAGTCCCACCCGGAAATGTTCTGAGTTGACAGACCCCTCTTAGGTAGAAAGAAACTTCTTGAGAAAGAGCTTCTCCTCTTCTCAGCTCTGTCCTCAGACCAAACTCCAAGAAGAACCACAGCAAACCCGAAAGAGCATGCATCATCCATAGCAGTTCTTGGGAAATGTACCTTTTTTTAAGAACAGGTCTTTGAACTGAGCCTCCTTCAGTGTGCTGTTGTTCAGGTGGTCACTGGACATAATCAGGTCCTCTGCAAGTGGGAGTCCAACTGTGACGCAGCCCCCCCACGTTCAAAGCATCCCTTCAGCTTCCGGCAATCTCCTCTCCAGGCAGCTCAGAGCTGCAGTTATAGCTGGCATGGGGTGTGGGAGAGTGTGTGAGCGTGGAGGGGGGGGGGGTGTGTTTCTGTCTGCCTCGTTCACTCTCTCTCTACTGTATCAGCAGGGCCCACCCCAGGTGCTAGACTCAAATGCTGTGGCTCCGACCGCAGACTGTGGCTACCAATTATCAACTGCCATCAACAGAAACCAGGAGCTCTGCGGCAGGAAGCCGGCCGTGTCACCGAGCAGAGAATAAGTCCGGGGTCTCCGATCCTGAGACCAGCTGTACACCCAGGGCACTACTGTTTACAGCAACGTCTATCAGTGAGCAGTCTGCACTTCTCAGGTTTGGCCTCACACCTGGACGTGTCACACACACAGGCAAGCAGAACGCAGCTAGACGGCTCATCTTGTCACACTGCGTTCAGTAATCTTTTCAACAGGCAAATATCAAACCAGTCCAGACAGAAAGGAGGAAATCTGCAAGTCTCACACAATACTCCTTCCCTTGATCTCTGCTGGAAGCTTTCAGTGTGGAAGGACCGGAGAGGGCGCTTACCAAGGCAGGACACGCGACAGGCGGGACGCTCACGTTAGGCTCGCGTGCTTCTCCCCTGCAGATCCGCTCCCAGAGCGTGCTCGCCCGGCTGGGAGCACCCACAGCGTCCCTCAGGCTGCGAGCCAGGCTGCGGGCTGTCCTCTTCTGGTGCTCCCTCTCCACATCCTCTAACTGATGGGAGCAGCTCCCAGCGGCTCTTGCCACCGAGCTCTGTACTGGCAAGGCGTGAGGTCCTAACCGCAGCAGGAAACACTGCGCGCTCCTTTCCCCCCGGCTCGCTCTTCCCTCTTGGCTCTCCCATTCATTCCCTCTCCCTCTGCCTCACATCATTATTCCCCATGTATGGTAGCACAAAAACACCACAGAGACTCCTTCAAAGTCAGGATGCTCAATGTTCCTAGGCAGTTTTAGTTTATAAGGATCAGAAATTAGAGAACAGAATCCCAGGCAATTCAAACATGAAAGCAGAGACATGTCTCAGGAGGGCGCTTTCTCCTGGTTCATTTTGTTCAAGCACAGTCTCTTTTCCCCGAGGTCTAAACAGTTTGTTTCATCTGAGTGTAAAACATCTCCCGTGCATTCGGATGCCCCCAGGCTGTGTGAAGAAAATTCAGGGCAGGCTGCGAGTCTGTCGCAGTTTTCAGAGAAAATCACGGGGTGGCCGTGGTGGAAAGGGCAGCCTGCCATGGTAACGCTGCAAATAACCCCCACCACAAGCACTGCCGGGAGCCCAGAATAGCCTTTGTTTTTCCTTATTTAGGGTAAATAGGAATGACATGTGGGCCATAACAATAGTTTTGGCTGTAGGAGGAGTTGTCAAAGCAAAACTAAACTCTGTTGGTTACTACCAGCGTTAGAAGCCAGGACAGTGACGTTAGCGGCCAGCCCTGCTGTCAGCCCAGCACGTCACCTGGGGCATGACAGCAGGGACTGGGCCCTGATGTCACCGCAGGGTCCTCCAGGTGGCTAGAAGACATCACTTTCTCATGTTCTCATTTTTGGGGGCAGGGGCAGAAAAGCAACAGAAGAACCACCCAGAAGAGTTTCCAGAAGCTTCACGTGGATAAAAGGAAACCAGAGAATTTCAGCAAGGAAAGTGACCATTTATTAATATACAGCCGCGAGGGAAATCCGGATGGTATGATTCTTCCTGAGCAATTTCCGAATTAAAAATGGAACTCCCCTCCCTGTGCCAGACTTTCCCTGACTTCTCAGAGTCACCCTGCTGGGTGAATGAAGAGGGAGTCACCCTCAGAAAGAGGCAGCTTCAGAAAGAATTAGAAGCTGCAGCCACTTCAAGCCGCCCCTCCCTGGCTACCAGCGCCCCTTGTCCCTGGAGCCCCGAGGCTCCTTGCCACCTGGGCCAGCACTTCCTGGTCAGGCTCAGTCACATGATAGGCTTGCCCTCAAGCCAGGGCCTTAGTGAGGAGCGCTGTAGGCCACTGTACCTGTCTGTTTCTTAAAA